>NC_000008.11:7012556-7314841 GCF_000001405.40 Homo sapiens
TGCGATCTTGGCTCACTGCAACCTCCACCTCCCAGGTTGAAGCGATTCTCCTGCCTCAGCCTCCTGAGTAGCTGAGATTACAGGCACCCACCACCACACCCGGCTAATTTTTCTATTTTTAGTAGTAGAGACAGTTTTCACCGTGTTGCGCTGTCTGGTCTTGAACTCCTGACCTCATGATCCACCCTCCTTGGCTTCCCGAAGTGTTTGGATTACAGGTGTGACCCACTGTTCAGGTGGGGCATTCAAAATGTTAATTCAGCTTGTTGTGGTTTCTTAAATTTGAGTGCACAACTCCGCTAATATGCCTGAAAAAGATACAACAAAAATTACCCAGATAAGAGAAGCTGAGGCAAAATGGTGCAGTGCATAAGAATAGGAAATGAGAGCGGATGGCAGGTGTCCTGGGTGCAGCCTGGAGAAGAGACTCCTGGATGATTCCCATGCACAGCCCTGGGGGAGAACAGCCTTATTGATGCTGATCAGCAGAGAAGGAGGGACGGCTATGTGAGAGGCTGGAGGACAATGGGTGTGTCAGGGACAGGAATTTCATAAGTGATGTTCAGAGATGGAGGAATTCCAGGTGGTGCAGGAGTTAGGGAGTAGCCATGGGGTGGAAGGCTGGAACGAGGTGGCAGTCCCTGTTATCCAGGAGGACACAGAATTGAGATGTTGGGAGGTTGACTTCTAGGAAATGTTAGAGTGAGCTCTTTCCCTTAGTTTCTTCATGAGTTATTTGTTTTTTTCGTGAACACGGAAAAAATACAGATATTCCTAAAATGGAATGAGTTCTTTTCAGATCTCTTTCCTTCTGGTTTTGCTTATAAGCCGAGTTTAGAAAATCAGAACAGTAACAGCAAAAGAAACCTATTTCATTTTTTGTACAAGTAAAAATTAACCAAGACCTTTTAAAAATGTGAAGGAAGCACTTATTGAAGACTGTTGAAATGGGAGTCAGAACGTTGCAACAGGGAGAGCCGTTGGCCTCAACTTTCCTGAAGCCAAAGCGGGAAGGTTAAGGCCTGGGTGAGCTAGCGGAAATGCACTGGAGGTTGGTAGTGGGAGTCTTGCAGTGTGATTGGGCCATCTGCGTTTGCTAGTTTGTGCTTATTGGAGTTAGGCTCCTGCCTGCCTACAGAGACAGGGCTGCTGTCCCCTTGAGTAGTTACATTTAAAGGGATGAGGCATCTAACTTATTCCTTATTTCCTTGTCCTGCCGCATGAATGGCTCATTTCCGGTAGAAAAGTTCTTGCATGTCATCACTAATCCTAGAGTGTATGTGCATCCCAGTAAACAGTGTTGTGCCTCATTTGAGGCTAAGCAAGTTGCCCTGGTTGTTTGGAGACCCTCACACCTCTCCCTGAATTCTCCGTCCCTAGAGTTTGCAGCAGTCATCGCCCACCCTAGACTGCAGTAGCAGAAGCCACATGTGGTGCTCCCAGTGTGCCTTTATCCACACAGAGGAGCAGGGAGGCTCCGTCCTCATCTGCCCCTTTCCCTTGAGTTGATGGATGCCTCTCAGCACATCAGCATGAATTCTACTCCGTCCTTCTCTCTGGCAACATCCATTCCTCTGAATTCAGTGGAGGTCCACCCTCATCCTGCATAGCTCTTGCCCTGATAGCATTCTGTCCACCAAACATTTCATTCTACCTCTGCTTTTAGTCATTCCATGTTTTAAACATATTGATGTTGTACTTGAAGATTCACATGGAATCTTTTTGCCTGCTTTAGCCGGAATGGCCTGCTTCTTCTAAGGTCCTAAAGCTTCATGATGCCAAATAGTACCCATGATGTTTTTTCATGTTTCAGCCTTGAATACTTTTATTTATTTTGTTTTTTAAAGGTGTGCTGTCATAGGGTCTAGAAAATGGACTGCTCTACCTCTGTTGAATTTAGCTTTTTCCTGTGGAATTTAGGAATAACAATTAATAAATCATTTTATATTGTTATGTGCTATTAGATGCAATTAGTTAATGTAATCAGAATTAATTTATTAACCCCCTACTTTATGTTACAGTCATCCATGCACTCTGGTACAACAATAAGCAAAACATGCAGCTTCCCTTCTGGAGTAAGGAGGCAAATGTTACGTATAGTAAGTGAAGTGTACAGGGAGTGAGATGGTTTCAATTCTATAGTTAGCAATGAGGAAAATCGGAGAATGGAGGTCAGCAGGGGGATCTTGTTGCAATTTAAGGTTGAGAGATCAGAAAAGACCTCAGTGACCAAGTGAAGTTTTAGCTGAGACCTCAGATGCTTGGGAGAAAGTCAGGTGGACCTCTGGCAGATGCCCCAAGATGCAGCCATCTTGATCCAGTTCATAGTTCAGAATACTATGGAAAGTTAATTCGGGGACCACATGATTCCAAGTCCATGGCAGTCACAGGAAGCCAAAGAAGGTTCCTGGGCTTCACACCGTGATTCCCTATTTGTGTCCTTCATCATCTAAACAAGAAGAAGTCTGGGATCATTACGCACTCTGTCCTCCCAGGGTTCTTGGTGGGCTTCCATATCCATGCAGTGTCTCAGTGGGTACCTGGGCCCCTGGGCTGCCTCAGCCCCCTGCAGCAACAAGAACGCTACCATGTTCCTGGTGAAATGCTTTCCCTCCCTCGTCCCTTATCCCCTCTGAAGCTGTATTTTCCAGGCAGAATCAGGTTCTCAGCAGCTTTAGGGTAACACAAGAGAGTGCGCGTTGCAAAGTGCGGTGGAGCATTTGTGTGTGTGTGTTTTCTGGGTGTGAAGACAACTGTATGATTGTGAAATCCAGGTCTTAGTAGACGTGGCTGGAGGGTCCTCTTAATGAGGACGTGCCAATGTGAGATGCTGTGCTTTCTGTTCCATGTATCCCGCCTTTGCTAACAACCCATTTCCCTCTGAATGAAAGTTTTTTCCGTGGATCTCATGTAACCCTATGTCTTAAAAGGAAAATGTACAATCTGACATTGTTCAATGAAACTCCAATTCTTTAGCACAGAGGATGGTTTTTTTTTCCCGGAGAAGTAATGATTTTGTGACTGCATGAAATGTAAGCTGACACCGACTGTTTGCCCAGCACACGCGAGCTCTTTGAGAGTGGATCCAGAGAAAATAAGGCAGGGTGAAAAGGCAGAGCAGTGGGTGGGGAAATCAGTGGTGTCATATGGGCCTTCTTTTCAATTTGGATCTGAAGCCCAAACTCCTGCTTGAAATTCCTAGAATTTGGAATTTTATATTGTTCAAAAATTTGATTTTGCGTTTTGGTACGTGTATCCCAAGTGTCTTGACACAGACACATATCACACATTAAAGAGGTGGAAACACAGAAATCTTGTAACAAGGCATTTATTTGAGATGAGGAAAGGAAATTGAGCAGAAGGTACAGGAGTAATAGCAATTCCCTGTAGCTCTCAAAGCAAATTTTGAGCTCATTTTTCTTTTTCTGCAAGCTCAGCAGCAGAATGCCCAGAGTCTTCCCTGGTAGATGCAGGTTCCATAGCGACGTTCTCCTGCAATGCACGCTGGTATTCTGCAATAGCAGTCCATGTTTTTCCTTGAGCCTGGGACAGGGAGAGCATGAGAAATTGAGTATGGAGTTAGCAGTGGGTAAGAAAAAGAATCTCGGGGAAGTCACATGCTAGCTGACAGGTGATGCTGGCTGCATTGCAGCCGTTAGCACGAACAACCTCAGTCGATAGGAATAAACACGCAGAGCAGTGCTTGTCACACAGAATTTGAGACTCATTCTCCTTTGCTCTCATTTTTGCATTCCTGCCCCATCACACACACACCTGAACATACCCTCAGGCTTGGCTGCAGTTTTTAAAAGCTCTTCTGTAGAGTAAAATGTTCTCTTTACAACTAAGTCTACTTGTTTAGATCCAGAAATAACTAGTCTGTCTCTTCATATCTTAAACTTAGTGAATTTCACAGATGTTTCTTGGAATCAAGTCTTTGGAGAAATAAAGTTTCTCAGGTTTATTTGGCTCTCTGTTCAATTTCTAGATGAGAAAATCAATGCCCAGAGATTCTAAGTGAAGCCACCTCAGTGACATAGACTGCTGAGACCCAACTCTGGAACCTCTCTCCCGTCCTTCCCTCTAGACTTAGCAGCTCTGCATGCCTGCCTCTCTCACCTGGATGCTTTGGAGCCAAGCTTTCGTCCCATGCAAGGGAAACAACCACTTCTGGGATGTCCGCTGCAATCTGCTCCGGGGCTGCAGCAACCTCATCAGCTCTTGCCTGGAGTGGCTCAGCCTGGGCCTGCAGGGCCACCAGGAGAATGGCAGCAAGGATGGCGAGGGTCCTCATGGCTGGGGTCACCTGGAGGAGGGAGAGCAGGAGCAGCTGTGTGGGGAGGGAGGAGCCAGCCTGGATTTATAGCTCTACTGGGAGAAGGCTCGGAGACAAGAAACCTTCCTCAATCTCAGTGAGAGGAGGTGTGCATTTTACAAGAGAGGCCCATTGGTCTCAAGGTTGCTCGAATGCTCCTGTTCTCCCAGTTTCATGCTAGTATACATCTGTACCTTTAATGTCTGTGCTAGGTTGGAGCTAATAATGACAAGAAAGACCCTGCTATGTTACTCGTGGGTTCACCTGCTTAAATATTATGATTTACTTTTTAACATTCCAAAAAGAATAGAAATTGCACTTTGATTCAACAGGCTCAGGGAACAAATGCTTCTTATTTTCTGAAGATGGGTCCTGCTGTTCTCTGGAGGTCTAGATTCTGGTGTCCTATATGAGTTCCAATGGAATAGCGAGTAATTCACTTCAGGATTCAGGTGACTTACCATCCTCATGAAGAGGTTTTTGAGGTTATGGGGTGAGTAGTCTCCTGTAGGAATCAGGGTGGAGAGGACAATGATTTTATCAGGCTAAAGGTGAAATCAGCTCAGTGACACAGAGTGGTTTAAGTAAAAAAAAGAAAGTTTATTATTTCCACCTCTACTTAGACTTGAGTAACAATTAACAATTGTATATTTATAGTGTACACTACCTCATGATTTTATATATGTATGTATTTAAATCTTTATCTCACACCATGTAGAAACATCAACTCAGAATGAATTGAAAACCTAAATGTAACAACTGAAACCATAAACTACTAGAAGTGTATAGAAGGATAAAGCTTTTGACATTGATGTAGGTAATGATTTCTTGGCTATGACACCAAAGGCACAGGCAATAAAAGGGAAAATAGACAAGTGTGGCTTCATTTAACGCTAAAGCATCTGCACAGCAAAGGAAACAATCAACCGAGTGAAAAGATAACCCAGAAAATGAGAGAAAATATTTGCAAAACCTACATGGCAGAAGGGGCAAATATCTGAATACATAAGGAATTCCAACAACTCAATAGCAAAAATCAAACAACCTGATTGAAAGACAGACCAAGGACCTAAATAGGTTTCTCTCAAAAGAATGTTCCAAAGACCTGTGATAGTCTCTACTGGACATGTCAACCAGGACATGTGTGTTTAGAAGGAAACTGCTTGAGTTTCTCTATTAAGTTAGCTGGAAGCCATCGTCCCCAGCAGTCACCAGAGGTCCGGACAGACGTTCCTAGCAGGGATTCACCCGCTGGGTCCCTCTGGGGCGGCCCCACAGTCAGAGGTCAGATTGGAGGCATAGCTTCAATGATGAAAACTCAGTGTAAAGTTTAAGTTTTGTAGTACTTACAGATCCTCTAGCTAGGCAGGGTGACCAGAGAGGGCAGACAGCAGTCCTCTGTCCCAGGTCTTCTATAGCAAGGAGCAGCCGTGCACAAGTGGACTTCCCCTATTTAAAGGTCTTTTGGGATGAGGTGTCCTAATTTCCGGGGTTACTTTCTGTTGGGTCCATTAAATAATTGTGGTGGCAAGGACAGTTGAGAAATTTGGTGGGAAGGTGAGGTTAAAGTAGAACTCCACAGAGGAACCTCTCATCTACCTTGGTCAGCCCTGGCCAGGCCCAGGCAGCAACCAACTATGGATTCTCAATGGCTCCTAACACAGTTGACCCTGTGATGCATTGGCTGTGGCTAAGCTGAACTACCTGCACCAAGGGAATATTTAAAGCCTCTGGGACAACCTGGCTGCGTATCATAGTATACGCCCTGCAAAGAGACTAGGATAGGAATGCCACCTGCACACAGAGGAGGATTTGGAATGTGTTTCTAAAGCAGTGTCCCGAGGACCTGAGGTCTAACCATAAAAACTAATGAAAGCCATTTGGCTGAGCTGGGATGTTGGAGAACACCCAGGTGAGACTGAGTGCTACCTGGGCTTCTGTTGCTATGTGGAACAGACATTTTTGGGTTCTCCTGAGTACTGGATGTACACGCGGCATGTGGTTCCCCAGAGGTGACTATCACCTGTTTGCTTGGCCAATGAACAGTTTAAGGTTAAACAATTGTCTAGGATCATCTGGGCCAGGAACTGGTCTGAGGCATTAGCCATCAGGGTGGGAGTGGCCTTTCCAGATGGCCACCCAAGAAGGGAAGTGGGAGTCTGGGCATTCACTTTACTGCTGGTGTTGGACAGCCTCTCAGCCCTTGTGGGTCTTCAGAGAAGCATTTAGCAAAAGCTTGAGTGGTGCTTTCTGGGAGGCATAGGAGTTTCCATCCTTAACTGGTACCCATCGGAGAACAGGCGTATCCCTTAGCCCATGATCCTGTCTGGATGCTTTATGTGAATGCAAGGCTCCAACTCTTCAGGCTGCTGTCTGGGTGTGTGCTGCGGCATTGTTAGCCCATTTGGATTGAAGCCTATGCATCCAGAGAACTACCTCCTCATCCTTAAAACACGATCTGTGGTTGTGAGGGCTGCTGGTGTTTAAGCATTGGTGCCATGGGACCCATTCAATATCTAAGGGTTGAGTTGCCCACCTTGGACACAGGTCAGGTTGTATTTGGGGTACAGCCCCTCTAACAGGGCTTACAGGGAATTCCCCAGTTTTCCAGTCTGGGGTACAAATTCTGACTAGGGCTGTCTTGTTCCAGCAGCCCTCTAGGCTGCCAGGCCTGGGTTAAACAGCTACCCCACAAGCCATTTGTACATAAGATACCAAGCAAGGCCAATCATAGAGAACACTGACATCTTGTCACTCAGGGCTTTCTTCCCAGTGCTTCTATATTGACACTGATGATGGGGTTGGCTGGCACCCACTTTTCCTTGGAGCCTTTCTCCCCCATGGCCACGTTTGGTGATGGCACTTCCATATGGTCTTTGCCTGACGTAGTTGGTGTCTCTAGTTTGAAGGCTTCTTCTCCTCGTTACTGCCTCTGACTGCACCCTCGGTGGGTTCTGGAGCAATAATCCTTACTTCCTGCCAGGAGGAGTAAGTGGGAAATATTAGCTAACCTTTAAAACCGGTAAAAAAGGGAGCTTTTGCCAGAAGCTGCATGTGAAATGGAGAGGTGTGGTGTAGCAAAAGCCTCGTGGTCCTGCTGGGTGCCAGTGGGCCTGGGGGGTTATCCTCAGAAGATCGTAGTTTACTATCCATCCACAGTCCATTGTTCAGTACATGTTTGATGTTGAGATGGTGGATGTCTTGTGATGATATGGGGAGGTCTCATTATTGGAGAACATGTAAATGATGTTATCTGTAAGGGAAAAAAGAAGCTAACTCTTCTGTGATCACCAAGATAGGCACCAAAGTGGGTCTAGCCCAATTGTGATGAGGCAGTGGTGGCCATGGGGTTGAGAGTTAAAAAAGTGACGGCCCTTGGAAGGACCTTGGTGCCTTGGGTGTCCATAGCACATCCAGAGACATTAATAACCATGACTTTAGGAGGCCACCGTGCTGCTTGAGGAGGCTGGTGACTTGGGGACGATGGACTAAATGAGTCTCCCTTAACCCACCCTCGTGTTGTGATGTCCTGAGGTGGGAGCCTCCATCTGAATCAATGATAGGTGTGGTTCTAAAGGAGATAGTGAAGAAATGCCACGTAAAGAGAACACCTGCTCCACGCAGGGCATAAGGAGCTACGGTCCCTGGAAGACTACACGTGCAGAAGCTCATAGTTAGGACAGGTGTGCTTTGTCCAGAGGCTCTGAGAGTTGTGGTGGACGGTAGTGAGGGCCTCCCCATGAAACTCAGAACCCGGGACCCGGGCATGGTCTAGAATCACCTGCTGGTCCAGCAACAGACTGTATCCTGCTGTGGCCCCAATGGATGTGAAGGGCTTCTGGGTGATGGCATTTGTGGGCCCCTGCAGAATGGACAAGTGGGGTATAGCTGTCTCCAAAGACACCATGTCCCAGTACATGGAGGGCCTACTGCAAAGTGGCTAGGACACTAGTGGTGAGGATTTGGTTTTTAACTGCAAGGGGACTTTGTCAGCCCACTGACGACAAATTGATGCCCAGAATCTTTACAACAGTGCTGGAGGGGCCATGAGTGTGTCCTGCAGAAACCTGGTCACTGTCCAGGAAGAGGGAGAGCGGGTGCAGCAGACCTGCCCGTGTGTCCTGGCCCAGGCGGTGGCTTTACATGCAGCACCCAGAGCGATTTGGGGAGCTGAGGGAGAACAGAGACCCTCCAGCTGGCTCAGAGTCACGGGTGGCTCCTGTCCCTGGAGGGGTGGCCTTCTCTGCCCCAACCCAGTCTTGTGCTCTCCTTCCCTGCCATTCTTGGCTGCAGGACTGGGAACCATCTGCTGGGACGTTGCTCTGTGTCTCCCTCATGGCCATGCTCCCATCCTTGCCTCCTCCATAGACTGCGGTCAGGACTCGGCAGCCCAGAGCCCCAGAAGGGTCTCAGTCTGCGCTGAGGTCACACCTAGGCATTGTCGCCATCCTCCCGCAGGTGATTCTCAAACTCCAAAACTCAAATTAGAACAGAGAGATTCTTCCCTGTGGTCCTTTTCACCTTTCTCTTTGGGCTGCACCAGAACCTTGGCAGAATTTTGTGGTTTAAACAAAAAAGGTGTTATGTCTACAGATTTTTTACAGTACTTTCACTTCCATGTTGATCCATAGTCCCCAACCCCAGCCTGATTTTTTCCAGTGATTGCAGCCAGTGTAGACAATCAGTGTCCACACTGTGGACACTATATGTAGATGCAGCTGAAGCTGTTTTTTCAGACACACGCATTTGAATTTTAGGGAATATTGAAGCGAGTCTAGACTCAATAAAAACCTTGACATCATTAGGCTGGGGTAAACATTCTGGAGAAGCTGTGGGTGGGGTTGTAGGTGTGAGAGGAGAGAAGCTTCCAGGAGCAGCACACATATTCTCACACATGTTTATGGTGTCTGGTGGCCCCAGCAGACAGTGTGTGTGGACCTTGGGCGGGGCCCTGGGGTTATGGTTTTGACCCAGCAGGAAAGGGTAGTCATGGAACACAGCATGCGTGTTACCATGGGGCACAGCGGGGGCTACGCAGAGGTGAGCTCTGAGGAGGACCCTCCACCTCCCAGCTCCTCAGAGTGGATGGTGGTGTCCCTCCCCTCAGCCCTTTGTCCACTGTCCTGCAGGGAGGGTCCTGGTGGTGCCTGTGCCACACAGTCACTCCCGGGCCTGCAGATCCAGCTGGGACAGGTAGGAGCTCCAAGTCCCTGCCCTTTGTCTGCCTTTCCCAGCCGCCTCTCACAAGCTGTCTGTGTGTCTGGTGTTGAGGATTGCAGCAGGTTTATTTTACAATAAACCATAAGGAAATAGCTTCCTTGAGCTGTTTTAAAATATGTTCCCTAAATTCTTTTATTATTTTTTATAGAAAGAAAGGTTTCTGTTCTCTCCTGTTAGGTCTAGGATGGGTAACATTTTGACCAACAGACTACATGGAACTAGATGCCATGCTGTTTTCTGGGATCAGGCGCTAGTGAACTGGTGTCTTTTTCTATCTCTCTTTGGATGGTGCTGTGGTCTGAGACATTTTTCCTCTGAAATTCATATGTTGAAGTCTTAGACCCTAGGATGATAGCATTAAAAGAAAGGGTCTTTTTGGAAATGAGGAGGTCAGCATGGTGGAGTCCTCATGAATGGAATGAGTGCCCCTGTAGAAGAGGTCCCAGAGAGCTCCTTCATTCCTTCCACCAGATGAAGACACAATAAGAAGATGTTGTATATGAACCAAAAAGCTGGTTCTCACCAGACACTGATTCTGCTGCCACCTTGATTTGGACTTCTTAGCCTCCACAGGGGATTCCGAATGGTGGCAGAAGTTAGGGTGTGGCCATGCGGTGGAGGGTTGGAACAAAGAAGATGAAGGGTCACTGTTGTCCCGGAGGACAGAGCGCTGAGAGGTAGTGAGGGTGACCTTCCAGGCAATATTAGAGTAACTTAGTTCACGACATTTTGAATTTTTTTTAGCAGTCCACATGTGCTTAGAGGGCTGGTGCCTTTGGAGCCCAGATACCATGCTTGGAGGAAGACTAAGCATCCCACAGGGAGAGGAACTGAGCCCACCTGCAAGGATGGGCTAGAGAACACTGAGCAACCAGCTTTCTAGGAAAAAAGAAAACTCTGATTTGCAATGTTTGTAAATTTCTGTGGTTAAAATGCTCCCAGCTATAGACAGTTTAAGAATTATCACACAAAAACTCCTCCCTCATGAGCTGGCCTGATCTGACCCCAGCACATCACAGGGTCTCATCCTTCAGCTTTCTCAGAGTTTCCAGCTGAGCCAACACCACCTGCCACCTGTGCACGAGTGTCCTGGCCCTGAAATTTTCAGATCTCAGCAGAACCTCTCCTCTTATGCCCGTGGAAGGATCCAAACCCCAATTGCAAATGTGTGAGTGAAGACGTGATCATGCTGTTTCAATCCACTACTTTCTGTGGTGTCTTTTCGCACAGTCCTAGATGAACAGAAGGCACGGTCTTGGTGAGAAGTTGAATGTGTGCATTTTTTGTGTGTGTAAATCTCAGCCTCTCTATAATATTGTTGAAGTAGGACAGAACCCTCTCACCTTATTTCCAAAGTGTCACAAAGAGCCCATCTTAATGGCAGCGTGGAATTGTGGACTCTTTGGAGTGACTGAAGAACCCCCGTCACCCATTCTTAGTTTAAATTCTTCCTGTTCAGAGCAGGGGTGGTGTGGGAGCCAGGTGGAGTGTCAACCTCTCCCCACAGTGACAGACTCAGAGGAGGCCACGGGACTTGGGGGTTGGCTGGAACAACATGGGAAGAAGTAGGGATTTTCTCCAGGAGATTAGCTACAAAAGTCATAGAGAGATGACGATGATTCACATGGTTGTCACCTGGGGAGAGAGCCCAAAGTAAGTTCAAGAGAAACAAAGGGAAAAAAAAGGTGAAGACAACAGTGTAACTCATGCTTTGATTTCTTGGATCAAGCAATTCCTGAAGCTAGAATTCCTCCTCAATTCCAAGATATAGGAGTCAAAATGTTAACTTAGCTTGTTGTTGGTTTCTGACATTTGAATTCAAGACCCCATTAAGAGATCTGAAAAACATCAAAAATACCAGACTCAGAGAACCTGAGGCAAAGATGGTGCAGTGCACAAGGACAGGAGATGAGAGCAGATGACAAGTGTCCCGGGGCAGCTTGAGACCAGATGACAGGTGTACCAAGGGCAGCTGGGGCATCAGGCTCCCTGGTGATTCCCATGCACAGCCCCGGGGCAGAATAACCTTGTTAATGCTGATCAGCAGGGAAGGAGGGGCAGCTATGTGAGAGGCTGGAAGGACAGCAGGTGAGTCAGGGATGGGGAGCTTCATAGTTGATGTGCAGAAATGGAGGAATTCCAGGTGATGGCAGGAGTTAGTGGGTGGCCGTGGGTGGAGGGCTTGGGCAAAGAGGAGGGGGTTCACTGTTATCCAGGATCTCAAAGCATTGAGAGGTAGTGAGAGTGACCTTCTGGAAAATATTAGAGTGAAAAATAACTTCTCATAATCTTAAGTTTCTTCGTGAGTTACGGGGCTTTTAGCAGCAAAAGACAAAATATGCCAAAGTTCAGAAAAGGGAACAAGTACTTTTCTTATCTCTTACATTCTTGTTGTAAACAGAGTTCAGAATATCATATAAACAGGCACAGAATATCAACAGCAACAATAACGAGGCAGTATCCTTTGTTTAAAAGAAAAATTGCACCAGATACTTTTATGAAATGCCAAGGAATTGGTGTTGAGGAATGTCCCAATAGGTGTTAACTCTTTGCAATAGGGAGAGCAGTTGAACTCAACTCTCTTGAGGCCAAACACAGGAGAGTTTAAGCCCTAGGGTGAGCTGGTGAAAAAGTACTGGAGGTTGCTGGCAGGAAGGTTGAGCAGTGTGATTGGGCCATCTGTGTTTCCCAATTTGTATTTATGGAAGGTAGGCTCCTATCCTCCCACAGAGAAAAGGGTACTTTCTTCTTGGAAAATGACATTTCAAAGGGTTAGCTTCATATTTGACTTATTCTTTATTTTCTTCTACTGTATGAGTGGCTTATTTAAGGTAGAAATATCTCACTGGCATTCCATAAATGTTCTGTGTGTGTGCATTCCAGTAATAAGCTTTGGGTTTTATTTGAGGCTAAGCAAGTTGCTCCCATTGTTTGGAGACCCTCACACCTCTCCCTGCATTCTCTGTCCTTAGTGTTTGCAGCTGTCATCGCGCACCCTAGACTGCAGTAGCAGAATCTTAATGTGGTTCTACCAGTATGCCTTTATCAACACAGAGGAGCAGGGATATTCCATCCTCGTCTGCCCCTTTCCCTTAAATTGATGGATGCCTCCGAGAATATCAGCTCGAATTACCAGTTCATCCTTTTCTCTTTCAACATCAATTCCTCCAAATCCAGCAGACTTAGACCCTGACCTGGCATATCTCTGTCCCTGATACCATTATCTCCAGCAAACGTTCTTCTCTAACCCTCCTTTTAATCTATTCAGTTGTAAACATCTTTATGTTCCGGTTTAAGATACACCATAAAATCTGTCCTTGCCACTCCAAGACAAAATGATCTCTTCTTTCTAAAGTCCTAATGTTACTTAAAGCCACATTTTACCAGTGATATTCTCCTATATTTCATTCTTAAAAGATTTTAGTTTTTGAAAGGTCTGCTGTCACATGAACTGACATACAGAATTTTTTCTTCTGTAGGTTTCAGCTTTTTTTCTATGAAGTTGAGTAATAATAATGCAATTTTGTAATAGTATGTGATGTTGGGGATAATTAATAACTCAGAATTAATTTGTTGATCCCCAGCTATGTGTTAGGCAGTCATCTGGGCACTGTGGTACAACAATGAGCAAAACATGCAGCTTCCCTTCTAGCACAGAGAGAGAAATGTTACCGAGAATAAGTGAAATGTATAGGATGCGAAATGGTTTGAAATGCTACAGTTAGAAATAAAGAGAACAAGGAGGATGGAGGTATCCAGGGGAACTTGTGGCAATCTTAAGTTGGGAAATCAAGAAAGATTTCAGTGACCAAGGGATGTTTTAGCTGAGACCCCAGGAGCTGGAGGAGTGAGCCAGGTGGACTTCTGGGTGAAGGGCAGCTGCCCCAAAATGAAGTGATCCTGGCCCAGTGGACAGTTAGGAATAATTTGCAGTTAGTTCAAGGACCACATGACTCCAACTCCAAGGCAGTGACAGGAACCCAAGGAAGGTGGCTTGTTTTTCACCCCCTGAATCATAATATGTGTCCTTCACTGTCTACACAAGGGGGAAGATCTGGGAGCATTTATTTTGTCAGACACCAACCCACTGTGTCCTCCTTGAGGTCTGCAGTAGGTTCCCCAGCTGTGCATTGTCTCAGTGGGGTGCCTGGAACCCTGAGCCGCCCCTTTACACAGGCAGAGCCTCAGTCTGGGACTGAGACCTGCTCGGAATCTGCATGGATTGGATGTGGACAACACCTGCTTCCTTCTCCTGGGTGCTGGGCATTTGTGGTTGGTGTTGGTGGTCACAGCTGTGTCTAGACTCATTATATTGTTTTATTCAAGAATGGTGAATAATCCACTTGAAACACTATTTCTTCCTTTGCAAACTATGGTCTCTCTGTCACTGTAAGGGTTCTTGGGGCATTTTACCAGTACCACCCAATAAGAGTAGCCAAGGCTTGAACAGACATATTTTTATTCAAAAAATGTATTGTGGAATCACAAACTAGCACTACTAAATTTAAAGTAAAATAAAGACTCTGGGGCTCACGCTAGAATACTTCCCGGGGCTCTGGGGCTCACGCTGGAATCCTTCCTGGGCCTTTGTGGTCATGTTCTCATAGGCTATTTGCAGGATATGTTGAACTAGTGTTCAAGGTTCAATGGGTGCCTAGAGAAGGAAAGAGAAGAGATACAGGAAGGGTCACATCACACCTCAGCAAGATGTCAGCCTGGCCTCAGGGACACCGGTAGCGACCCTGTCCTCTTGGAGGAGAGGAGAAAGACAGGCTCAGGAAGGTACATACCCAACGTGTGCTGTGCCTGGTGGGGAGGCTGCAGTTGGAGGCAGGACAACAGGGGGCGCTGTGGTCTTCCAGGTAATTGCTCTGAGCATCTCAGAGGGCGCTCAACTCCTGGTTCATTCCCTTTCCGCAGACCTGGTTTCCTGCTCACTGGCTGATGTGCAGCACTTTCTGAGTATCAGAACCTCAGCGCCCTGCAGCACCAGCCGGGACGCAGATTACTTCGATAGCTTTTCCCTCACTTCTGTTTTCCCGGTGCCCCTTTAAAACTGTATTTTCAGGTAGAATCAGGTCCTCTGCAGTTTTAAGGGAACACAAGAGTGTTACCAGATGGAAGATCTTGACTGTGAGTTGTCCAGATTCTTAGTGCATTGAACAAATAATTCAACAAAACGTACAAACAAAGCAACAAAAGAACAAAGCAACGAAAGACAAACCAAAGCAACATGAGAATGCAGTAACGAAAGTACAGATTTATTGACACACCACAGAGTGGGAGCCAGTTCAAGCAAGTGGCTCAAGAGCCCCCCACTTAGTGTTTTTATTAAGCTCAAAGAATTTGGTGTGCTGCCTAATCTTGCCTGGAACTGGCTGCACCTGGTGTTCTTTTCCTTATGCCTTAACCCTTGATTATCCTATTTCCCTATTCTCCTGTCTCAAGGGTGCATCTTTCAGAATACAGTTGAGGAATCTGCGTTTTGTTTGTGTGAAGACAACTTTATGAATATGAAATCAAGATTTTCCCTGGCATGGGTGGAAAATATTGATGATGAGTCTGTCGCAGCGAGGTGCTCCTATGCTTTTCGTTGTACTCATTACAGGATTTGTTTTGTTTTGTTTTTTTGATGGAGTTTCGCTCTTGTCACCCAGGCTGGAGTGCAATGGCATGATCTCAGCTCACCGCAACCTCCATTTCTCAGGTTCAAGTGATTCTCCTGCCTCAGCCTTCCAAGTAGCTGGGATTACAGGCATGTGCCACCACTCTCGGCTAATTTTTGTATTTTTAATAGAGGCGAGGTTTCACCACGTTGGCCAGGCTAGTCTCGAACTCCTGACCTCAGATGATCCATCTGCCTCAGCCTCCCAAAGTGCTGGGATTGCAGGCGTGAGCCACTGCCCCCGGTCTGGAACCATTTCTTTGGTGCTGGGATTACAGGTATGAGCCACCACACCTGGCCCATTACAGCTTTCTTAACTGTTCATTCCAATCTCAATTAAATTTTTTTCAATAGAGCTGTGACAACCCCAGGTCTTCAAAGGCAGATGTGTGACCTGGGTCTGTTCAATGAAACTCCAACACTTCAGGAAAGAACATGGTGGTTTTTTCCCTAAGAAGTAGCGATGTTATGATTGTGTAAACTGAAAGCTGATAATGACTGTTTTTCCTAACACATGGGAGTTACGTTTGAGTGAATCCAATCAAAGTGAAGCAGAGTGAAAAGACAGAGAAGTAGAAGGAGAAATTGGCAGCATAATTTGTGCTTGTAAATCAGTTTGTGTCTGAAGCCAATGTTTGTCCTTGATATTCTTAGAATTTGGAGTTGTATTTTGCTTAAAAAGCTTAATTTAGGATTCTGGTGCTTGCATCCCAAAGAGTCTTGACTAAGAGGTGCATTAAACACCAAACAGGTACAAACACAAACTTGCTACAAAGACTTTATTAGGAATAAGGGAAGAAATTGAAGACAAGGTAAAGGAGTAATAAAAGTTCTCCTCTAGATCTCAAAGCAAATGATGAACACATTTTCCTCTGTGCTCCATGATCCCACTATTGGTGCAGGTCCCATAGCGGTGTTTGGAAAAATGACAGCCTGATATTCTGCCATAGCAGACCAAGCCCGTCGCTGAGCCTGAAGACACAGAGAAAGCATCAGGCATTGGGACTGGGGTCAGACGCGGTTGGTAAGGAGAATCCCCGTGCAGTTACTTACTGGGCTGATTGCATTCATCATGGTGGCCACACCACAGCAGCAGCAAGATCAGCTCAATCAATAGGAATCAACGTACACAGCAGTGCTGCTCACAGGCAGGATTAGAGACTTATTCTCATTTGCTCACTTTTTGTGATGCTGCTTCTTCACACACACATTTGAGTACACCCTTAGGTCCCTTCCCATTTGTGAAGCTCCTCTAACAAACAAAGTGAAATATGTTTCTTTCCAAGTGGGTTCTCATCCTCGATGCCAGAGAGACTCCCCAGCGTGTTTCCACATAGCATAAGATTACTAAATTTCACTGACTTTTCACAGAATCAAATACCTTTGGAGGAGCAATGTCCATTGAATATCATCTGATTCTGTCTTTTCAGTCTACACTTGAGGAAATTGAGGCCTGGAGAGGTGATCACCTAAGAGAAAGAACCAGCTATTGGGTCTGATTCTAGCGGTGCCTGGTTTTCCTCTCTAGACTCCTGGCTCTGCAGTGCTGGTGGCTCTCACCTGAATCTCTAAAACCTGAGCTTATGTCCCCTGTGAAGGAGATGGCAAAGTCCTGGTGGTCTGCCCCAAGCTGCTCCTGGGCTGCAGCCTAGTCAGCTCTTGCCTGGAGTGGCTCAAGCCAGGGCCTGGAGTGGCACCAGGAGAATGGCAGCGAGGAGGGTGAGGGTCCTCATGGCTGGGGTCACCTGGAGGATGGAGAGCAGGAGTGGATGTGTGGGGAGTGATAAGCCAGCTTGGATTTATAGCTCTGCTGGGAGAAGGCTCAGAGACAGATGCTGCAGTGAGAGGAGGTGGAGCATGTGATTGGGGAAGGGAAGGGCTGCCTTTGCCATCAAGATCCCTTTGATGCTCTTCTGTTCTCCGAGCTTTTATCATAGCATGAGTCTGCTTATCGAGTGTCTGTTCTGGGTCCAAGCCAATAGTGATGATTAGGATCATGCTATAATTTCCTGTGTCTCATCTGCTGGAACATTTACTTCTTAATATTCAAAAAAGAAAAGAAACACTGCTCTTATTCCATAAGTTCAGGCAATAAATGCCTCTTATTTTCTGAAGATGAGCCCTGCTATTCTTGGTGGTCTAGACCCTGAGGCAAGACCTGGACCCCAGCATAGAGAGTAATTCATTGCAGGATTCTGGGGCATTTCTACCCTCATGAAGGACGCTTTTGAGGTTCTGGAAGGCATAGTCTTCTGCCACTGCTAGTGTGGAGAGGACAATGGCCTCATCAGGCTATCAGTCAAATAAGCTCAGTGGGATACTAGTTAAAGAGTTGGTCTGAATAAGGTTAAAAATTTTTTTTTATTTCCAACCGTATTGAGAGGAGTGACAATTAGAAATTATATCGGTTGAAAGTACACAACCTGATAATTCAACGTATATCTACATTTGTACCCTTATCTCACACCAAATGTAAAAATCAACTCTGAATGAATTGAAGACCTAAATATAAGTCTTGAAATCATAAAACTTACTAGAAGAACCCATAGGGATAAAGCTTCCTAACGTTGAACTGGGAGATTATTTCTTGGATATTACATTAAAGGTAGAGGCAACTAAAGCAAAAATAAACCAGTTGGAGTTCATTTAACTGTAAAACATCTGCATAGCAAAGGAAGTCATTAACTGAGCAAACAGGCAACCTAGCAAGAGAGAGAAATATTTGTAAACGATACATGTAATGAAAGTAAATATCTAAATATATAAAGAACTTAATAGAAAAAAACGAGTATTAATGATAAATGTGACTAAACAACTAAAAGAAACCATTATTACATAATTAAAGGAAACTGTGATGACAAAATCTTTTCAAGGGCAGAATATAATAAAGTGAAGTTACGAAGAAACACATGAAATTCTGGAATTGAGAAGTACAATAATCGAAATGTAAATTTTATGAACGGCTGCTCAATAGTATACTTAAACTGGCAGAACCAAGATTTAGGAAATGTGTGTACAGATAGATAAAAGATTATATAGTCCAGAGAACAGAGAAAAAAGATGAAGAAACAAGAATACAGTTAGAGAAAAGTGAGATACTATTAGGCATGAAAACACTCACTGGGTTGAGAGGTGAACTCTCAATCTGTTAAGGCAGCAGTCCCCAACTTTTTTGGCATCAGGGACATCTATGAAAAACTTACAACTAACATCATACTCGGTGGTTGAAAAAAAAAAAAAAGGATGCTTTCCTACTGAAATTAGAAACCAGCCAAGGATATCTGAAATCAGCACTTCTACTCAACATTGTGCTAGAGGTTCTAGGGCAGTCAGGCAAGAAGGAAAAATTAAATGACATCCAGGTTAGAAAAGAAGTTGTTAAATAATCTCTGTTTGCAAAGACATGATCTTTTATATATAGAAAATCCAAAACAATTTATTAAAAAACTATTAGAACTAATAAGGGAGTTTAGCATGGTTGAAAAATAGAAGACCAGTGCACAAAAATCAATTGTATTTTTTCTTTCATAATAAACTTTTCAAAAATGAAGCTAAAAACTCCTTTTACAAGTAGTATCAAAAGGAACATAGCTAGTCGTTGAATTTAAAAAATGTGCAAAACTTATACTCCCCAAACCACAAAAAGTTGAAGTTTTTAAGAATATCTAAATAACTGGAAAGAGATCTTAT
Organism: Homo sapiens; assembly: GCF_000001405.40. Taxonomy (NCBI): domain Eukaryota; kingdom Metazoa; phylum Chordata; class Mammalia; order Primates; family Hominidae; genus Homo; species Homo sapiens. The sequence goes on from NC_000008.11 coordinate 7,031,447, forward strand.
GCTCAGGGATTGTGAGGTTTAATGTGAGATGTCAGTGCTCCCCAAACTGATCTACAGATTCAGCTCAATCTATTTCAGAATCCCTAATGACTTCTTTGTAGAAGACTTTCTTTGTAGAAACTGACTAGGTGATTCTAAAATTTATATGGAATAGCAAGGATCCCAGAATAGCTAAATAATCTTGAAAAAGAAGAAAAGATTCCTGTTTTCAAAGCATCCTACAAAGAAACGGTAATCATGACAGGGTGGTACTGCTGTAAAGATAGACATAGATCAGTGGAATAGAATTGAGAGTTCAGAAATAAAAACGTGTCTATGGTTATTAACTCACTTTCTGCAGTGGTGCCAAGGGCATTCAATGGAGGCAAGAAAATTCTTTTCAACAAATGGTGGGGTAAACTAGATGGCCACAAGCATTAGAATGAGTTGGACCCTACCTCACACTATATTTAAAAGGTAATTCAAAATGGGTTAGAAATCTAAATGTAAAATCTAAAAGCATAAAACTTTTATAAGGAAACATAGGGGTAAGCCTTCATAACCTATGTTTGGCAATGGATTCTTAGATATTATATCAAAAGCATGAGCAACAAAAGAAAAAAACAGGTAATTGGATATTATCAAAATAAAAATCTTTTGTATTTCAAGTGACACTATCAAGAAAGCGAAAAGGCAACTCACAGAATGAGAGAAAATACTTACATATCACGTATCTCATGAAAGACATGTATCCCATGTATCCAGAATATATGCAGTCCTCTTATGATAAACACTTAAAGCTAAATAAACAAATTTATAAACGGGCAAAGGATCTCCTTAGACATTTCTCTAGGGAAGATATACAGATAGTCAATAAGCACATGAAAAAATTCTTGGCATCATTATTTATTAGGAAATTCAAATCAAAACCACAGTGAAATACCACTTCATATCCACCAGGGTTTTTTAGAATCAAAAAGGCAGATAATAGACAAAACCTGTCGAGGATGTGGAGAAATTTACTGCTGTGGTGTAAAATGGGGCAGTCTCTGGGGAAAACAGTTTTATTGATTCTTTAATAAGTTAAACATAGAATTACCCTGTGAGCTAGGAATTCCACTCCTAGGTATATACCCAAAAGCTATGAAAGTGTATGTCCACACAAACAGTCATGGGGAAGGGCAAGAAGCCAGACATAAAAGACCATGTATTACATGATTCTGTTTATACAAAATATCCAGAATAAGCAAGTCTATGGGGACAGAAAATAGCTTAGTGGTTGCTCAGAGGTAGAGGGATGGGAATATCGGAAGGGAGGAATGGAAAGTCCTTGGGTTCTTTATGAAGTGATGAAAATTAATTTGAATGTGGTTATTGCTGCACATGTCTGTGAATATACTAAGCGCCACTGAATTCTGCACTTTAAATGTGTGAGTTGTACATCATGTTAATTTTATCTCGATAGAGTGGCTTTAAAAAACAAAATAACACGAAAAATGATATAACCAATTTTTTTTTAAGTTACCAAATGCATTTCCTTTCTCTATATATGGTGCACTACTGGTTTGGGGCCAAATATAAAATAAAATATGTTGGCATGATGGAAATTGTGTTATATTGCTACATTAATGGTGGTTTATTATGTGACCTGGATTAGTGTAATCTGAGAGATATTTGTCGTTACGTTTTTCCAAGCAAACCTTGTTTACTCAAATGTGGAGGCAATTATTACCACTTTTCTTCACTCCCAACTTTTTTATAAGATCGTGTATTCAAAAAGCTGTTTTGGGACAACTAAAATGTTAAATATTTTATGCTATATGATACTATTATCATTTTTGTTTGTCTGTTCGTTGTGAGACGGAGTTTGCACTGCTGCCCAGGCTGAAGTGCAATGGCGCGACCTCGGCTCACTGCAACCTGTGCCTCCCAGGTTCAAGCAATTCTCCTGCCTTAGCCTCCCCAAGTAGCTGGTATTAAAAGTGTGCACCACCACGCCCTGATAATGTTTGTATTTTTAGTAGAGATGGGGTTTCACCACATTGGCCAGGCTGGTCTTGAATTCCATACCTCAGGTGATCCGCCACCCGCCTCAGCCTCCCACAGTGCTGGGATTACAAGTGTGAGCCACCGTGCCCGGCCTATCATTTATTTTTATTGTGTGTGTTGTTACAGTTCAATGTAATCGTCAATTATAAAATGCCTCTCCCATTTCACATTTCATAAGAGTAAAGAGTTTTTTTAAAAGAGACTTTCTAGAATAGAGAATGTGACATAATTTTATTCTCTTTTGATATTGGAAAAGTAAGGATTTTTAGAAGATTTCTAGGCAAGGCAGAGAACTCAGTTGTGCTTTAATTGGATTTACGGCATGGGGACTTTTTCTCAGCATCAAGGTGAAGGTGAGAACAGTATAAAATTGATGTGGGCTTAGCATTTGGCATTTGCCCAGAGAGATAAGAGAGTGGGGGGAAAGGAACGAAGTCCTCATTCAACAGTGATTAAGTGATGGAACATAGACCAGGGCTGGATGTGAAAGAATTAAAAGAGTTTGGACAACTGATTGGGAAATAGTGGTGTTCCTAGAGAATGGAAGTGTTGACGACACTGAGTGACAGTATGGGAACGGCTGAGTCAGAAAGATTGAGGGGTGGGGACGAGGCATGGTAGGATGCTGGAATCTGCATTTTTAAGGTGAGAGTATCTCCAAGTGATAAGAAGATTGATGTTATGGCTGTGGATTGGGTGAACAAAACAGAGTATAAGGGAGGTTTCTGAAACCAACAGGTCAAGGATCCCTGAGGTTGTTGGGAGCCATGTGAGAGCAATGCCATTTCCCACACCACAGCAGTGTTCTCAAAGCCGGAGCTCTGAACCAGAAGCACCTGCATCACCTGGGAACATGGTAGCAATACAAACTCCTGGATCCCACCTCAGACCTATTGAATCAGAAACTCTGTGGAATGGGTCCTAGCAACAGTGTTTTACTGAGACCTCTGCAGACCTAGTGGAGGTTTACTGCTCATAGACCATCATCACTCAGGACAAAGACTCTTTCTCCCAGGTCCTTAGAAAAACAGTGGACATAAATGCTTTCTGTTAAATCCCATTGCTGAAGTCCGTTCAGAGTGAAAGAATTCTGAAACTTTTCAGCCATTTCCAGAGATGTGCCTTTTGTGTGTAAATGCATTTGTTTTATATTTACTTGAACTTGGCATTCATTTATCCACTGTGAGGTGGCCTTTTAACCAAGGCCCAGGTTTCCAATTAAACCTGCCTCCTTCACCCCAATTTTTTTTGAGACAGTCTTGCTCTGTCACCCAGGCTGGAGTGCAGTAGCACGATCTCAGCTCACTGCAACCTCTACCTGCTGGGTTCAAGCAATTCTCCTGCCTCAGCCTCCCAAGTAGCTGGGATTACAGGTGCACACCACCACACTCAGCTAATTTTTGTATTTTTATTAGAGTCAGAGTTTCACCGTGTTGGCCAGGCTGGTCTGAAATTCCTGACCTCAACTGATCCCCTCCTCTCGGCCTCCCAAAGTGCTGGGATTACAGGTGGGAGCCACCATGCCCAGCCCTTCACCCCACATTCTGCTTGTTCATTGTGAATTAAAGGTGTCCACATCACTTTCCCTACTTGCTCAAGGGGAAGACAACAATTACCCTATCACCTGGCAATCCTTCCCAGGAGCTATTCCTAAGCTACCCTGATCTATCTAAGAGGACAAGATTCTTCTAAGGGTAAGTGGTCCTGATTTCCTGGTCTTGACCTAAAGGGGAATTCTGTAATTGTCTGATCTACCTTTGGGAAATAATAAGTGGCCCCAGCTTACTCTGTGGAATAGAAGATAACACAGCCTAGTCCACATGGTGGTTGGTAAACATATAGACAGACGGGAAGCAGGGACTCTTATTGGGATCCATATCACGACTCATGAAATCATCAGAGGCACCAAGCAAATAGATGGCACACCTGGAATAAGAAGAACATCAAAGGGCTTTGGAGACAATAAGGGAACTTCAAATGGTTTGCTTTCCTCTCTTCCCTCTCCTCCCAGCCCCCATACTCACATATGGACAAATGTCCAAGCCCTATTCAGCAAAGCCCATTACTCTTGGGTCCAGCTTTCAATGAACAAATGCAAACACAGGATGGGTATATTTCTCCCTCATTAGCCATCAGGCTTGTGCAGCTTCGTGAGAAGAAACGACTGTCCCCTGTGATGACCGGTAGTCATGAGGACCTTATCTCTGCTCAGCGCCCTTCTCTCCTTCACCCCACCCCACCCCACATCGAAGCCAGAGCATTTTCACTGAAGTTCAATCTGTTTGTGCCAAGGGCTCTTTCTTCTTTTTCCTCAGTAGCTTCAGTATGTTTCCACCTTGAGATGTCCTCAGTTATCAGAGGGCGACTTAGCAGTGCCCATGCTATATTCCCAGTCAAGGAGAACCTGCTCTGACAGAAAGCTGGGCCAGCAGAGCCACAGTAGCACCTTAAGGACAGCAGGCGGCGCTCCTGCCCCTTATAAAGTTACCCTGGAGGAACTGCATAGGTACACTACTGAATAGCGGTGTCCAGCAAATTCTTTTTTTTTTTTTTTTTTTTTTTTTTTTGGTTGTTGTTGTTGAGACAGAGTCCTGCTCTGTCGCCCAGGCTGGTGTGCAGTGGCGCGCGATCTCGGCTCACTGCAACCTCGCCTCCCAGGTTCAAGCGATTCTCTTGCTTCGGTCTCCCGAGTAGCTGGGATTACAGGCACACACCACCATGGCAGGCTAATTTTTTTTGTGTTTTTAGTAAAGACCGGGTTTCACTATGCTGACCAGGCTGGTCTCGAACCTCAGGTGATCCGCCCACCTCTGCCTCCCAAAGTGCTGGGATTATAGGCATGAACCACCAGGCCCGGCCTGGAACCATTTCTTGGTTGGACACAGACCCACTCTGTCCTCCCTGGGATCTGTATTGGGTTCCCTAGCTGTGTAGTGTCTCAGTGGGGTGCCTGGACCCGCTGCCTAGCTGAAGCTGCCTCTTCAGACAGACAGAGCCTCGGTCTGGGGCTGAGACCTGCTTAGAATCTGCATGGGGTGAATGTGGAGAACACCGGCTCCCTTCTCCTGAGGTCTGGGCATTTGTTGGCGGTGTTGGTGGTCACAGCAGTATGTGGGCCCGTTGAATTATTTTAGTCAAGAATGGTAAATAACTCACTTGATATTCTGTCTCTTTGCAAACAGTGGTCTCTCTATCAGTCTTGGATTTCTTAAGGCGTTTTACCAGAGCCCACCTGATAAGAGTAGCCTTGGCTCAAACAGACATATTCTTATTCCAAATACGTGTTGTGGAATCACAAACTGAAACTGCTATATTCCAGGTGAAATAAGGAGCTGGCACTCACGCTGGACGCCTCTGTGGGGTCTTGTGGTCAGGGACTGACAGGCCATTTGCAGGACACGTTGGATAATTGTTCAAGGGACAGTTGGAATCTGGGGAAGGAAACAGAGGGGAGACAGGAGGAAGAGTCACATTACACCTCAACAAGATGTCAGCCTGGCCCTACAGAGACACCAGGTTTAGGCAGTGACCATGTCCTCTTGGAAAGGAAGAAAAAGACAAGCTCAAAAGGACACAGGCCCCAAGAGTGAGATATGAAGATGAGCAACAGTTGGAGACAGCCTGGGAGGGAAGCCGTGACCATCCCGGTACATACTCTGAGGACCTAAGAGGGTATTGCTGTTGCTGTTCCTCCTGGAAGGTCCTGATAATGAATCTATCACAGTGTGGTGTTCCTGGGCTCTTTGTTTGATTCATTACAGCTTTCTTAACAACTCATTCCAATCTTCAAAAAAAACAATTTTTTTTTTTTTGAGATAGGGTCTCACTCTTTTGCCCAGGCTGGAGTGTCTCACTCTGTTGCCCAGGCTGGAGTGTCTCACTCTGTTGCCCAGGCTGGAGTGTCTCACTCTGTTGCCCAGGCTGGTGTGTCTCACTGTTGCCCAGGCTGGAGGGTCTCATTCTGTTGTCTAGGCTGGTGTGTCTCACTGTTGCCGAGGCTGGAGTGTCTCATTCTGTTGCCTAGGCTGGTGTGTCTCACTGTTGCCCAGGCTGGAGTGTCTCATTCTGTTGCCTAGGCTGGTGTGTCTCACTCTGTTGCCCAGGCTGGAGTGTCTCACTCTGTTGCCCAGGCTGGATTGCAGTGGTGCAATCTCAGCTCGCTGCAGCCTCAACATTCCAGGCTCTAGCAATCCTCCCACCTCAGCCTCCCTGATAGCTGGGACCATGGGTGTGTGCCACCATGCCCAGCTAATTTTTTATATGTTTTTGTATAGATGGGGTTTCACCATGTTGCCCAGTGTGGTCTCAAACTCCTGCAACCCACCATTCCAACCTTAGCTAAAGTTGTTTCAATAGAACTGATATAACCCCCAAACTTAAAATGTAGATGTGTGATCCAGTTTGGTTGAATAAAACTCCAACAATTTTGGAAACAGCATGATGGTTTTTCCTGAGAAGGAATGATTTTGTGATTGCATAAACTTTTAGCTGACACTGATTGTCTGCCCAGCACACAGGACTTCTTTGAGAGTGGATCCAGTGAAAATGAGGCAGAATGAAAAGACAGAGCAGTGGATGGAGAGATCAGGGGCATCATTTGACCTTTCATATACATGTGTCTGAAGCCAGAATTCTTCCTTGAAGTTCCTAGAATTTGGATCTTTATTTTATTAGATCGGCCTGGCCCGGTGGCTCACGCCTGCAATCCCAGCACTTTGGGAGGCTAAGGCGGGTCAGTCACGAGTTCGGGAGATCAAGACCATCCTGGCCAACATGGTGAAACACCGTCTCTACTAAAAATACAAAAATTAGCCAGGCGTGGTGGTGGGCGCCTGTAGTCCCAGCTACTCAGGAGGCTGAGACAGGAGAATTGCTTGAATCTGGGAGGCAGAGCTTGCAATGAGCTGAGATCCCACCACTGCACTCCAGCCTGGGTGACAGAGGGAGACTCCGCCTCAAAAAAAAAAAAACCCGGAAATCATGTTACCAAGTATTTATTTGGGATGAGGACAGGAAATCGAGGACAAGGTATAAGAATAACAATTCCCTTTAATGCTCAAAGAAAATTATGAACTCTTTTTCTCTAGTCTGCAAGCTTAGTAGCAGCAGATTGGGTAGCGTTCACCAAGGATGAAGCAGGTCCCACCAAGATGTTCTCCAAAAATGCAGTATAGTACTCTGCAATGGCAGATCAAGCCCTTTGTTGAGCCTGGGGACCCAGAGAGAGCATCAGAAACTGAGTACGGGGTCAGCAGTGGGTGGTAAAGGGAATCTTGGAGAAGTCACATGTTGGCTGATGAGTGATGTTGGCTGTATTACAGCCGGTAGCACAAACAATCTCAGTCAATAGGAATAAATACACAGAGCAGTGCTGGTCACACAGGATTCGAGACTCATTCTCCTTTGCTTCACTTTTGTGCATTCGTGCCCATCACACACACACCTGAACACATTCTTAGGCTCCTCTCCAGGTTCTAAAACCTCCTATATAGACAGGGTGAAATATTTTCTATATACTTAAGCTTGTTTGTCTGGCTCCAGAAGGAACTAGGTAGCATCTCCTTATATCTTAAATCTAGTGAATTTCACAGTCATATCTTGGAATCAAGTTTTTGGAGAAAGAAAAATCTCTTAGATTTCTTTGGTTCTCTATTCCATTTAGATATGAGAAAATCCAGGACCAGAGATGTTAAGTATAGCCACCTAAGTGACATCTGCCACTGAGATCCAATTCCAGAGCCTGTCTCCTGTCCTTCTGTCTAGTCTGTAGCTCTGCATGCTGGCATCTCTCACCTGGAACCTGAAGAGAGCAGCTGTCATCTCCTGAAAAGTAAAGGACCACATCCTGGTCATCTGCTGGAGGCTGCTTCTGGGCTGGCATCTCATGAGCTCTTGCCGGGAGCGGCTCTGCCCAGGCCTGAAGGGCCACCAGGAGAAAGGCAGAGAGGAGGGTGAGGGTCCTCCTAACTGTAGTCACCTGGAGGAGAGGAGGGAGAGCAGGAGTGGATGTGTGGGAACGGAGGAGCCAGGCTGAATTTATAGCTCTGCTGCGAGAAGGCTCAGAGATGGATGCTGCAGTGAGAGGAGGTAGGCATTTCGTTGGAGAGGTTGCAGGTGTCCATTGGCCTCCACATCCTTCTGAGACTCCTCTGCTCTCCCAGCTTTCATTCTAGTGTGAATCTCTAGGTTTAGTGTCTATGCTAGCTTGGAATTCACGGTGATGATAAGGACCCTACCATTATTTCTGTTTTTACCTGTTTAAATATTTACTTTTAATATTGCAAAAAGTAATCGAAACAGTGATTTAATTCAGTAATTTCAGGGAATAAATCCTGCTTATTTTCTGAAAATGAGAGCTCTTCTCTTCAGAGATCCAGACCCTCATAACAGACCTGAATTCCACTGTAGTAGAGAACTAATTCATTGCAGGATTCAAGGGCATTATCACCCTCATGAAGGGGTTTTTGAGGTTAGGGGATGAGCAGTCTCCTATAGGAGCTGGGGTAGAGAGGACAGCAACCTCATCAGGCTATAGGTGAAACAAGTTCAGTGAGATAGAGATAGAGTTGATTGAAAGATAAAAATATGTTTATTATTTTCAGCTCAATGTGTGTAAATAGACACATTGTATGTGTCTAATATATACTACCTTAGAATTTGAGATATGTATACATGTGGTCTTTTTTCTTATACCACATACAAAAATCAACTCAATGGATTGAAGACCTAAACATAAGATCTGAAACCATAAACTACTAGAAGAATATATAGGGATAAAGCTTTTTGACATTAATCTGGGCAATTATTTCTTGGCTATGACATCAAAGGGACAGGCAATAAAATGGAAAATAGACAAGCGGGGCTGCGTTGAACACTAAAGCACCTGCACAGCAAAGGAAACCACCAACTGAGTGAAAAGGCAACACAGAACATGAGAGAAAATATTTGCAAACCCTACGTGTTAGAATGGGTAAATATCCGAATATACAAGGAAGTCAAACAATTCAATAGCAAAAAACAATTAATCTGATTAATCAGTGGGCCAGTGAGCCCCCATGATGGCTCACACAGGCAATCTCAGCGCTTTCAAAGGCCAAAGTAGGAAGATCGCTTGAGCCCAGGAGTTGGAGACCAGCTTGAGCAACACAGTGAGACTCCATCTCTGCAAAATAAATAAATAATAAATGAAAACTCCATGGGCCAAGAACATGAATAGACTTTTCTCAAAATAAAATAATGTTTTAGCAGCTATGAGTATGATCATCTCTGTTGGACACGTTAAGTAGGACATGTGTGTTTGGAAGGAAACTGCTTGAGTTTATTAACTGAGCTCATAGCCACTGCCCCCAGCAACCAACAGTCCCAGATGGCAAAATATTCCCTCACTGGTTCCCTCTGAGGTGGCCCCATAATCACGGGTCAGATTGGGAACACAGCTTCCTGGGTGGAACCGCAGTATGAAAGTTTAAGTTTTGTATTGTATTACTGACAGATTGTTAAGCTACGTGAGGCTACCAGAGTGGGCAGAGGACAGTCCCCTGTCCCAGGCCTCATGTTGCCACATCAGCAGCTGTGCACAAGCAGGAAAGGACTTCCCCTATTTAAGGGTCTTTTGGGAACAGGTGTCCTAATTTTCAGGGTTACTTTCTATTGAGTAGTTTAAATACCTGCTGGTAAGAGCAGTTGAGAAATTTGTTGGGAAGCTGGCATTAAAATAGGAGTTCACAGAGGGATACCTTGTCTATGGTCAGCCCTGGCCAGGCCCAGGTAGCTACCAACTATGAATTCTCCATGACTCCTAAGACAATTGACCCTGTGATGCCTACACTGGTGCTGAGGCTGAACTATCTGGACCAAAAGAATATTGAAAGCCACTGGGACAGCCTGGCTGTGTATCATAGTATCCACCCTGTAAGGAGGCTAGGCTAAGAATGCCACTCACACACAGATGAGGATTTGGAATATGGCCTGAACCAGCCTCCTGGGAACCTGGGGTCCAACTATAAAAACAAATCAAAGCTGTTTGGACAAACAGGTGTGTTGGAGAATGCCCGGGTGAGAGGAGTACCACCTCGGCTTGTGTTGCTAAGCAGGGCAGGTTTGTTGGACTTTCCGGAATTAAGGATGTACATGCAACATGTGGTTTCTTAGAGGGAGCAACCACCTCTTCTCTTGACCTTAGAGAGTTCAGACTGAACAATTTTTTAGGACCGTTTGGGCCTAGAAATCCTGAGATTTTTAGGTGAGACCTAATGTGTCTCAGAGGTCTCACAAGGGAGGGGGCCAAGGTGGCAGCAAGACGGTGCTGTGTGCTCAAACACCTTGTTCTAAAGCCAGTTCAGGGCAGGCTTAATGGCCACCATACACTCAGCATGAGTGGGATGATTACTCTATGCTTGGGATACACAGGAATGAGCTGGTATGGTCCCTCCTGGGTTATTTGAGGGGGAGTCCTAGGGAGAATAGTGCACATTTTAAAATGTACCACTCTCCACCCTCCTCCTCCTCCTCCTCATAGTGAGGTAAATGGCATCAGTTTTCTGGAAATGGGAAAAGAATGCAGTCACTCCTGAGGGAATAAATACCTACAGCGAGGTTGCCAAGCCCAGTGTGCAGGCCGGGCAGCCACTGTTGCCATGGGAGGGTTGTGCACAGCGCTGGTCCAGCAGGCCGGATACACAGGACCTCCCCTGCAGCTCTGTGTGAAGGCAGCAGGCACCGCGCTGTGGAGGACTTGGGGCAGTGGAGTGAGAGCTGAAGCGTCTCCCTCAGTCTTAAGGAGGCAAGAGGCATCTCAAGCCTCGCTAGGGGTGGTCGCTGTTGCAGAGCAGTGAAGTCGGCTGCCCCTATGAGGAAGCAGTGAGTTCCTGATCTGTAGCAGCCCAGCAATTTCACCGTTGGAGGAAGTGGGCACTGGACTCATTCCAGCAGAGGAAGAGATTAGGGCCATTCAGGGAACTGGGCCCCAGATGATGGTTTTAGGTTCTAGGGCATTAGTAGGTGCCTGAAGGGCCCAGTGGATATGGATGTAGAGGCAAAATGAGAAGGGGTGTGTGTGCACGTGGGGAAAGTCTGCTGGTTTTGGGAAACGTCCAGTGTCCTGCAGAAGTGAAACCTGGACCAGCCTCCTGCACACAGAACACACTCCAATCCACAGGCATTTCCTCAGTAACACATGAGCGTGCTGTTATGGGGAGAGCTGGTTAAATTTGGGTGTGATGTTGTTACGCACAGGTCTCCCAAGTCCATAGTTTTTGCATAACTTGTAAGGCAGCCTCATGGTGTGACCTAGGCCCTATGGTTTCCTTGCACTAGAGGGTATAGCTAATGGGGTTACATGAAGACAAATGGTGTTCCCAGCAAAATACCGCTCTATGAAGTCACCTGCAGGGTACGCAACAAAGCATGAGCTAAGAGAGCAGCTAAGCAGGGGTCCAGGTACTGGATGTGAGCCAGCACCATGTCCTGGCGGTGGTGAGGTCCCTACCCTGTAGCAGTAAGGAGAGGCTGGTTTAGTGGTGACCTCACCATCAAGGTGAGATTCCTTGGAGTCCCCTGGTTCTGGTGAGGCTCTTGTTTTCCTTGACAACCCTTGGGTTGGGGCGCTGTGGTCTGAGGCTGTTGCCATCCATGACCCCTACCCCAGTCGATTTTTCCATGAATTTCTACAAGTGTAGACTTCCAGTGTAGACGTGGTTGAAACTGTTCTCTCATACACATGCATTTGAATTTCCAGAGAATATTGAAGTGAGCCTGCGCTAGGTTGGAGCTGACCATAAGAGCCTTGACACCATCAGGCTGGAGTATATATTCTGCGGAAGCTGTGGGTGGGGCTGCAGGTGTGGGTGTGACAGGAGAGAGGGCTCCCGGAGCAGCAAGGATATTCCCACACAGCTGAGGCTGTCTGGTGGCCCCAGCAGACACAGGGTGTGTGGACCTTGGGCATGGCCCTGGAACATCGTTTTGACCTGGTAGGGAAGGGCAGTCTTGGAACCTAGCGTGCGTGTTAGCGTGGGGCAGGGCGGAGGCTGCGTGGGGGTGAGCTCTGAGGACTGTCCACCTCCCAGCTCCTCAGAGAGCACCACCCTGTCCCTCCCCTCAGCCCTTTGTCCACCCGCCTGTGGGGAGGGTCCTGGTGCTGCCTGTGCCACACAGCGACTCCCACGCCTGCAGATCCAGCTGGGACAGGCAGGAGTTCCAAGTCCCTGGCTTTTGTCTGCCTTTCCCAGCCACCTCTCACAAGCTGTCTATCTGTCTAGTATTGGCGTCTGCAGAAATTTTACAAAAAACTATGAGGGAATAACTCCGTTGAGCTGTTTAAAATGCGTCCCTAAATCATTGACTCTCCTCACACAGAAAAGGAGGTTTACTTATCCCCTATTGAATCGAGACCTGGTAACATCTTGACAAATTGAGTGCACCTGACTTAGTGCCATGCTGTTTTTCTGGGATCGGGCCTGATGAACTGGTATCTTTCACTTCCTCTCTATTGGATGGTGCTGCAACCTGAATATTTTTGTCCCTCTGAAATTCATACGTTAAAATCTTAAACCATTAGTTGATAGTATAAGAGGTGGGAGCTTTTGGGAGTTAAGAAGGTCAGAAGGGCACAGGCTTTATGACTAGCATTAGTGCCCTTATAGAAGATGCCCCAGAGAGCTCCCTCTCTGGTGAGAGGGCTCACTAGATGAGAATACAGTGAGAAGATGCCATCTATGAGTCAGAAAAGCAGCTCTCATGACACCAAATCTCCTGGCACCTTGATTTAGACTTATCAGTCCATGAGAAACACATTTCTGTTTTTATAAGCAGCTTGGTTTATGGCATTATTTTGCTAGCAGCCCAGACAGACTAAGAGCGCTGGTGACTTTGGAGCCCAGGCACCATGCTTAGAGGAAGCCTAAGTGTTGGACAGGGAGAGGAACCGAGCCCATCTACAAGGACTGGCTAGAGAATGCAAAGCAACCCGCTTTCTGGGGAAAAAAAAAAAAAAAAAAAAACAAAAAACAAGAAACAAAAAACAACTCTGATTTGCAGTGTTTTTAAGTTTCTATTCTTAAAATTCTCCTAGCTATAGATCATTTAACAATTATTTCACAAAAACTCCTCTCTCATGAGCCAGCATGATCCGACCCCAGCATATCACACAGTCCCGTCCCTCAGTCTTGCCGGAGCTCCCACCTGAGCCAGCACTGCCTGCCCCTGTGCAGGAGTGTCTCAGCCCTGAGATCTTCAGATCCCAGCAGAACCTCTCCTCTGATGCCCCTGGAGGGAGCCAGGCCCCAGTTGCAAATGTGTGAGTGAAGACCTGATGGTGCTGTTTCAATCCTCTGAATTTTGTGGTGGCTTTTTACAAAGCAGCAGGTGAACAGGGAGAGAAGTTCTCATTGTCATGGAGAGAAGTTGGACTTGTGCACTTTTTGTATGTAAACTTTTGCTTCTCTAAAATATCGATGGATCTTCTCACTTTATTTTCAAAGTGTAACACAGAGCCCATTGTGGTGGGGGAATGGGATTGTGGACTTTTTCCAGTGACTGACTAATCCCCTGTCAACTGTTCTTAGTTTCAATTCTTCCTTGGGGAGTGGGGCGATATGGGACCCAGGTGTGGTGCCAACCTCCGCCCTCAGTGACAGATTCAGAGGTGGCCTTGGGACTTGGGTGTAGGCTGGAACAATGGGAAGGAAGTAGGGATTTTCTCCAGGAGATCAGCTATGAAGGTCACAGAGAGACGACCATGATTCACATGGCTGTCACCTGGGGAGAGAGCCCAAAGTAAGATCAAGAGAAATAAATGGGAAAAAGGTGAAGACAACAATGTAACTTATGCTTTGAGTCCTTAAATCAAGTATTTCCTGAAGCCAGAATTCCCCCTCAATTCCAAGATATAGGAGTCAAAATGTTAACTCAGCTTGTCATGGTTTGACTTTTGAATTCAAGACCCTACTAAGTTGTCTGAAAAACATCAAAAATACCAAACTCAGAGAACCTGAGGCAAAGATGGTGCAGTGCACAAGGACAGGAGATGAGAGCAGATGACAGGTGTACTGGGGGCAGTCTGGGCATCAGGCTCCCTGGTGATTCCCATGCACAGCCCGGGGGAGAACAGCCTTGTTGATGCTGATCAGCAGGGAAGGAGGGACAGGTACATGAGAGGCTGGAAGGACAGCGGGTGAGTCAGGGATGGGGAGCTTCATAGTTGATGTTCAGAGCTGGAGGAATTCCAGGTGGTGGCAGGAGTTACTGGGTGGCCATGTGGTGGAGAGCTGGGACAAAGAGGACGGGGAGTCACTGTCATCCAGGAGGACAGAGCACTGAAAGGTTGGGAGGGTGATCTGCCAGGAAATATTAGTGTGAACTCTTTCCCTTAGTTTTTTTTTTAATGAGTTATTTAGCTTTTAGTGGCAAAGGAAGAAATACAGAACTTCAAAAAAGGAAACGAGCACTTTTCTCATCTCTTACATTCTGGTTTTGTTTGTAAGCAGAGCTCAGAACAAACAGTGATACAGAACAAAACAACTCTGTACTTTTCTTGTAAAAGAAAAATTTCACCAAGACTTTCAAGAAATGTCAAGGAAACGTTTATTGAAGACTGTTGCAATAGGAGTCACAACGTTGTAATAGGAAGAGCCGTTGGACTCAACTTACCTCAAGCCAAAGGCAGGAGAATTTAAGCCTTGAGGGGAGCTAGCAGGCTAGCTCTGGAGGTCGTTAGGAGGGAAGTTGGCTAGTGTGATTGGGCCATCTGTGTTTGCTAATTTGTGCTTGTTGGAATAAGTCTCCTATCCTCTCACAGAGACAGGGCTGCTGCCCTCTTGTGTAATTACATTTATATGGATGAGGCATCTGACTTATTCAATATTTATTGTTCCACCACACGAGTGGTTCCTGGTAGAAAATCTCTTGTATGTCATCAGTGAATGTAGAGTGTTTGTGCATCCAGTGAACAGTTCTGGGTCTTACTTGAGGCCGAGCAAGTTGTCCTGGTTGTTTGGAGACCCTCAAACCTCTCCCTGAATTCTCTGTCTCTAGAGTTTGCAGTAGTCATAGCCCACCGTAGACTGCAGTAGCAGAAGCCACATGTGGTGCTCCCAGTGTGTCTTTATCCACACAGAGGAGCAGGGAGGCTCCGTCCTCATCTGCCCCTTTCCCTTGAGTTGATGGATGCTTCTCAGCACATCAGCCTGAATTCTACTGCATCCTTCTATCTGGCAACATCCATTCCTCAATTCAGTGGAGGTCGACCTGACCCTGCATATTTCTTGCCCTGATATTTTTCTCTCCACCGAACATTCTACTGTACCCCTTCTTTTAATCTACCCATGTTTTAAATACCTCTGTGTTTCACCATGAAATCTTTTCTTGCACTCAAAACCAAAATAGTCTGCTTCTTTCTTCTAAACTCCTATTGCTTCATGAAGCCACATTTTCCCAAGGATATTTTTCTATATATCAGCCTTCAATGTTTTTAATTGGCTTTTTTTTCCATGCTGCCACAGAAACTTGATATATAGACTGCTTTGTGGCTGTAGTTTTCATTTTTTCCTATGCAGTTTAGTAATAATAATAATCTAATTTTATATCACTATGTGATATTAGATATGATTAATTAATTTTATCACAATTAATTTGATGATCTCTTACTATGTACTAGGCAGTCATCTGGACCCTGTGGTACAATAATGAGCAAAACATGCAACTTCCCTTCTAGAGTACGGAGGGAAATGTTACAGAGAGTGAGTGAAGTGTACAGAATGTGAGACCGCTACAATTCTACAGTTAGAAATAAAGAGAACAGGTGGGATGGAGATTGCCCAGGAAAGTTGCTGCAGTTTAAAATTGAGAAATCAGGAAAGACCTCAGTGACAAAGTGAAATTTTTTAGCGGAGACCCCAGGTCTGGGAAATGAGCCAGGTGTACTTCTGGGTGAAATGCAGATGCCCCTGGGTGGAGTCAGCCTGGCCCAGCCGACAGTTTGGAAAAATACGGAATGTTAGTTCAGGGACCTCAGGACTTTGAAGCAGTGGCAGTTACTAGAAGCCAAGGAAGCCTCCTGGCCTTCACAATCCAAAGTTCTGTGTGTGTCCTTCACCGTCTAAACAAGGGGAAGGTTGGGATCATTTGTCTGTCAGAATGCCTTTGTCCTCCCTGGGATCTGTGTTGGGTTTCCTGGCCGTGCAGTGTTTCAGTGTGGTGCCCGGACTCCTGAACTGCCTCTTCAGACAGGCAGAGCCTCAGTCTGGGGCTGAGACCTCCTCAGAATCTCATGGGGTGGACATGGGAAACACCAGCTCCCTTCTCCTGAGCTCTGGGTGTTTGTGATTGGTGTTGGTGGTCACAGCAGTGTCTGGCCCTTGAGATGTTTTGGTCAAGAATGGGGAAAACCCACTTGAAATGCTGTATCTTTCTTTGAAGTCTGTAATCTCTCTGTCCCACTCAAACTCCTTGTGTCATTTTATCAGTGACCACCTAAGAGTAACTGTGGCTTCAATATAGGTTTTGGTATATTGTGTTTCTAATTTCATTTGTTTCAAGCAATCTTTAAATTTCCTTATTTTTTTATTGACCCATTGGTCATTCAGGAACATGTTGTTTAATTCCATGTGTCTGTACAGTTTCCAAAGTTCCTCTTATCATTGATTTCAAATTGTATTCCACTGTGGTCAGAATAATACTTGATATAATTTTGACATACATGATATAGGTTTGACTTAAAAATTTGTTGAGAGTTGTTTTGTGGACTAACATATGATCTGTCCTGGAGAATGTTCTATGTGCTGATGAGAAGAATATATTCTGCATCAGTTAGATGAAATATTCTGTAAATGTCAGTTAGGTCCATTTGGGCTAGAGTGTAGTTTAACTCTGATGTTTGGTTTTGTTAATTTTCTGTTTAAATGGTCAGTTCTTTATTGAAAGTGAGTTGTTGAAGTTTTCTACTATTATTGTATTTCAGCTTATCTCTTTAGATCCAGTAATATTTGCATTTGAATGCTCTTTGAATTTTTATATCCTTTTGCTAAATTGACCACTGTATCATTACATAATGACCCTGTTTGCCTCTTTTTGTAATTTTTGACTCAAATTCTGTTTTGTCTGATAGAAATATGGCTACTGTTGCTCTCTTTTGGTTTCCATTTGCATGGAATATCTTTTTTCATCCCATCACTTTCAATCTATATGGGTCTTTATAGACAAAGTAATTTTCTTGTAGGGAGCATATAGTTGGATCTTGATTTTCAATCCATTCAGCCAATGTATGTCTATAAACTGAAGAATTTAGTTTATACTTAATGTTATTATTGATAGGTAAGAACTTACTATTACCATTTTGTTACTTGTTTTCTGTTTCTTTTGTAACTCATCTCTTCCTTTTCTTTCTTCTTTTATTACTTTCCTCCTTAGTGGTTAAATGATTTTCTCTGATAGCGCTTTAATTCTTTGCTTTTAAAAAAGTGTATGCATGGCTGGGCACGGTGGCTCACGTCTGTAATCCCAGCACTTTAGGAGGCCGAGGCAGGCGGATCACGAGGTCAGGAGATCGAGACCATCCTGGCTAACACGGCGATACCCCATCTCTACTAAAAATACAAAAAATTAGCCAGGGGTGGTGGCGGGCACCTGTAGTCCCAACTACTTGGGAGGCTGAAGCAGGAGAATGGCCTGAACCTGGGAGGCGGAGCTTGCAGTGAGCTGAGATCGTGCTACTGCACTCCAGCCTGGGTGACAGAGTGAGACTCTGTCTCAAAAAAAAAAAAAAAAAAATGTGTATGCATTACAGGTTTTTGCTTTAGGGTTATTAGGAAGATTATGAAATGTTCATAAGAAGTTATTTTCAACAAATGACAACTTAACTTTGATCACAAAGAAAGTAGAAGAAGCTAACAATGACAGAAAAACCTAAAAAACTCTATACTTTAACTCCCTCCCCCCCAACATTTAGACTTTTTTGATCTCAGTGTACATCTTTTTATATTGCCTATCTCTTAACAAATTGTTTTATTTATTATTTTTCATAGATTTGCCTTTAAGTATTCATACTAGAGATATGAGAGATCTACAAACCACAATTATAATATTAGAGTATTCTAAAATTGTCTGTGTACTTACTTTTACCAATTGGTTTTATACCTTCAGATGTTTTCTTTTTGCATGTTGGCATCCTTTTCTTAAAGACTAAAGACTTTCCTTTTATAATTTTGTATTAAGACAGACAGGTCTGGTAATGAATTTCCTCAGTTTTTGTTTGTCAGTCACAACCTTTATTTCTACTCAATATGTGAAAGATAGCTTTGCTGGGTGCAGTATTCTTGGTGGGAAGATTATCTCTCAGCCTGTGCCCCAGCACTTTGAGCATATCATCCCTCTCCTTGTTGGTCTGTAGGATTTCCACTGAGAAGTTTGTAGCCAGATGATTTGGAGCCTCTTTATGTTTAATTTGCTTCTTTCTTTTTGCTGCTTTTAGAATCCTCTCTTTTTCCTTTGAGAGTTTAATGACCGTATGCCTTATGATAGTCTTTTTTGTGTTGAATCTGTTTGATAATGTTTAACCTTCCTATACCTAGATATTTATATCTTTCTCTATATTTGGAAAGTTTTCTATTATTATTTATTTAAGCTTTGTAGCCCTTGCCCTCTCTCAGCTCCCTTTTGAAGGTCAATGACTTTTAGATTTGTTCTTTTGAGGTATTTTCTATATTTAATAGGTATTCTTCATTCTTTCTGTTATTGAGAGTCTGACAGCTTTCTGCTAGGCAGTTTATTTCTCAGTTCCAGGGTTTCTATTTGCTTTTTAGAAAACGATTTTGATATACTTGCTAAATTTTTCTGATACATTTCTGAATTACTTTTCTGTGTCATTGCAAAGCTTGCTGAATCTCCTAAAAACTGCTGTTTTGAATTATTGAACATTGCCATCTTCTTAGGGTTGGTCACTGGCTCCTTTGTCCATTGGGGCTGGTCATCTTTTTCTGTTTGCTGTTGTTTCTTATGCAACATCAGGTATACCGAAGACTAAAGGATGGGCTGCCATGTACCAGGCCTCCATTTCTTAATCTCTCAAATCTAGATAATTGTCTCCTACCTCATGTGTGGTAGGGAAAGCAATTGGTGTGATGCCTAACACAATGGGGACAATGAATGGATATTAACCAATATTGCCATATTTCCTTGATCCTAAGATGGTAGCTGTCTTATATTATTTTTTTCTTTCCATAACTGAATACCTAAGACTGGGTAACTTACAAAGAAAATACATTTTTTTCTTACAACTCTGAAGGCTGGGAAATCTGAGATTTAGAGGCTGCATCTGGTGAGGGCCTTCTTGCTGATAAGGAATCTCTGCAGTCCTCAGTTGTGCAGGGTATCACATGGTGAGGCGGGACACACTGAGAGGAACTGGCTTTTACAACAGACTCACAGCAGACTCACTCTTGTGACAATCTACTAACACGTTAATTCATGAATGGGTTAATCCATTCGGGGGCATAGAGCCCTCAGAACCCCATCATCTCTTAAAGACCCCACCTTTTAATAGTGTTATATTGAGGAGTAAGTCTCAACATGAACTTTTGGAGGACATACTCAAATTATAGTAATACCAATTACATAATTATAGAAGTTTATCAAAGTAAATCAAAGCAAAACCACTATCAGATTACATTTACACATAGGTGTAAGATGCATCAAAAGTTTCAAAAGCAAGGCTGGGTGTAGTGGCTCAAACCTGTAATCCCAGCCCTTTGGGAGGCCAAGGCGGGTGGATCACCTGAGATTGGGAGTTCGATACCAGCCTGGGCAACATGGTGAAACCCTGTTACTACTAAAAGTAGAAAAAATTATCTGGATGTGGTTGCATATGCCTGTATTCCCAGCTACTTGGGAGGCCAAGGCATGAGAATCGCTTGAACCTGAGAGGCTGAGGTGGCAGCTGCCTGAGATCACACCACTGTACTCCACCCTGGGTAGCAGAGTGAGACTCTGTCAAAAAAAAAAAAAAAAGAAAAGAAAAGAAAAGAAAAAAAAACCCAACAACAGTTTCAAGAATTTAATCTGTGAAAAACGTGATATAGAATATGATAGAACTAGGATATTATTAAAGTCCTTCTAAAGAACTGGAACAAGATTGAAATACAGAGAAGACTTAGAAGATTGCTCAGTAAAACTGAAGGTCTAATGTGATGGTTAATTTTATGTGTCAACTTGGCTGTTTTGCAGTGGACCAGATATTTGGTCAAACATTATTCTGGGTATTTATGTAAGGGTGTCTTATTGGATGTGATTAACATTTAAGTTGGTGGACTTTCAGTGAATTAAATTGTCTTGCATAATGTAGGTGGTCCTCATCCAACCAGCTGAAGGCTTGAATAGGGAAAAGGTTGACCTTCCCTGGGCAAGAAAGAATTCTGCCAGCAGACAGGCTCCAGAGTTGAACTGCAACTTTGACTCTTCCCTGGGTCTCCAGGTTGATGGCCCATCCTGAAGATTGTTGACTTGCTAGCTCCTTAGTCACATGAGGCATTTACTTAAAACAAATCTCTCTATACATACACATTCTTTTGGTTCTGTTTCTCTGGAGATCCTTGATCAAGACATACAGTTTATGTAGACACTTCATTTGTGTGGTCACCTGAATTTTGTGCAGCAGAGAACAGGAAGATCTGCAGTTAGACTGATTGGGGTTGGGACATGAGAATGAGGATGTGTGGGATGGAAAGATGAGGAGATATATGAAGGACATGGTTAAAATGAGAGTGAAGTGCCTTTTATCACACCTTTTTGTTTAGGTCCATGCTGAGCCAAGAATTTCCATGAACAGAAAAAGCTTCCCGTTGCCTGAAGGAAGGGTGAAGAACATCTTCTGTCTATCTTGGTTTTTGCATAACTTGCTGTCCTCCTGACCAGAGACTTGATGCTCACTTTAATAGCTTTGGGCCCGAGGAAACATTTATTTTGTTTCTTACTGTAAGTTTTACTCAGGATAGTAGAGAGTAGGGTATTCTCCCCCATGACCTTGGAGTCCTACTCCATGGAAGTTATTCATATTGCTTGATCACTGTGCTAATATAAGACAAGAGTCTTAGCTTCAAGGGAAAACTGGACATTGAAGAGATCTGCCTGGAAAACCTAGGGTTGTTTATACTGTAGCTTCTCAGAATGGAGCAGCAGAGCCTCTAACAAACTCCCACGCTGTAACTGATGTTTACATAAAGACTGATGAAGAACAGGAGATGCTATTCAAGATTCTTATAAAAACAGAACCCATTGGCCCAGCACGGTGGCTCATGCCTGTAATCCCAGCACTTTGGGAGGCCAAGGTGGGGAGATCATTCAAGGTTAGGAGTTCGAGACCAGCCTGGCCAACATGGTGCAACTACATCTCTAATAAAAATACAAAAATTAGCTGGGTGCAGTGGCACTTGCCAGTAATCCTAGCTACTTGGGAGGGTGAGGCAGAAGAATCACTTGAACCTGGGAGGCGGAGGTTGCGGTGAGCCAAGATCGTGCTACTGCACTCCAGACTGGGTGACAGAGGAAGACTCCATCTCAAACAAAACAAAACAAAACACCCAAAAAACAAAAAGCAGAACACATCAAAAAGAAAGGGCAGAGACCAACCGACTAATCAATTTTGGCTGTGAGTAAAGCAGTTAAATAGAGGAGCATCACAGTGACTTTTAGGCAACCAGGTGGGACCTGGAAAATCCTTCCCTTTCACCCTACACACCAACCTGACCTAAGTTCACAGACTTTGTAGAGTGACCTTAACTTCCCAAAAGATGTACTTGTATAGAGCATCTGAGGTCTCCCCACTCCCCATTCTGGTTCCTGCTGTCGGAGACCCTCACCTCTTGGGTGGTGCATGAGAATGCTCGCCTTCCTCTATCATGCTCTCTTGCTGGCCCTCCACTTCCAGGACCAGGTGTGACAGCAAAAGTGGAAGAGAGTCCTGCTAAGAAAGGTTGCTGAGGCAGAGAACCAGCCCCTACCACCTATCTCCCAGTAAAGTGGAGAGCTCTCACCAAGGACCATCAGATGAGGAAAGGCAGCACCAGCCTGCACTAGCCTGGTAGGTTCTTTAATATTGGAAGGACTTTGGGGCACAGAGAAAAATCTCACCACTATTTACACTAAGTTTAAACCAGTTCTTGAGTATTAAATATTGATACAAAGGTGATTATTTAAATTCCCTTCATCTATATTGATGTAATACATTTAGTATGCCTAATTGTTTTTAAACACATCTAATACCTTAAAGAATAGATAAACATATTCCTGAAAGACAATCACAAACTTATTCATTCATTATACCAAAAATGATACAGAAGGGCCCATATCATGGATTTGACATCTTTTCTCATTTGTTTTGAGTTTACTCCTTCCTATGATTTTTGTGATCTTCCGAGACCCCAAATGACTAAACGAGGTTGCAAGTCTAGGGCCAAATAGCTGACCCTTGATCAGGAAACAGTGCTTTGCATGTGTCTAAGATGAATCAAACCCAGACTACTTGTTATTTATTATCAGGCTGAGACTTTTTGTTGTTGTTGTAATAAAAATGTTTGGTTTTTTTTGTCATGTCATGACACTGTTCAATCCCTGTCTTTTATATAAATTTTAATTCTAGAAACTTGTTTTTCTCACAAATACGTCGTTCTTAAGTTTTTGCATAGCCCTAAGTGTATGGCCAATTTTCTTATCATTATGATGTATTGACTTGGTTCATTGGCATAATTAAAAACATATTAACATATATTTTCTCACTAGCATTTTATTAAAATGAGTATAGCTTTATTATAATAAATAGAGTTCATATGCTTGAAGGGATGGAGAGTTGAGACCAACTCCTTCATTAAACATTGGTCTAATTAACCTTTTGGGGACCAGTGAGGGACCATTTGTCTCATTGGTTATTGGGCCTCGTCCTCTATGGTCACCAGCTTCTGAGCTCCTCTTCTATCTGGTTATTAATTGAGATCACTGATGCTTGTCAGTCTTTCTTGTTTTGGGCACAGTTTTAACTTTTTCCTTAGTAAACTTTATTTTATTCTATCTTGTTGATACAGTTATATATCACCAAAACAGAGTGAAATAAAGCTTAATGTAAAGTGTATATATTTAACACATCTGCTTAAAATTTCAAAAATTATGTATAGCAATGCTTTCCCACTTTTTAAAATTAAAGGACAAGTAAACATAGCCCATTAGATCTATCTTTCCTTTGAGCCAACAACCACTTTTTGCCTCTCATTGTAAACTTCTACTTTTTGAGTATCATTAGGAATGCATTGAATTTTTAAGTTTCAAACTATTCCAATTAACACTTATATCCTGTCAGGAATGGTGGCTCAAGCATGTAATCCTAGCACTTTGGGGGGCTGAGGAGAGCAGATCACTTAAGCTCAGGGGTTCGAGACCAACCTGGGCAATATGGTGAAACCCTGTCTCTACAAAAAAATACAAACCATTAGTAGGGTGTGGTGGCACATGCCTGTAGTCCCAGCTACTCAAGAGGCTGAGGTGGGAGGATCATTTGAGCACAGGAGGTCAAGGCTGCAGTGAGCCGAGATTGCACCGCTGTACTCCAGCTTGGGTGGCTAAGTTAGACACTGTCTCAAACAACAACAATAAAAAACCCAATTATATTCATTTTTGTTATTTTGTTATTGCTCTATGATGCTCAAATTGTGCATCATTGGAATGCAAAGACCAGTTAACTTAATGTAGATCAGAATTCTCAATACAAAGGAACCATACAAACCACCATATAACAAAGCAAAAGAAAAAAAAGGAAAAAGAAAAGAAAATTAAAAAGGTCAAACACACTAAGTTTAATGCTTGAACTTTATTTTGGAGAGAGAAATTTAGAAAGACACAAGGTACACAGAGTAAAATGTTTTTCTTTTTTCAGGACCTTGAACTGAATCTTGCACTGCTTTGGTTTCTATCTAGGAAGCTCAGCGACAGCAGAGTCTGTAGAGGCGGCCACTGATTTCACACACCCCGGAGAGGGACTCACGGGTAGCACAACGGCCGGTTCGGCAATAGCAGGTGGCTCTTGCCTGAGAACCTGTGGAAAGAAGAGAGGGTCAGGCACAGCGAGGGAGGTGGGAAAAAGGACAAGCACAGCCAGACTAACTGAGATAGTCTAAATAAGAGACACTGTATCAGTCATGTTAGGATGGAGAAAATTCATGTCTTTGTCGTAAGTGACAAGAAATCTTACTAGCTATGTGTTAGTCATGCAAGATCATAGTTTTTTTCCCCATGTGAGTCTATCCAGGATGTATTTATTACCTGCTCCCTGGTCCAACAATATACCTCTCAACCTCAGGGTTACCTACTCTTCATTCTGCTTCATCCACACGCCTAATCTTGACCTCCATGTGTGATTTCCAGGTCCTAACAAGGCTCCCTAAAGCACCTGAATCAGTTTCTGAAATGCCGCATTGTGCATGCTAATGTCATGGACCAAATACTTTGGTGCTCAAGGAGTCTTTGAAGACTTTCCAAATTCAAATTCTTCATTCTCTGTCTCTCCTTTTTTTTTTTTTTTTTTTTTTTTTAACATTTTACATATTTACTTGTTTTAATTGACAAACAATAATTGTGTATATGTATGAGACACAATATGATGTTTTGATCTAAGGATGTATTGTAGAAAGATTTAATCAAGCCTATTAGCCTACATCAAAACACACCTATAGGTTCCTCTCTAGGTTCTAAAAGCTTTTCCAATGGACAAAGTAAAACACTCTCTATATAACTAAGTCTGCCCATTTAGATCTACAAAGAACTAGTCAGTGTAGCTCTTTCTATCTTAAAAGTAGCAAATTTCACAGAAATATCTTGGAACTGAAAGTCTTAGAAAAAAGAAAATCTTTTAGATTTATTTGGTTCTCACTGATTAATTTATAGATGAGAAAATCAAGGTCCAGGAAGATTAAGTAAAGTCACTCAAGTGAGGTAGACCTTTCCACACTTGACTCCAGATCCTTTCTCCAATCCTTTTTTTCTAGATTTTGCAGATGTGCAAGATTGATGTCTCCTACCTGAGGTTCTAAGAGCAGAGAGTCCATTTCCTGCAAAGGAGATAGCAAGGTCCTGGTTGTCTTCCCCAGACTGCTTCTGGGTTGTAGCCTCATCAGCTCTTTCCTGGAGTGACTCAGCCTGGGCCTGCAGGGCCACCAGGAGAATGGCAGCAAGGATGGCGATGGTCCTCATGGCTGGGGTCACCTGCAGGAGGGAGAGCAGGAGTGGATATGTGGGGAGTGAGGAGTCAGCCTGGATTTATAGCTCTGCTGGGAGAAGACCTGAGACAGAAGCTGCAGTGAGAGGAGGTGGGCATGTGATTGGGAGGGGAAGGACTGCCTTTGTTCTCAAGATCCCTTTGATGCTCCTCTTTCTCCCAGCTTTCATCAAAGCGTGAGTCTGTATGCTTAATGCCTCTTCTTGATCCAAGGTGTTAATGATGATAAGGGTATTACTATCCTGTTCTGTTTCCCATCTGCTTGAGTATTTACTTTTATATATTCAAAAAAGAAAAACAACAGCGCTTTCATTCAAGAAGTTTGGGGATCAAATGCCTCTTGTTTTCTGAAGATGGTCCCTGGTACTCTCTGGATGACTCTCTGGGGGCAGACCTGGGACTCAGTGGAGTAGAGAGTTAATTCATTGCAGGATTCAGGGATATTACTAACCTCATGTAGGAGGCTTTTGAGATCTCGAGGTGAGTAGTCTCCCGCTGGTGCCAGTATGGAGAGGTCAATGACCTTATCAGGCTATAGGGGAAATGAGTTCAGTAAAATAGTAGGCCAAGTTTATCAGATTAAAATAAAAATTCGGATTTAGTTCAAGGAGTTGGTGTGATCTGAATGCATCACATAAAATGTGTAGCGGGTACTTCTCTCCACTTTGGGGAATATCAAAGTAATTTAGGTGCGTACAGCCCCTTTCTGAGATTTTTTTTTTAGTTTTAGAAAATTGTAAATCATGCACAAGGAACAACATTCAAAAGGTAGAAGTCATGAGCTCTCATTTCTACCCCCAGGCCTTCAGTTCTGACCCAGCAAACCATCACTATTAACAGTTACACATAGTATTCTGCACTTCGCTTTTTTCACCTGTAACATTGGCACTTTGTATATCAAAATACATGGAATGCTATTATAATTTTAATAGCCTTATACTATCCCAGGGTTTGTATATGCCATCACTTATTTTTTGTACTGATAAAATATTATAAAATTATTACAATTTGGTTATTTTTAAACTTTTGCAGTAATAAGTAAAGTTACAGTGATTATCTTGTATATATGTTCTCTTACCTATATGGATAAACTTATAGAAATAGAATTGCTGTGTCAAAGAATGCATCTTAAGCCAGCATGGTGGTACATGCCTATATTTCTAGCTATTTGAGAGGCTGAGGTGGGAGGATCACTGGAGACCAGGAGTTCGATACCAGCCTAAAAACATAGTGAGACCCCTTTCTCTTAAAAAAAAAAAAAGAGACTATATCTTACACATTTTTAAGATATTACTACATATTTCCATAATATCACCATATTTGATCCAAATCCTTTGGGGCTCAGTGGGCCCTTGGAGAGTCTCTATATTTGAATTCCTCATTTAATTTTTTTCAAATTTATTTATTTATTCATTGAAAAATAATTTTCTGTATATTTGTAGGGTATGATGTGACGTTTGGATTGATATCCACATGGGAGAAACACATAAGCTAATTAAGATAGCCATCACCTCACCAACTTAATTTTTTAAGGAGAATTACAAATTGATTCCTTTAGCAGTTTGAAAGATACAATACATCACTATTAACTGTGGTCACCGTGCAGTGCCATAGATCACTAAGACTCTCCAGCATAACTGAAACTTTGTACTCTTGGCTCAACATCTTCTCTTTTCCTATCTCACCCACCTGCAGCTTCTGATGACCACCTTTGTACTCTAGTTCCATAAAACTGACATTTTAACATTCCATGTGTAAGTGATATCATATAGTATTTGTCTTCCTGTGTCTGGTTTATTTCGTTTAGCACATTGTCCTTTGGTTCCATCCATGTTGTCATGAATGAAGAATTTCCTTCTTTTTTTTTTTTTTTTTTTTTTTTGAGACGGAGTCTTGCTGTCGCCCAGGCTGGAGTGCAGTGGTGCGATCCCGGCTCACTGCAACCTCCGCCTCCCAGGTTCACGCCTTTCTCCTGCCTCAGCCTCCTGAGTAGCTGGGAGTACAGTCGCCCGCCACCATGCTCGGCTAATTTTTTTGTATTTTTAGTAGAGACGGTGTTTTACTGTGTTAGCGAGGATGATCTCGATTTCCTGACCTCGTGATCCGCCCGCCTGGGCCACCCAAAGTGCTGGGATTACAGGAGTGAGCCACCGCGCCCTGCCAATTTCCTTCTTTTTTAAGGCTATATGGTATACCATCTTGCATGTATACCATATTTTCTTTATTCATTCATCCACTGATGAACATTTAGGCTAATTCCATATCTTGCTTATTTTGAATAATGCTGAAATGGACATGGGAGTGCAGATTCTTCTTTGATACAGTGATTTCAATTTCTTGGGAGATATACCCAGAAGTGGGATTGCTGGGTCATATGGTAATTCTATGTTCAGTGCTTTGAGGAACCGCCATACTATTTTCCAAAATGGCTGCACTAATTTACATTTCCACCAATGGCCTACAAGGGTCCCCTTTTTTTTATATCCTCACCAACACGTATTATTTGTCTACTTGTTAAAAGCCATTCTAACAGATGATTACCTCTTTATGATTTTAATTTGCATTTCCCTGATAATTAGTGATGTCGAGTGTGTTTTTCATATATCTGTGGGCCAGGTTTATTGCCCTTTTTTAAATTGAGATGTTTGTTTTCGTCTTATTGAGTGTTTGAATTCCTTATATCTTTGGGATATTAGCCCCTTATCAGATATATGGTTTGCAAACACTTTCTCCTAGTCCCTGGATCATCTTTTTGTTTCCTTTCTGTGCAGAAGTTTTTTAGTTGATGTAACCTCCTTGGTCTATTTTTGATTTTGTTGTCTTTGCTTTTGGAGTCCTGTTGTAGAAATAATTGCCCAGAAAAATGTCATAAAGATTTCCCTCCATGTTTTCTTCTAGTAGATTTACAATTTCGGGTCTTTTATGTAAGTCTTTAATCCATTTTGAGTTGAGTTTTGTGTATAGTGTGGGATAAGTGTCCAATTTCATTCTTCTGCTTGTGGATATCTAGTTTTCCTTACACCTTTTAGTGAAAAGACTGTCCTTTCCCCATTGTGTGTTCTTGGCATCTTTGTTGAAGATCAAGTAATCATAAAGCCCTGGGTATAGTTTTGGGCTTTCTACTCCTTTCCTTTGGTTATTGTGTCTGCTTTTACACCAGACCATGCTGTTTTGCTTCCAATAACTTTATGATACATTTTAAAATGAGAGAGCATGATGCCGCTATCTTTGTTATTTTTGCTCAAGATTGCTTTGGCTATTCGGGGTCATTTCTGATTTCATGCCAATTTTAGTATTTTTTTAATTCCTGTGAAAAATTGCATTGGAATTTTGATGGGGATCTACAGATCACTTTGGGTAGTGTAGACATTTTAATAATATTAATTCTTCCAATCCATGAACTCAAGATATCTTTCCATTCATTTGTGTCTTCTTCAGTTTTATTCATCAATATTTATAGTTTTCAGTGTACAGATCTTTCACTTTTTTGGTTAAAATTACTTCTAAGAATTTTATTTTTGAGTGCTATTATAAATGAGATTGTGTGGGCTTCTAAACCTTTGTGCCAGTCCAAACTCCTGTCTTTATTCTTAGTGACTCCTACAAAATTAGAAAGTGTCAAGTCATGCTATTGCCTTGAGAGAGTGGGAGAGAAGCCAGACCTTTAGAATACAGTGGAGAGGTTGGGGTGTTTGATATGTGTTTCAGTTTTTTCTTTCTTTGCAGAGAAACTGATAGAGTTTATCTCCCACTTATTCTGCCTTATGAAAATGAGAGGATCTGAATTAAATCTGTAATATCTATAATATTTATTTGAATTCGTGAATTAACAGGGAGCCTGGGAGGGACTAATTTCCTGCATCAGTGATTCCAGGTTTCATGGCCCTTGTTTTGCCCTGGTGGCCATTTAGCACCAGGTTTTAAACCATCTGTATTTGTACTGCTTCTCTATTTCTCACTGGACATTGCTAAGTTTGTAGATAGCGTTCCACAATTGTTTCCTAGCCTCCGTCTCTCTGGCATTGTCTCTCTGAATCTCTAGCAATGACTGAAGAAACAATTTGGGACATTTTTGTTCCAGTTCTAACCTTTCTCCATGAATTCTCTCATGTGTTTGATCACCCAGAGTCCTTATTATTTGGAGAAATTGATATCTTCAGTCTCTCTTCATCCTTCTCTGACCCCAAAATTAATTGGGTGAGCAGAAAATCTGGAAAGATAAATGGGTGGTTTAAAAACCACTGTCCAGGCCCTGTGGTGTGAGAGGCAGAGCTGAGCACTGGCCAAGCCAGAAGATGCCCGGTGGCCCATCTTCCCAGGACCAGGCCCTCACCGGCAGCCCATTGCTCAGCCTTAGACACAACTCTGTTGCCAGTCAAGTTTCTCATTATCTCTGGCAGAAGTATTTCTAGAGAACTCCACTGGGCTGGGCGCAATGGCTCATGCATGTAATCCCAGCACTTTGGGAGGCCAAGGCGGGCAGATCATTTGAAGTTAGGAGGTCGAGACCAGCCTTGCCAACATGGTGAAACTCCATCTCTACTAAAAATACAAAAATTATCTGGATGTGGCAGCGGGTGCCTATAGTCCCAGCTACTCTGGAGGCTGAGACACGAGAATCTCTTGAACGTGGACAGCAGAGGTTGCAGGGAGCTGAGATTGTGCCAGTGCACTCCAGCCTGGGCAACAAAGCGAGACTCCATACCCCCACCCCCCCCAAAAAAAAAGAAAGAAAGAAAAAGAAAACGGCACTGACATTATGGAAAATAATTTTAGTTTCTTAATGCGTTTGTAAATAATCATTTAGAATAAAATGCCTTTCCTGTTCCCTTTTTTCTTTAACTGTAGCAAAGTGCCCATTATCTATTGTCCCCTTGACTTCAAACGTGCTGTCATTTAAAATAAAGTCTGAAAAACTATTTTTCTTGTCCTTTATTCTGAGTCCAATCTTGCCTCTCCTATACTCAGCGCTGGGACAAAAACAGGATTTCCATCCATAATATGGACATTCACTCTTAATTTCCATACATAATATGGACATTCACTCTTAGAAGGCATGTACTCCCTGGGCGATGATTTAATTATTTAACATAAAAATTAATTTAACTGTGCTAAAAACTAAAGGGCAAGGGAATTGGCCTGAAAGAAAATACTTCAGATAGCAACAGAATCTGGTTTTATAATAGAGGTTTTGTATTCCAGGATATTCCAGGGGACAAACAATGCTTAGATGTGTGTTTATTACTGGTAACAGTCAAGCAGATGGGAGACAGGGAGAGTGATAGGGGCCTTCATGAACGTGAAGAGCAGGTGTTTCAGTGCAGCTGCTGGATTGGAGAATCATCAAAGGTCTGAACCATCAACCCAAAGGATACCTCTATCCCACAGCCACGCAGGTTTGGGGTAGCTCATTGCCCTGGGATGCTGCTTCCTCCAGATATCACAGAGCTGGGGTCTTTTTACTCCCCTTGGTCCTCAGGCTCCTTCGGTCCCTTGAGAGACAGTGACCTCTAGGAGGCTCACAGCCCTGAGAGCCTTTCCCCTTGTCCTTCTCTGGAGCCTCTTGGAGAAAGCTCACCAGGTCCTAGCCTTGCAGCAGCCTGGGACAGAGGACCCAGATGTAGCTGTCCCCTTTGCAGGAGTGAAAACTGCATTATGGGCTTCGGGTAAGACAATGTGCTGTCTGTTGGGAGCTGCAGTCTCAGTGGTGCCATCAACTAGCTGTGGGATCATTAGTGCATGACTTCACCTATCATGGCCTCTGTCTTTCAACTCTAAATTGGGGGCAATAGAGTCTCTCCAAGGGGTCTTGGGTGCAAGACCTTGAAACCCTTGAAAGATTAATGTATGCAGTTCATCCCGCAGGCACGAGCAGACAACTAGGCAACAAATAACAGCCACTTAAAGCTTTCTTAGCCTAAGCTGCTTTCAGAAACAGCCTGTCAAAGTTTCTCCAGGCTCTACGGTGCCTTTGAATATCACATTTTTAACCCCAAAGTCCATGTAATTCATTCTGGCAATCACCCAATATTATTCAAATTTCATGTAGTTCATTCAGGCAATCACCCAATATTACTGAAATTTTAATCTTCTCTTAGAATACTCATTCTCCATGAAATCTTTTCCAAATGTATAGTGCTAAATGCTGTCAATTTCAGAATGATTCCTGCATTTATATCTTCAGCTCCAACCACCCAGCTGAATTCCAGACTCTGGAACACATTTCCTGTCGTGTGCGCTAGAATCTCCAACAGATTCCTCACCCCTAATGTCCAAAACTAAACTCTTCACTGTACATCTCCCCAGCTTGCAGGCACCACACACACATACAGGTGTTGTCATTTCAGAAAATGGCACCAGTGTCTCTGCAGTTGTTCAGGGCAAAAAATAAAAATATTCTTCAGATATCCTAATATTCCATATTCTTACATCAGCAACTTCTGTTGCTTCTGTACCTTCAATATAAATTTTGAATGGGGCCATTTCTTATCCCCTGCACTGCCAGCACCCTGGTGCAATATACACTGGCTTCTCATCTGGGCTTCCTCAGCCCCCTTGTAACTGGGCTCCCGCTGATACTGGGCTCTGTGCTGCCTCTGAGCACCCGTTTTCCAGAGCTGGTCAATACCCCTGTCTAGCGAGGTTCTTTCCCAGCCATTTTCAAGATGCAACACCCAGGTACTAAGTCCTGACAGGCACTAATCTCCACGGTTCTCCAGGAATGAACAAATAAGGGAATAACCACACATATCCCATGTATCCACAAACGTAGTGCCTTTTTTTTTTTTTAAAGAGGATGGGTAGCTCATTGTCCTTTCTTAAAGAAGCACTACGTTTGTGGATACATGTGGATACATAGCATGTCCCCAAAGCTATGCTCTTGCAATTGGTGTCCAGCAGCCTCTGAACAAGTGAGGAAGGTTCATCCAATAGTGCAAAACTGGGCTGTAGGTGCCCACCAGGAGGAGCCAGAGGTCCTCATGTTCATGAAGGCCCTTATCTCTCTCCCTGTCTCCCATCTGCTTGACTGTTACCAGCAATAAATATGGTCATGTCTAACCATCATTTGTCCCCTGGAATATCCTGGAATACAAAACCTCTATTATAAAACCGGATTCTGTTGCTATCTTATTTTCTTCCAGGCCAATTGTCTTGCACATTACTTTGTAACACAGTCAAGTTAATTCCTATGTTAAATAATTAACTCATCCGTCAGGGGAGTACATACATTCTAAGAGTGAATGTTCATATTATGGATGGAAATCCTGTTTTTGTCCTGGCCCTGAGTGACCTGGACAAGTAGATCTTTCTACCCTGAGATCCAGCTCCTCAGGGTAGAAAGTGCAGAGCTGACATCTCTATGAAAATGACCAGGGCAATAGAAACAAAAAGGTAAGAAAAAAGGTAAAGAAAAAAATAAGGTAAAGAAAAGGGGGGACTACATGGCCCAAATACATTGAGCTTACTGTGAAAACTCATTTTTGGAGATAGAGAGAAGATAAAGAACAAGGAAGAGAGACTAAATTGTTCGTTTCCAGGTTTTCAAATGGAATCTTGTCCTGATTTGGGTCTCAATTAACAAAGCACAAGGACAGCTGAGCCTGTAACAGGTGTTGCTGAGGATACAGGACCGAGAGTGATACTCAGTGGCAACATGCAGGTCTGCAACTGCAGGTGCCTCTCACCTGGTGACCTGCAGGAAGATGGAGGAGCATATTGGGCACAGTGCTCGGTTTGGGGGTACGGGAAATCAGATCAGAGCAGCCCAGAGGAGGACTGTGTTCTAATAGAGCAGGTTCTAATAGAGCAGAATAAAGAGATCATAACTGGCCATCTGTCGGCCATTCAAGATCTGGTGCTTCCTTTCATGTTTTCTGTCATTTATATCACACAGTCCCCACTCCCTGCACACAGGCACTGAGACTCAGAGACATGCACATGCACGTCTATAACACATACATCCCCAGTTTCCACCTCACAACACACTCCACTCACCACACAGGCGTGCACATACCTGCACAATATAAACATACAAACATATGCACAGGTGCACGCATGCACACACACCCTGAAGTGCAGACTCCAAACTCTAATATATCTGGTTTAGTCTCTGAGGCTGAAGCTGCTCAGAGGGCGCCTCCCGCGATGCGGGGAGTAATATCTCCCCCTCTCCCCCCCGGGCTATTACCAGCCACATCACAGGGGGGTGAGGGCGCCCCCCGCGATGCGGGGAGTAATATCGCCCCCCTCTCCCCCCTTGCATATTACGAGCCACGGTGGTCACACAGCGTGTTGACATTATTGTCAATAATATCTTCTCTCCCTCTGGAAATGACCAACTAGATCACAGACCGGTGTACATCCTCTTCACTATTTGTAGTAATAGCATCCTCTTCCCCCTGGATATTAAGAACAGTATCACAGGAGTCTTTCTACCCCCAGCGGCATTGGGTGTAGTATCGTCCTCTCCCACGTTGAAATTATGAACTATATCACTGGGGGTGTGTCCACCCCATGCGATATTGATAGTAGCATCATCCTCTTCTCTCCTGGATCAGGGGAGCAATGTCACTGGGGTGGTGTACACTTTCTGCGGTATCGGCAGTAAGATCATCCTCTCCGCCTTGGAATATGAAGGACCATATCACAGGGGGGCTGTACACACCCTGCGCTATGAAGACGAATATTATCCTCTCCCACCCTGCACATGAGAAAAAATATCACAGGGTGGGTGTACACCTTCTGCGATATGGGGGGGAAATATCTTCTCTTCTTCTGGATAGTAGGAACAATATCACACGGGTTTGTACACTTTCTGTGATATTGGGAGTAATATCAACTTCTCCGCCTTTGAATATTAAGAACAGTGTCACAGACTGGATGTACACCCCCTGCGATATTGGGAGTAAAATCAGCCTCTCCTCTCCATGGATATTAGGAATAATATCCCAGAATGGGTGTACACCTCCTGCTGTATGGGAAGTCATATCTTCCTCTCCCTTCCTGGCTACTAGGAACCATATCAGAGGGTGGGTGTACACAGCCTGCGATATTGCGAGTAATATCACCCTCTACCCCTCCGGATATTAGGAACAATATCACAGAAGGGGTGTACACTTTCTGCGATACTGGGAGTCATAGCATTGTCTTCTTCCGTGAATATTAGGAGCAATTTCACCGGGTGGATGTACACCCACTGCTCTATTGGGAGTGACGTCATACTCCACCCCCTGGAGATTATATTCGGATCAATATCACTGGGTGGGTGTACACCTACTGCAATATTGAACATAATATCATGCTCTCTCCCTCCCTGGACATTAGGAGCAATATCACAGGTAGGTGTACACCCACTGAGGTATTAGGCGTAATATTCATATTCATTATTCCTCATTTATTAGTCACATGAATATGAATTACCAATATTAATATTAATAACAAATTGCTGATAAAAAGTGTTCAAAATATTAATATTAATTATTAGGAGCTAATATTACTGTTTTCTAATGTATAAGATCAATATCAGTTATTAATATCAGGCATTATTAATCATTAATATTAATCATTTATTGTTATCATTCGTATAACTATTTAATATTAATTATCATTATTATTGGTATTGATGTTAAAAATTATATTTTCAGTTATTAATGTCGATAATTATTAGTATCAATTAATAATGGATGTTATTAATTGCGATAAGTAATATTGATATTAAAATCGATATTATTGATTATCAATTATTAATTGCGATAAGTAATATTGATGTTGAAATGGATATTATTTATTATTAATTATTAATTGCGATAATAATATTAATTGCGATAAGTAATATTGATATTGAAATTGATATTATTAATTGTGACAAGTAATATCGATATTAAAATGGATATTAGTGATTATTAATTATTAATTGCGATAATGATATTAATTGCGATAATGATATTAATTGCGATAAGTAATATTCATATTAAAATTGATAGTATTAATTGCTATAAGTAATATTGATATTAAAATTGATATTATTAATTGCGATAAGTAATTTTGCCCCATTCCACATAATATCTGTGATCTTGTTGCTAATACCCAGGCGGGGAGAGGACGTTATTAATCCCAATAATCCGGAAGGTGTAGACCTCCCCTGTGATATTGTCCCTAATATCCAAAGGTGGAGAGGAAGATATACCTCCCAATTTCGCAGGGGTTGTACACCACCCCTGTGACATTGTTCCTAATGTCCAGGGGTAGAGAAAATGACATGACTCACAATAAGGCAGGGGGTGAACACCCCGTCCATGATATTGTTCCTAATATTCAGGGGGGAAGAGTATGATGTTACTCCCAATATCACAGGCGGTGTACTCCCCATATCCCAGGTTGTGGATAGTATCCCGATCTGTGATAGACTCCGCCACGATGTGGGGAGTAATGTCATCCCCCTCTCCTTCCCTCGGTATTACGATACACATCGCAGGGGGGCGGGCGACCCCTACGATGCGGGGAGAAAAATCACCCCCCACCCCTGATATTACGAGCCACATCGCAGGGGGGTGGACACCCCCAGTGATGCGGGGAGTAATATCTATCCCCCTTCCCCATGGATATTAGGAGCCACATCACAGGGGCGTGGACACCCTCCGCTGATGCGCAGAGTAATATCAACCCCCATCCCTCCCTGCATGTTAGCAGTCACTGAGGACACACAGTGTATTTACCATATTTCCAGTAAGATCATCTTTTCAATTGAACCTTATGAACAAGATCACAGAGGGGTGTACACTTCCTGCGATACTGGGGGTAATAGCGTTCTCTCCTCCACTGCATACTGGGAACAATATCACAGGGGTGTGTATTCCTCCTTCCATATTGAGAGTCATATCATACTTGCCTTCCATATATTAAGAACAATAGCAAAGAGGGGAGTGGACACTGTGACGATATTAGGAGTAACATCATTCTCTCTACCCCTGGATATTAGTAGCAATATCACAGGGGGATGTACATTTCTTGTGATATTGAGAGTAGTAGTATTGTCTTCCCCGGTGGATATGAAAAACAATACCACAAGGGGCGTCAAACCACCTGCCAAATTTGAGGGCATGTTATCCTCTCCGCCCCCGGATATTAGAGACAATAACACAGGGGTAATGTACACCCACTGCTTGATCGGGAGAAGGATCATCCTCTCCCTTCTTGGATATTAGGAACAATATCACGGGGGTGGGGGGGGGGTGTACTGCCTCTGCGATATTGGGAGTAAAACTCTCCTGTCTTCCCCTGGATATTAGGAAGTGTATCAGAGGGGGAGGGTGCACATTCCCTGCGATATTCAATGTAATCTTATGCTCTCCCTCCCAGGGTATGAAGAACAATATTACAGGAGGGGTGTACACCCTCTGCGATATTGGGAGTCATATCATCCTCTTTCGCTCTGGATATTAGGAAGAATATCACAGGGCTGTGTACACCCCCTGTGATATTGGGAGTCATATCATCCTGTGGCCCTGAGGAGAGAAACAATTTCTCTACTGTCTCCTGTCTCTGAAGAGGAGGAGGAAGTAAAAGTGGGAAAACAACAGGAATGAAGTCAGTGGCAAGACCAGCCGGTGGCACTGATGAGCCGGTCTGCGGTGAAAAGATTAACCCCCCCTTAGATTAACCCTAAGCACATGTGCTCTGAATCCATCACGGCCCTTTCACGTGGAACCCCTTGGAGTTGTAAGCCCTTAAACGGGCCAGGAACTCTGTCTTCCTTGGAGGAGCTGGGTTCTTAAGACAAGAGTCTGTCGATACTCTCGGCCGAGTAAAAAAACCTCTTGCTTCTTGAATCTGCTGTCTGAGGGACTTCGTCCACGGCTCATCCTACTTCATTTCTTAGTGCCCTGATTGGGAATCAAACGGGGGCAGCAGCGGTAAAAGCACCGAATCCCAACCACTAGACCACCAGGGGAACTTTGAACCTTGGGGAAAATAGATTGCCCACCATTAGAAGTGGGTCGGCCATCAGAAGGAAGCCTGGACAGGTCCCTTGCTTCTAAGGTGTGGCACAAGGTAACTGGTAAAGGACACCTAGACCAGTTCGTATAGACACTTGGTGACAGCTGGTGCTAGACTCCCCACAGTGGCTAAGAGGGCAGGCAGCGGAAATACTAGTAGCAAAGGGACAGATAGCTAAGGAAGGATCCCGCTCCACCCGCCCAGGGAAATCAACTCCTGAAGCTCTATTCCACCCAGCGTCAGAAGATGCATTGCAGGAGATGGCACCAGAGATCCCAGTGGTGCCCTCCCCTTAGCAGGGAAAGAGGCTCCCCACTCTTGAGCCCACAGTGCTTGCGCCTCCGCAAGACAAGCGTATCCCTAGGCCACCTAGAGTAGACAAGGACTTGGGAGAAACCCCTCCCTTGGCAGCTCATTTACAACCCAAAACCGGGATCCAAATGCCCCTGAGAGAGCAGCGGTAGACTGCTATAGTTGAGGATGGTCACGTGGTGGAGAGACGTGTTTTTGGGTACCAGCCCTTCACCTCTGCTGACCTTCTCAACTGGAAAAATAATACCCCGTCCTATACCGAAAAGCCACAAGCTCTGATTGATTTGCTCCAAACTGTTATCCAGACCCACAACCCCACCTGGGCTGATTACCACCCGTTGCTCATGTTCCTCTTTAACACAGATGAAAGGCGGAGAGTCCTCCAAGCAGCAACTAAGTGGCTAGAGGAATATGCACCAGCTGATTATCAAAAACCCAGAGAGCACATAAGGACCCAGTTACCAGGAACCGACCCCCAGTGGAACCCACATGAAAGAGGGGATATGCAAAGTCTAAACTGAGACAGGGAAGCTCTCTTGGAAGGATTACAGAGGGGAGCTCAGAAGGCCACAAACGTTCACAAGGTCTCTGAGGTCATTCAGGGAAAACAAGAAAGTCCAGCACAATTCTGTGCGAGACTGTGTCAGGCCTATCGTGTGTATACTCCCTTTGATCCCCAGATCCCTGAAAATCAGTGCATGATTAACATGGCTTTAGTCCGTCAAAGCGCAGAAGACATGAGAAGAAAACTGCAGAAACAGGCTGGGCTTGCAGGGATGAATACATCACAATGATTAGAATAGCTAACCAGATGTTTGTAAACAGGGATGCAGTAAGCCGTAAGGAAAACCGCAAAGAGAATGAACGTCCGGCCTGGAGAAACACTGACCTGTTTGTTAGCTGCAGCAATCAGAGGGGCCCCCCGAGAGAGGCAAGGGAAGGGGGGCCCTGGGACAGAAACTCTGCTTGGCTGTCAGAGTTTGCAGTGTAACCAGTGTGCTTATTGTAAAGAAATAGGACATTGGAAGAACAAATGTCCTCAGCTCAACAGAAAACAAGGTGACTCAGAGCAGGAGGCCTGGGACAAGGAGGAAGGGGCCCTGCTCAACCTGGCAGAAGGGTTATTGGACTGAGGGAGACCAGGCTCGAGTGTCCCCAAAGAGCCTCTGGTCAGAAGGACAGTCTGGGATAGAGACATTGATTTTCTTGTAGATACCGGTGCTGAACAATCGCTAGTAACCGCCCCGGTCACCCCCTTATCCAAAAAGACTATTGACATCATCAGAGCCACGGGGGTTTCAGCAAAGCAAGCTTTCTGCTTGCCCCGGGCTTGTGCTGTAGGAGGACATAAAGTGATTCATCAGTTTCTGTACATGCCTGACTGTCCCTTGCTCTTGTTGGGAAGGGACTTCCTTAGCAAGCTGAGAGCCACTATCTCTTTTATAGAGCATGGCTCTTTGCTGCTAAAGTTGCTCAGAATGGGAGTCATTATGACTCTTATGGTCCCCCAAGAGGAGGAACGGAGACTTTTCTGAACTAAGCCGGGCCAAGAGATAAGACCAGCTCTGGCTAAGCGGTGGCCAAGAGTATGGGCGGAAGACAACCCTTCAGGATTGGCAGTCAACCAACCCCCTGTACTCATAGAAATGAAGCCTGGGGCCCAGCCTGTGACGGAAAAACAGGACCTGGTCCCGCAGAGAAACTCTTCAAGGGATCCAGGTCCATCTCAAGCACCTAAGAACTTTTGGAATCAGAGTTCCTTGTCAGTCTCCACGGAACACTCCCCTTCTGCATGTTCCCAAGCCACAGACCAAGGACTACAGGCCGGTACAGGATTTGCGCTTGCTTCATCAAGCTACACTGACTTTACATCCAGCAGTACTTAACCCGTACACATTGCTGGGGTTGCTGCCAGCTGAGAACAGCTGCTTCACCTGCTTGGACCTGAAAGACGCTTTCTTTAGCATCAGATTAGCCCCTGAGAGCCAGAAGCTGTTTGCCTTTCAGTGGGAAGATCCGGAGTCAGGAGTCATTACTCAGTACACTTGGACCAGGCTTCCCCAAGGGTTCAAGAACTCCCCCACCATCTTCGGGGAGGCGTTGGCTTAAGACATCCAGAAGTTTCCCACCAGAGACCTAGGCTACAT
The DNA here is from genome assembly GCF_000001405.40 of Homo sapiens. NCBI lineage: Eukaryota > Metazoa > Chordata > Mammalia > Primates > Hominidae > Homo > Homo sapiens. Next base: position 7,071,179 of record NC_000008.11, read on the forward strand.
TTTGCTCCAGTACGTTGATGACTTTTTGCTGGGACACCCCATGGCAGTCGGATGCTCCAAGGGAACGGATGCCCTACTCCGGCGCCTGGAGGACTGTGGCTATAAGGTGTCCAAGAGAAAAGCTCAGATCTGCTGACAGCAGGTAAGTTCCTTAGGATTTACTATCTGACACGGGGAACACAGCCTGGGATCAGAAAGAAAGCAGGTCATTTGCAATCTAGCAGAGCCTAAGAGCAGAAGGCAGGTGAGAGAATTCTTAGCAGCTGTGGGGTTTGTAGACTATGGGTCTCAAACTTTGCAGTATTAGCCAAGACTTTGTATGAGGTCACAAGGGGGCGGGGACTGGGAACCGTTTGAATGGGGATCCCAACAACAGCAAGCCTTTCATGAGTTAAAGGAAAAAATGTATGTCAGCCCCAGCCCTGGGGCTACCCGTTCTGACAAAGCCTTTTCCATTTTATGTGTCGGAGAGAGAAAAGATGGCAGTTGGAGTTTTAACCCAAACTATGGGGCTGGGGCTGAGGCCAGTGGCCTACCTCTCTAAACAACTAGACGGGGCTCCTAAAGGATGGCCCCCATGTTTGAGGGCCTTGGCAGCAACTGCCCTGCTAGTACAAGAAGCAAATAAGCTGACTCCTGGGCAAAACCTGAACATACAGGCCCCCCATGCTGTGGTGACTTTCATGAATACTAAAGGACATCATTGGCTAACCAATGCTGGACTCACCAAGTACCAAAGTTTGTTCTGTGAAAATCCCCGTATAACCATTGAAGTTTGGAACACCTTAAACCCTGCCACCTTGCTCCCGGTATCAGAGAGCCCTGTCGAGCCTGATTGTGTAGAAGTGTTGGACTCAGTTGATTCTAGCAGACCTGACCTCCGGGACCAGCCTTCGGCCATCCGTAGACTGGGAACTATACATGGATGGGAGTAGCTTCATCAACCCACAAGGAGAGAGAGGTGCAGGGTATGCAGTGGTAACCCTGGACACTGTTGTTGAAACCAGATCATTGCCCCAGGGCACTTCAGCCCAGAAAGCTGAACTCATTGCTTTCATTCGGGACTTAGAACTCCATGAAGGTAAGACTGTCAACATTTACACTGATTCTCGGTATGCCTTTTTAACCTTTCAAGTGCATGGAGCATTCTAGAAAGAGAAGGGCCTATTGAACTCTGGGGGAAAAGACATAAAATATCAACCAGAAATCTTGCAATGATTTGAAGCAGTATGGAAACCCCACAAGGTGGCAGTTATGCATCGCAGAGGACACCAGCGAGCCTCCAACTTGGTGGGCTTGGGGAATTCCCGCGCTGACTCAGAGGCTCAAAAATCAGCATCTGCCCCCTTCCGGGCATCAGTCACAGCCCCTCTGCTCCCTCAAGCACCTGATCTTGTACCTACTTCTTCTAAAGAAGAAAAGGACTTTCTCCAGGTAGAGGGAAGGACAAGTGATGGAGGAAGGATGGATTCAGTTACCAGATGGGAGAGTAGCTGTGCCACAGCTACTGGGAGCTGCAGTTGTACTGGCTGTGCAGGAAAAAACCCATCTAGGTCAGGACTCACTGGAAGAGTTGTTAGGCCGGTATTTCTACATCTTGCATTTGTCAGCTCTTGCCAAAACGGTGACCCAGCCGTGTGTTACCTGCCGACAGCATGATGGGAGTCAAGGTCCAGCCGTTCCGCCTGGCATATGAGCTTATGGAGCAGCCCCCTTTGAAGATATCCAGGTAGACTTCACAGAGATGCCAAAGTGTGGAGGTAACAAGTATTTACCAGTTCTTAGGTCTACCTACTCTGGGTGGGTGGAGGCTTATCCGACACGAACTGAGAAAGCTCATGAAGTAACCTGTGTGCTTCTTCGAGATCTTATTCCCAGATTTGGACTGCCCTTATGGATCGGCTGAGATAACGGGCCTGCATTTGTGGCTGACTTGGTACAGAAGACGGCAAAGGTATTGCGGATCACACGGAAACTGCATGCTGCCTACTGGCCTCAGAGTTCTGGAAAGTTGGAGCGGATTAATCGGACTATCAAAAATAGCATTATTGTCTTCTCCGCTGGTTATTAAAAACAATAACACAAGGGGCGTCAAACCACCTGCCCAATTAGAGGGTATGTTAACCTCTCCCCTCCTCCTCCACCGCCCCCATATATTAGAGACAGCAACACAGGGGTGATGTACACCCACTGCTTTATTGGGAGTAATATCATCCTCTCCCTTCTTGGATATTAGGAACAATACCACAGTGCGTGTATACGTCTGTCGTGAAATTCGATATAATGTCATCCTGTGCCTCCCTAGATATGAAGAACAATATCACAGGGGATGTACAATTTCTGAGATATTGGGAGTGATATCATCCTCTCCCCTCTGGAAGTTAGGGACAACATCACAGGGGTAGTGTACACCCTCTGTGATGTTGTGACTAATGTCATCCTCCCGCCCCCTGGATATTACAAACCATATCACAAGGGGCGTGTACACACACTTCGATATTGGTATTAATACCGTCCTCTCCCTCTTTGGGTATTCGGTGCCATATTTCAGGTGGGGTATACGCCACCTGCAATATTGGAAGTTCTATTATTTTCTCCCCCCGTGGATATTAGCAACTATATCACAGGGGGTGTGAAAAACCCCCTCGATATTTGGAGTAATATCGGTCGTCTCCCCTCATGAATGTTAAGAACAATATCGTGAGGGGGCTTGTACACCCCCTTTGATATTTGATATCATCCTGTTTCCCCCTGGATATTAGGAACAATGTCAGGAAGGGATGTACAGACCCTGCGACACTTGCTGTCATCTAATTGTCTCTCCCCTAGATATTAGGAAAAATGTAACTGGGGATGTGAACAGCCCTGCGATATTGGGAGGAGTATCATCCTTTCCCCCCTTGCGTATTAGGAACAATATCACAGGTGGGGTGTACTGCCTCTGCGATATTGGGTGTCAAATTATCCTCTCTTCCCCTGGATATGAGGAAGGGTATCAGAGGGGGAGGGTGTACATTCCCTGAGATATTCAATGTAATCTTATCCTCTCCCTCCCAGGGTATGAAGAACAATATTACAGGAGGGGTGTACACCCTCTGCGATATTGAGAGTCATATCATCCTCTTTCACTCTGGATTTTAGGAACAATATCACAGGGTTTTGTACACCCCCTGCGGTATTGGGAGTAATATCATCCTCTCTCCCTCTGGAGATTAGGAAGAGTATCACAGGGCTGTGTATACCCCCTGCAGTAGTGGGAGTGATATCATCCTCTCTCCCTCTGGATGTGAGGAAGAGTTTCACAGGGATGTGTGCACCCCCTGCGATACTGGGAGTAATATCATCCTGTCGCCCTCTGGATAGTAGGAAGAGTATCACATGGGTGTGTACACTCCCTGCAACGTGGGGAGTAATATCATCCTCTGCCCCCTGGATGTTAAAAAGCAAATCACGGGGGTTGTGCACCTGCTGCGATATTGGGAGTAATATCTTCCTCTCTCCGCCTGGATAATAGGAGTAATATCACAGGGGTGGTTTACATCCCCTGCGATATTGGGAGTGATATCATCCTCTCTCCCCCAGGATATTAGGAAAAACATCACAGGGGGGTGTCCACCCCCTGGGATATTGGTGTCAAACCCCCTGTGATATCAGGAGTAATATATCATCCTCTGGCCCTCTGGATATTAGGAACAATATCACGGGGTAGGGGGTGTACACCGTGCTATATTGAAAGTAATATCATCCTCTCCTTTAGAAACGAAATCACAGTGGGTTGTACAGCTCGTGCGACATTGGTAGTAATATCGTTCCCTCCTTGCCTGGATATTAGGAAAAATATTACAAGGGGGTTGTACACCACCTGCGATATTTGGAGTCATATGATTCTTTGCCCACCTGGATATTAGGAAAAACATCACGGCGCGGGGGTCGTGGAAAACCCCGGCTATTTTGAAAGTATCATCCCCTTTTTCCCCGGATACTATGAACAGTATCACAGGAGGGATGTACACCTTCTGCGATAATGGGAGTCATATTATCCGCTCCCTCCCTGAATATTTAGAAAACGTCACAGTGGGGTGTACACCCCTGCGATATTGGGAGTAATATCATCCTCTCCATCCAGGAAATGACTAACAAGGTCACGGGGGGGTGTACTCCCCCTGTGATACTGGGAGTAATGTCGTCCTCCCCAAACCTGGATGTTAGCCACAGGATCACAAAGGGGGTGTACACACCCTGCGATATTGGAAGTAATACGATCCTCTCCCCCCGGATATTGGGAAAAATATCACAGTGCGGGTATACATTTCCTACGCTGTTGGGAGTAATATCATTCTTTTCGTCTCTGGATGTCAGGACCAATATCACAGAGGTGGTGTACATTTCCTTCGATATGGGGAGTAATATCATCCTCTCCCTGCTGGGATATTAGGAACAATATCCCAGGGTTGTCCACCCTCTGCAATATTGGGAGTAATATCATCCTCTGTTTCCCTGGATATTAGACACAATATCACAAAAAGGTGTACACCCCCTGCGATATTGGGAGTAATATCATACTCTCCTTCCCTGGATATTAGAAAACAGTATCATCAGAGGTGAACACCCCCTGCGATAATGGGAGTAACATTTTCTCTTTTTTTCTTTTCTTTTTCTTTTTTATTTATTTGTTTATTTATTTTTGAGACAGAGTTTCACTCTTGTTGCCCAGGCTGGAGGGCAATGGCACGATCTCGGCCCATTGCAACCTCTGCCTCCTGTATTCAAGCGATTCTCCTGGCTCAGCCTTCCGAGTAGCTGGTATTACAGGCATGAGCTACCACGCCTGGCTAACTTTTTTTTTTTTGTATTTTTTTGTATTTTTACTAGAGACCTTTTTTCTCCATGCTGGTCAGGCTGGTCTTGAACTCCCGACGTCAGGTGATCCGCCTGCTTCGGCCTCCCCAAGTTCTGGGATTACATGCATGAGTGACCGCGCCCAGCCAGCACTTAACATTTTTATTTGACATCTGTTGAAGTTATAGATTTATACACACATTGATTGCTGTTTTATTATACACTCGCATATACATAAGATGGGAAATAGAAAAGAATAAAATGGGCACAGTATCCCTAAAGTTTCACGTTCTGAGACATTTTAAAACTATATGCTTTTTAGAAACTTGTTTCAATTAAGAAACTCTGGTATACACACACAATGAAGTATTATTCAGCCTAAAAAGGAAGAAAATCCTCTTCACTGCAGAAAAAATGGGTGAGATTGTAGGTCTCTATGTTAAGTGAAATAAGCCAGGCACAGAATGACAAATATTACATGTCCTCACTTCTTTGTAGGAACAAAAAAGAAAATCTTGCCCAGGTGTGGTGGTTCAGGCCTGTAATCCCAGCGTTTTGGGAGGCCGAGTCGCACGGATCACTTGAGGCCAGGAGTTTGAGACCCACCCTGCCAACATGGTGAGACCCCATCTCTACTAATAACACAAACAATGAGCCGGGTGTGGTGACGTGTGCCTGTAGTCTCAGCTACTCGGAAGGCTGAGGCCCAAGAAGCGCTTGAACCCGGGAGGCGGAGGTTGCAGTGAGCCCGGATTGTGCCTGTATACTCCAACCTGGGCAACAGAAAGAGACTCCATCCCACACACACCTACACACAGAAGGAATCTCAGGAAGGTGGAGAGTATAAAGGGGGTTAGCAGACGCTAGGAAGAAAAGGGGTGGGATGGGGAATGAAGACAAGTGGATAATTGGGCCCCAAAATACAGAAAGATGGAATAAATGAGTTCTAGTGTTTGATAGTACAGTATGAATATTTTAGTTCACAAGAATTTCTTGCATATTTCCAGATGCTTTGGTAAGAAGCTTCCTAACTTTCTCATTATGCTGGTTTTTAAGCTCTTCTCTTTCTGCTCTTGATATCGTGCTGGTTTTTTTGTTTTTTTGTTTTTTGTTTTGAGATGGAGTTTCACTCTTGTTGCCCAGGCTGGAGAGTAATGGTGCAATCTTGGCTCACCGCAACCTCTGCCTCCTGGGTTCAAGCGATTCTCCTGCCTCCACCTCCCGAGTAGCTGGGATTAGAGGCATGTGCCAGCATGCCCAGCTAATGTTGTATTTCTAGTAGAGATGAGGGTTTCTCTCTGTCGGTCAGGCTGGTCTTGAACTCCTGACCTCAGGTGATCCACCCGCCTCGACCTCCCAAAGTGCTGGGATTACAGGCGTCAGCGACTGTGCCCGGCACATGCTGTATCCTTATCTGTTGTCTGTTGTTGTTTGTTTGTTTTTGAGCCCAGAAATAACTTCTCACCTATATGTTCAAATGATTTTTAACATGAGTGCTAAGAAAGCTCATTGGTGGAAAAGCAGCCTTTTCAAGAAATGGTGTCGGAGAAACTTGATTTCCACATGCAGAAGAATGAAGGTGGACTCTAAGTCACACCAGGTGCAAAAATTAACACAAACCAGATCAAAGACCTAACCCCAAGCACTAAAAGTATCATATGCCTAAAAGAAAACATTGGCCACACTTTCATGACATCAGATTGGGCAATGCTCTCTGGGATATGACACCAAAAGCATAGGCAACAAAAGAAAATTAGATTCCTTGGATTACATCTAAATGACAGACACTTTTGTGCAGCAAAATCACGGCAAACTGAGTGAAAAGATAACCCATGGATTAGGAAAAATATTTGCAAATCATATATCTGAAAAGAGGCTGATATCCATCATATATAAAGAATGGCTAGAACTAAGCAACAAGAAACTCAAAGCATCCCATCAACAATGGTCAGAAGACTCGAGTAGACATGTCCCTAAAGAAGATATCACAATGGCCAATAAGCATCTAAAATGATGTTCAAAATCACTCATCATAGGGAAGCGCAAATCAAACCAAGAATGTGATACCACACATCAGGATGGATATGATAAACAAACAGGCATTGGTGAGACTAGAGGGAAGTAGGAATGCTCGAATATGATCGGAGGGAATGTAAAACCGTGAAGGAACGGGGAAAATAGTATGATGTGTACTGGAAAAATCAGAAGCAGAATGATCAGATGTTCCCGCAGTTGCATTTGTGGGTACCTACCAAAAACAATTAGAAGCCAGGAGTGTAACACAGATTTGTGTACACCCATATTCATAGCAGCATTATTCACAACAGCCAAAATGTGGAAGCAACCCAAGGGTTCATGGACAGAAAAATGGAAAAGCACACTGCAGTTCATTCATACCGTGGAAGACTATTCAGCCTTCAAAAGGCAGGCACTTCTGGCCGGCGTGGTGGCTCACGCCTGGAATCCCAGCATCTTGGAAGACCGAGGTGGATGGATCACCTGAGGTCAGGAATTCAAGGCCAGCCTGGCCATCTTGGTGAAACCCTGTCTCTAAAGAAAATGCAAAAAATTAGATGAGCGTGGGGGCATGTACCTGTAGTCCCAGCTACTCGGGAGGCTGAGGCACAAGAATCGCTCGAACCCGGGAGGCGGAGGTTGCAGTGAGCCCAGATTGTGCCACTGCACTCCAGCCTGTGTGACAGAGTGAGACTCCATGTAAACACAAAACAAAACAAAGTCAAACTAACAAACAAACAAAAAACAAAATAAAAAAAAACAGACAGGCACTTCTGATGCAGGCCGCAACATGGATGAAACTTGAAGACATTGTCGTCAGTGAAATAAAGAAATCCCAAAAGGATAAACACGACCAGGCTCAGTGGCTCACACCTGTAACCCCAGCACTTCGGGAGGCTGAGGCAGGCGGATCACTTAAGGTCAGGAGTTCAAGACCAGCCTGGCCAATATGATGAAAGCTTGTCTCTATTAAAAATACAAAAATTAGCTGGGTGTGGTGGCACACGCCTGTAATCCCAGCTACTCAGGAGACTGAGACACAAGAGTCCCTTGAACCCGCGATGTGGAGGTTGCAGTGAGCCGAGATCACACCACCGCACTCCAGCCTGGGTGACAGAGAAAGACTGTCTCCAAAAAAAAAAAAATTAAACACGGTATGATTCCACTTATCTATCAAGTGTCTAGAGTAGTTAAACTCATAGAGTTGCAAACTAGAATGGTGACCCCCAGGGGTGGGTGAGAGAGAGGAGTGGAGAGGTTGGAGAATGGGTGCAATTTCCATTTTGAAAGATAAGACTCTTTCAGAGATGATGGCAGTGATGGTTGCTAAACAATGTGAATGTACTTAATGTCATTAAACTGTAAACTGAAAAAGAGTGGAAATTGTAAATGTGTATACTGGCCATTCTATATGAACTAATATATATTTATAATTTTTAATATTTATACGTGGTATATTTTCCCATAATAAAAGATGAAAATTAAAACAGTTGGATCTTTAAAAAGAAAAGAAAGAAGCGAATAATACACACCAGCTTTCTCCTGATTAGAGGAAGAGCCCCAAAGCTTCTATGCACATTCACTTTTCTCTTCTTCTTCTTGCATTATTATGAGGAAATTCTTAGAGGTTGGGGAACTTGAGCGACTTTGGCTAATGAGGAGCTCTGTGCCTTGAGCCCCCGAGGCCACAGAATAGTAAATATTCAGTCTGTGCCTCCAGCCCTGCAGTGTGAGGTTCCAGTCCTGTGGGCTCCACACCCATCACCTGTATTAGGAGGCTCATGTCTCACCCTGTCTTCTGGCCAGCCTTGAGGACGGAGTCTGAGCCTCAATCGTGCAACACCCAGGGAGGACAGTGGACCTGTTCTCTGTGGTCATGGCCCAGCAGAGGGGAAGGGCAGTTCAGTGAGTGTAGGGAAAAGAAAGAGAGATCAGACTGTTACTGTGTCTATGTAGAAAGGAAAGACATAAGAGACTCCATTTTGAAAAAGACCTATACTTTTAAAAATCACTTTGCTGAGATGTTGTTAATGTGTAGCTTTGCCCCAGCCACTTTGACCCAACCTGAAGCTCACAAAAACATGTGGTGTATGAAATCAAGGTTTAAGGGATCTAGGGCTGTGCAGGACATGCCTTGTGAACAAAATGTTTCCAAGCATTATACTTGGTAAAAGTCATCGCCATTCTCTCGTCTCATTAAACCAGGGGCACAATACACTGTGGAAAGCGGCAGGGACCTCTGCCCTTGACAGTGGTATATTGTCCAAGGTTTCTCCCCATGTGATAGTCTGAAATGTGGCCTCGTGGGATGAGAAATACCTGACCGTCCCCCTCCTGACACCCGTAAGGTCTGTGCTGAGGTGGATTAGTCAAAGAGGAAAGCCTCTTGCAGTTGAGAGAGAGGAAGGCCGCTGTCTCCTGCCTGCCCCTGGGAACTGAATGTCTCGGTATAAAACCCGATTGTACGTTTGTTCAATTCTGAGATGGGAGAAAAACCTCCCTATGGTGGGAGGTGAGACATGTTTGCAGCAATGCTGCCTTTACTCCACTGAGATGTCTGGGTGGAGAGAAACATCAATCTGGCTTACGTACACGTCCAGTCATAGTACCTTCCCTTGAACTTCATTATGACATAGATTCTATTGCTCACATGTTTGTTGCTGACCTTCTCCTTATTATCACCCTGCCCTCCTACTACATTCCTTTTTGCTAAAATAATAAAAACAATAATCAATAAAAACTGAGGGAACTCAGAGGCTGGTGCCAGTGCAGGTCCTTGGTGCACTGAGCACCGGTCCCCTGGGCCCACTGTTGTTTCTCTATTCTTTGTCTCTGTGTCTTATTTCTTTTATCAGTCTCTCATCCCACCCAACTAGAAATACCCACAGGTGTGGAGGGGCAGGCCACCCCTTAAAGTGAGTGCTGAGGGGCGGTCAGGAGGCTTGTTTTCTTTCCTCCTCATCAGGACAAACAGGAGAGTGCGGTGGACAGATGGGAGGAGATCAATGTGCAAACTGTCTGCTCAGCAGACTGTGGAGTTTCTGTTCTTCTTTGTGGTGGGGTCTCAGAAATCTTATTCAAAATGTTGCTTTCCTCCCCCACTGGTTGCCTTTTTCACAGACATCTCACCCATGATAGCAGGGAATGAGTCCCTCTAAACTATTCCCTCAGAACAACAAAAAGATGATGAAGGTGATGATGAGGATAAAGAGGATGATGACAGACACCATGGCATCATGAACCCTTACTGAGGGCTTCCTAAAGGCCAAGCTCTGAGCTCTGTGCTCTATGCAGCTTGTTTCATTTCATCTGCATAGTCTCCCAGTTATTAGTGCACATTTCATGATAATTTTACAGACTAGAAAAGGAGCAACGCATTTTCATAGAACTCGTACCAGATCATGAAGTCAAAAAGGGTGAAGTCCAATTTGAACCAGGCAGTCTAAGTCCAGACACATGGCATTTGGCCAGTCCTCTCCCTGCATCCAACCTGCCCTCTCAAATCCTTGTCACTCAGGCGGTTGCCCCTGCTCACTGTGCCCTTCCCTTTGGGGGTTCCTTGTAGACCACAGCTAGACCAGTGGGTGCCGCAGTCACTGTGTCAAGTATGGAAAGGACAGCTGAGATCACATCAAGGATTCCAGAAAGAATTGGCACAGGATCATTCAAGATGCATCTCTCCGTTGCCCCTGTTCCTGGCTTTCCTTCAACTTCCTCAAAGGGGACATCATTTCGGAGTTTGGCTTCCATTCCTACTGAGGAAGCTGGAAAGCATTTCAAAAATTCTCCTCCGATGTTCCTGTGGTTAAGACCTCTGAGCTCTGCTTAAAACTTTTTGAAGCTGGGCGCGGTGGCTCACGCCTGTAATCCCAGCCCTTTGGGAGGCTGAGGCAGGCGAATCACAAGGTCAGGAGTTCGGGACCAGCCTGGCCAACATGGTGAAACCCTGTCTCTACTAAAAATACAAAAAAAAAAAAAAAAAAAAAAAATTAGCCAGGCATGGTGGCGTATGCCTGTAATCCCAGCTACTGGGGAGGCTGAGGCAGGAGACTTCTTTGAACCCGGGAGACAGAGGTTGCAGTGAACCGAGATCACACCACTGCACTCCAGCCTGGGTGACAGAGCAAGACTCTGTCTCAAAAAAATAAATAAATAAAAATTAAGAAAAAAAGTGCTTGGAAGGGCTTGGTAAACTTTAGCCATTAGCTCACGTACCACTTTGGAAGGGCAGATCTTCAGTCACTTCACCCTTGAATCCCTTTGCTCAAGACTAAAGTTCTGAGAGGAAGTCTAATCGGCTGAGTTGTGTCCATGTGGGCAGTGCAGGAAAGGATGCAGCGGGAGGCGGCTCCAGGGACGTCTTTGGCTTCCATCGTGGGGAAGCAGGCGCCTGGATTATCCACCCTAACAAATCTGGACAAAGGAAAACGAGGTTCTCTCAGGAAGGAGACATAGAGCCCAAGGAGCTCACCAAGAGATAAATAGTCATCCTGTCTTGTCATTTTCTTTTACACATGTGTGTACATTATCTTACAGTTATCACTTTGTTTTCTTTCTCTCCTTTAATTGCACCCTGCTGCCAAAAGTTAAAATAACATGAAAATGTTGAGATAGCTCAGTAACTGACTTTTGGTCAATTGCCTTTTCATATAGTGAACAGCTGCCCAAATAGTTGCCTCTGTCACTGTGCAAATTTGCAAGTGTTTGCATGATCACTCCCAATCCCCCAAGACAGGGCTGTGTTACAGCACAATTTAGTTCAGTGTTTTGCTCTCCGCAACAGGGAGGTTCTCATCCATTACAGGTTGCAGTAAAAACAGGGGTACCATAAGCAACCACCGCTTTCCTCAATGATGTGATGAAAGCAAAAGCCAAGTAGCTTGATGTATGCAACTTAAAAATATAAAAAGTTACGACCATGGGTTGCAGTTGGAGCTATGGCGGCGGCAGCTGCCACTGGCACTAGCCCGGGGTCTGGACCTGGGGACTCCCCAGAAGGGCCTGAGGGGGAGGCTCACGGAGCGTCGGTGGAAGGCGCACAGAATGGTAAAGCTTTACTAAGGCCTCTCGGAAGGGGAGGCAGCGGGACTCCCCGCGGGGCCCGACCTCCTGGACCGCACTGATCTGAACAGGGCGCACTTCGACCCGGAAGTTTACCTAGACAAGCTGCATAGAGTGTGCCCTCTGGCCCAGCTGATGGACAGTGAGACGGACATGGTGCGGCAGATCCGGGCTATAGACAGCGACATGCAGACCCTGGTCTATGAGAACTACGACAAGTTCACCCCAGCCACGGAAATTGACAAACAGCATAAAACTGTATGAGGAATTGCAGGAGACCCAGAATTTCCCAAATAACCTTGTAAAAGAACAAAGTTGGAAGATTCACACACACACACACACACACACACACACACACACACACACTATATATATATATATATAAAAATAAAGTTTTGTTTTCATTCAGTTGTAAATATTTAGTAATTTCTATTGTGATTTTTCCTTTAACTCATGAAAGGATATTTTTAATTTTCCAAATGTATGCTTGTGTTTAGCTATCTTCTTGCTGTTGACTTCTAATTTTGTTGCATTATGGTGAGGAAATTGTGGTCTGGACAATGTCAATCGTATAGTGGATTTTGTTGAGACTTCTTTAGGGGCCTAATATGTGGCCAGTTTTTTTTTTTTTTTTGCAAATGTGCCACATATGGTTAAAAGGAATGTGGATTATTTGTTTTTTAGGGGAGTTTTTATTTTTAAATAGATAAGGTTCTCAGTGTAATTGAAATCTAGCTTCAATTAACAATATGCTAGATCTCTCAAACCTTAGGATGTTAGTCAATGTAACACTGGACAATGCTGCTGAGACAAATAAACCCTGAATTCTGAGTTGGTTGGCACCCATAGCATAATCTGGTGCAGGGCAGGGGTTCTCCTTGGGGGCCCTTGTCCAACAGTGATTCAGAGATCTTGGAGGTTTCCATGTTTTAATTCTGCCATCTCAGAGTTTTTCACTTGTAGCCATATGGATAGGAAGAGAGGGAACATAGCTCACACTTGCCTTTGGTAACCTTGGCCCAGAAGTGATTTCTTCTTTTCCTATTTGTGGAAATGCAGTCACATGGTTCCAAACTAACTGCAAGTGAGGCTGGGAAATGTAGTCTTTCTGCATGTCCAGGAAGAGGAATGGTGTGAACGCAGCATTGTCTTTGACACACTAAGCATATGCTGAAGAGTTCTTACTCTCATAGGAGGTTTGTCTGTCCTGTGTAACTGTCTCAGTTTTTGCTTAGATAGTTTCAGGCAATGTTGTTTGGTGCATTCAGCTTGATGATTATTATGTCCTCTTGGCAAAGTAGTCAAGATTCCCATCAGTTTGAATGAAAGTGTCTTACAGAGAGGGCAGGAAATGTTAATACTTTAAAGGGCCCTTCTATTCCTCCACTGTACAGATAAGAACAACAGAGTCCTAGAGAGAGGAGGTCATGGGTCTCACTCATGAGTGGCAGAATTGAAACCAACATGGCAGTAACTTTGCCTTTCCCCCATCATGTTGTTCTCCGTCTATCTTCACTCTGCTGATTTCTTCACTTGCTCCATACAGACCCCCCAGTGCCAAGTATATAAGGAGTGATTAATCTGAGCTTCTCCAGAAAGTCCATTCCTGGTAGGCACTGGGAATAAGAAATCTCAGAATATGAAATAACATCAAGGGGTAGCACTTTTGTGAATGGCTTCCAAATTAGTTCCTTTACCTTTTTCAGGCTTAGCCTGAGATGAAGCACATATTACAGAAATGTTCTCTCTATAGCATTACCTATTAGTCTAATGAGCATGAAAAAGAGGAGAGGGGACATGCTCTCTCTAGCTATTATTACCTCCACTATAGAGTTGACATACACAAACTCATTATTGCATTATGTTTTATTCAACAAAATAAATTTAATGTTGTAGTTTAAATTAAATTCGCTGAAACATCTTTATCTCCAGCATAATGTGCCTCAAGTGCCTTCTTGGTGACTGCATTTTCTCCAGAATTAGAGTACTGAAGCTATGTAATGGTGAAATTATATGCAATCTGCAAAACGGTGTGGCTATAACATCATATTTGGCCTTCCACGTAATTAAAGGAACATTTCCTCCTCAGAGCTTTTCCATCAGAGACCCAAAGGCTATCATTGTACAAATCACCCACTTAGGAAAACCTTTATTCCCAGTAGCCTATAAAAATCTGGTTATGCAAACAGATTTGCTTATTCAGTAACATTAATAGCTCCTCATGGTTAAAAAGTCCTATAATCTGTTTCCTCTGTGACCAAGTGTCGTTTTTATTTTGACATTTGGGAGCCTTTTGACTCCTTTACAGCTGGCAAGAAGGCACAGGGAGGGAACTCTCAAAAACCAACAACCTATGTATTCCCAGCCTATTAATCAATAGAAAATCACTTCAACTGGATTAGGGTCTTGTACCTGGCAGAAAGGCTCTTATGGACATTGGAATTGGATTTTAACACTTGGTATGGCAACTCCTTGAATCAGATCAGATTCGTGTTTGATAGACTCTTGCCAAAAAATTGCTCCAGGTTCTGTGCAGTAGCTAAAGACTTTTCGTTGTTGTTGTTTTAAAAGCAGCATTAAATGTTTTCGTGAAGACCTTCCCAGCAGTGATTTTATTGTGAACATGGTCTTTAGCTCTGGTCCTGTATAACTCACACTGAGGAAACCTCTAACAAGTGTTTTATTGGAAGATGTCTGATGGATGGTTGCTTTTAATAACAAATCTCTTCCCTTTTTCTGTCCCCTGTGTTCTATTCTCCTTTCTCTACACGTTATTCAGGGAGGATTCACCTATTCCCAAAGTCCTTTCCTCTTTATTTCCATTCCAGAGCTCTCTGTATAACTCCAGGTTGATGAATGCAACTGCCCACTGTTTATCTCCACTTGGCTGTCTGTCTTGCATTGATCTCATCTTACCTTGCCTCTCCTGATTTCCTCTTCGGCCTGGGCTCGCCACATCAGATCCACACCACCATCCACCCAGCTTCCAAAACACCTGGGCCTCCTCCTTCATTCCTCCCTCTTTCTCAGTCAAGTTAGTCTACTGTCTCCTCTCCATCCTCACTGCCACAGCCTTGGTCCAGCCAACCATCTTGTCTCACTTGGTGTATTGCAGCCTCCTACCTGGTCTACTCACCTCCCACTCTCCTTCAGCCAGACTGCTCTTCTTCTAGCACAAAGTGGATCATGACTCCCCTGCCTAAAAACATCTACTGTCTCCCTTTGTCTACAGGATAAACACGACAAAGAGCCTTTAAGATTTGGCTCCAACTTACCTCTACATTAGTCACTTTTTACAATTATATGAACATCTCTCAGCTCCTCACCCTCTCACGTCTCGATTTTTGCACATGCTCTTCCCTCTGCTGAGAATGATCTTCCACACCTCTCCTATCGACCTGGCTAGTTCCTACCATTTTCTAGTCTTCAACTGAGGAGTCCTGTGGTGGAGAAGGATTTCTCACCACCTGATAGAGATTGCATGCCCACCCACCTCCGGGCTTTTTTTTTTTTTTTTTTTTGACGGACTCTCGCTCTGGCCACCCAGGCTGGAATGCAGTGACGCGATCTTGGCTCACTGCAATCTCCGCCTCCCGGGTTCAAGCAATTCTCCCACCTCAGCCTTCTGAGTATCTGGAATTGCAGGTGACCACCACCACATCTGGCTAATTTTTTTGTATTTTTAGTAAAGACAGGATTTCACTATGTTGGCCAGGTTGTTTTCGAACTCCTGGCCTCAAGTGATCCACCCACCTTGGCCTCCCAAAGTGCTGGGATTACAGACATGAACAACTGCACCTGGCCGATTGGGTGCCCCTTCTATGTGCTCCCATTGCCCCAGGCATACTGTCACCATAACTCTTACCATTCTGAGTTGAAAATGATTTTTTTTTTTTGCTTTTTATTTCTCTCATTAAATGCAAAGCTCATTGAAAAGAGGACAGTGGTTGTTCACTGTTGTACTCCTAACCTTTGACTCAGTGTCCTGAGGTTGGCTCTAGAGCTGTGCACACATGTTCAGACATTGGAGCACATCTTGTCTAGCACCTCTTTTGAGGTGGCTTAGAGAAAAGTCAGTAGGTACTTCCCCAAGGATGAAACAGAAGCTTCACCTAAACCAGTTCTGCAACTGCAGCCTGCATTAGCATTCTCTGAGAGCTTGTTAAAAATGCAGTCTCCTAGAGCCCACTCTTCAAGAGTCGGTGAGTTGCTTCATCATCAAAATATATACAGAATTCAGCCAGTCTTCAGCGTCAGCCTGGTCTGAGCCACTGTGGACTCCCACCTGCAGAATGTCCCTGCTGGTCTCCTTGCTTCTGCTCTTACCTTCTAATTACCCATTCAAGTAGCCAGGGTGATCCTTTTAAAAATTTTTTAAATTTTTTTTGAGATGAAGTCTCACTCTGTTGCCCAGGCTGGAGTGCAGTGGTGCTATCTCAGCTCGCTGCAGCTCTACCTCCTGGGCTCAAGCCATCCTCCCACCTCAGCCTCCTGGGTAACTGGGACCACAGACATACACCACCACACCCGGCTAATTTTTGTATTTTTTGTAAAGACACGGTCTTGCTATGTTGCCCAGGCTAGTCTTGAACTTCTGTGTGCACCCACCTCAGCCTCCTGCATTTTTAGGAGGCCCCTCTTGTAGGGATTTTGATCCAGAGGACTGGGTGCCTCATGTCTCCTCCCATCTCTCTCTTCTTTCTGTCTCTGTCCTCTCTCTCTTTCTCTTTGCCTTATAGCTGCCCTGGGAACTAGACTCTGCCTTAGGCATCCCTCTGACTCTTGTTTGCTTTTACACTGAGGCTGTTTTAAGTTGCACCTTGATCTGAAGCCTTGGGCTTCTGTTCCTATTCCTTGCTTTTGTTGGAAGGGCCGTGCAGCTTCTTGACAAATTGCAAAGGTGCCTACGAGTTTCCAAGTCCCCAAGAACCAAGCCAGATGACAAACAAAGATGCAGCCCACAGCTGGGGAGACAGATTTCATGTCCACACAGAGACTCCAAGATGCTGAACTGAAATCCACCCCGAAGCCTGTTTTCTCTCTCATTTCAGTTCAATGTCAGCTGGGGGCTTGCAGGGCAGGGCTGGTGACCATTCACAGGGCAAAGATGCTTTGAAATGTCAACTGAGAATGGTGTGGTGGTTGACAGATGGCACGACAGAACATAGATTAACATGGAAAGAGAAACTCATCCCTTGGGGGGAGTGTGTGAGGCTGGCAGCCACACAGAGGGCTTTTGCTGTGAGCTCTTGCAGAGACATAAACAGCCAGGAGGTTTTGCTTTCTGAGCCTGAGTGGAAGCATGTTCCTCCCTGCACATTGCCGCTCTGCTGCAAATGTTTATTCCCGTTGCATTGATTAAAAGTGCTTACCAGGCCGGGCGCGGTGGCTCACGCCTGTAATCCCAGCACTTTGGGAGGCCGAGGCAGGCAGATCACAAGGTCAGGAGATTGAGACCATCCTGGCTAACACGGTGAAACCCCATCTCTACTAAAAATACAAAAAATTAGCCGGGCATGGTGGCGGGCACCTGTAGTCCCAGCTCCTTGGGAGGCTGAGGCAGGAGAATGGCATGAACCCAGGAGGCGGGGCTTGCAGTGAGCCGAGATTGTGCCACTGCACTCCAGCCTGGATGACAGAGCAAGACTCCGTCTCAAAAAACGTGCTTACCGAAGGGGTTTGAGGGCAGTGGTGACAGTGTGAGTTATGGCTCTGCTGGCTGCCAGTGGAGCCAGTCGCTCTGCGCAGCCGTGCAAGGGTGTTTTGAAAAGTGGCTCAGCCGGCCAGGAGTGACTGGGTGTAAATATTGCTGCCACTACATACTGTAGCCTGATTGGGGCCGTGTTTGCAGAACCCCTAAACCACTACACTTGTTCAGGCTTAAAAATAAGCTTACTTTTTTGGTTGTTTTGTTTTGTTTTATGAGATGGAGTCTTGTTCTGTCACCGGGTTGGAATGCAGTGGCATGATCTCGGCCCACTGCAACCTCTGCCTCCTGCGTTGAAGTGATTCTCCTGCCTCAGGCTCCCGAGTAGCTGGGACTACAGGCCTGTGCCATCATGGCCAGCTAATTTTTGAATTTTTAGTACAGACGGGGCTTCACCATGTTGGTCAGGATGGTGTGATCTCTTGACCTCGTGATCTGCCTGCCTTGGCTTCCCAAAGTGCTATGATTACAGGCGTGAGCCACCATGCCTGGTCAAACATAAACTTACTTTCTTACCTCTTCTGCTGAACTCTATTTGCTTCTTTTCTCAACTTCTGCTGAACTCTATTTTGCTTCTTTTTCCTGGATAAAGCTCTTCTTTATCCAGAAGACTTTTAGCAACAAAGTTACCCAATGCCCTTCCCTAGTCTCTCCTTGCA
The DNA here is from genome assembly GCF_000001405.40 of Homo sapiens. Classification (NCBI taxonomy): domain Eukaryota; kingdom Metazoa; phylum Chordata; class Mammalia; order Primates; family Hominidae; genus Homo; species Homo sapiens. The sequence goes on from NC_000008.11 coordinate 7,089,461, forward strand.
ACTGGCTCTCGGGTTGGGGTGGGGGGGGTGTGTAGGAGGAAATCCTTGACAGAACCAATTTACATGACTGTTTGGAGTACTCTGGCTAGCCCCAGGAGGTGTTTGCATTTTTAAATTGGTTAGTAGTGTCAGAATGTTTCATGAGTAAGAGCCCAGCCTCTAAGTTGGATACCCTGAATTTAAATCTCAACATGGCCACTTTGTATATAACCAGAGGTTGGATTTGGGGACCCAATGGATCTACCATGACATGAACTTGCACCAACATTCACCTGACCTCCAAAATGCCTATTCTGACTAGTAGACCCTAGTCTCACCCTAGTGCCAGTTCAGAGCCTGTGTCCAGTGATCCTGCACAGGTCCCATTAGTTCCTTTTCTCCTATTCAGTCATCCTGGTAAAAGGCTGTGTATTCCCTTGGGCGCAGGCTGGGAGAAAGATGGACAGTATTAATTTTTGGCAGTGTAGCAGAGTCCTTTCTGGAGGGAACCTGGCTTCCCATTCAGACAAGTGACTCCGGGTCTGTGAACTGGCTCACGTCTGGGAATTGACGGGAGACTGTGACTCTGTTTTTATGATTCAGATTACACTTCTGCTCACCTGACCTAGAACTCTTCTGCAAACACAGATCAAGTAAAAATGTGGCAGGCTTCTTATCTCTTTCACTTCTAGGAAAGCCACGATCAGCTGGCACCATAGGTCTCTGCGAGTCAGGCTATTCTGGTTGCAGCTTTGACTCTGCTGTCTTTTATGGTAACTGCATCCACCTTGCCTTTGGGGATTGAGTGCTGTGACCACTTGGCCCCAGCCCTTGTAGTGTGCCTATGTCATTTACCCTCTTTATATGTCAGTCTCCTCCTCTATAAAATGGGAATCCTCATTGCACCCACCCCCAGGGCTGCTGTGAGGTATAGATGGATTAGCATTTGGAAAGTAATAGAAGAGGGTCTCAAAGCCCATGTGTCGTTATCAGAATTATTTCGTGACAGGGGAGAGCTGGAGGAGAGAGGAAAGAGTTGAGCAGACCCACGTGCTCTCCCACCAGTGTTTCCTGAGCACCTACTATGTGCTGCCCACTGTGAGAGCTGTTAGGGTTGAAATAGGGAGCACAGCAGTGTAGGGGCTGCCATCAGGAGCTCAGTGGGGAGACCATTGTGCAACATGGTTCCAGCGCTTGCGGTGGGGAAGCTCAGGGAGTACAGGGGCCTAGGATCCTGGGCAGAATCATGGAAAGGACACAGCCTCCCCAGCCTGTCCTGCCTCCGCTGCCTCCCTGGCCTCCTCTGCATCCCTGGCCTCTCCTGACTTCCTGGCTTCCCCTTACTCCCTGGCCTCCTCTGCATCCCTGGCCTCTCCTGACTTCCTGGCTTCCCCTTCCTCCCTGGCCTCCCCAGTCTCCCCTGTCTCTCCTGCTTTTGAGATGGGCCAGGAGCTGCTGGTGCTCACTTAGCCTGTCCTGGACTCTGGGTGTAGCACTTCGATGTCCAGAAAATACGCCCGGGTTCAGCTCATCACACAGCCAAGGAAGGAGCTCCACACTGACACTAAGGGTGCATCCTGGGCTCATTCATCAGGGCATGCCTCCAAAATATTTCTCCACGTCTCCTCCCTTTGCCCACCTGCACTGTCTCTGTGCCTGAGCCCTGGCTGAGGGTCTGCAAGGATCCCCTATCTCCTCTGCCCCTGCACGGCTGGGTCCCAGGCAATCTGTCCGCCCACCACGCCTGTCGCCCCTTGCCCACCACGCTCCAGCCCCACAGTCCTCTTTCTGCTTCTTTCCCAGCCTCTGGGCTTTTGCACACGCTGTTCCCTCTGCCTGAACACCCTCCACTGGGCTGAGAACAACTCTCTGAGACCTCTCTCAGCTGTTGCTTCCTTTGGAACAGCCGCTGCTGCTGTCCCTCTCCCAGCTGCAAGACCGGCTGAGCCTCCTGTCTTTTTCAGTTCCCATGCCCCCAGCACTTCTCCTTGGCCTCCTTTGGCCGAATTGACAATGTCCATTCTCAATGCCTTCTCACCCAGCGCTGAGCCCCACTGGATGAAGGCAATGCCTGTCATGTTCACCGCAATATCCCCTCCCCCATCACCACGCCTGGTCCACAGTGATGCTCAAAAAAGATCTGTTGGTAGGCAATGCGAAGGTGCATTCATGTCATCCTGCAGGCGGAATTCTCCACGAGTTTTGAGCAGCCTCGGGTTTCCCACCCCCTCCAAATCATGGAAGAAACAGGGTAAGAGCAAAGACAAGGTGGCTGTGGCCGATATCCACCCTATCCGGGCGTCCCTTGTCTTCTCTCCTCCTTGGGCAGGGAGACTATCGGGGTGCAACCTGGCTGGGGCGGGGAGGAGGTGCAGGGCCTGGCCAGAGCGGGCCTGGCCACGGGCAAGGGACAGCGACCGCCTGGGCCAGGACAGGTGAGAGCGGCGCAGTCCCGGGCCCGGCGTGTCCGCGCTGCGCGGGAGAGGCCAGCAGAGGGCGCCAGAGAGCCAGGAGCGGCCCGCGGAGGAGCCCGCGCCAGCCGGATGCCCAGCTCCGCGCCGCGCGGACCCAACGAGCCCGCGCTCAGACGCCCCAGCTCCGCCGAGAGGCCGCTCGCGCCGGGTGCTTCTTCTTCCCAAGTGCAGGCAGAGCCCCTGGAGCCATGGCCAGCCCTTCCGGCAGCTCCGAAGCCACTGGCAAGCCCCGAGGCAGGGATGGCCGGCCCAGGAGGGAGGAGGACGACGTCCCTCCCGAAGAGAAGAGGCTACGGCTGTTGCTGGAGGGGGGAAGCGCACAGCCCGAGGACTGCGAGGACGGGGAGGACGCGCTGCGGCCGGGCAGGGAGGAGACCGGCACCTAGACAGGTGGCGACGGCAGAGGAGTAAGTGACGCGGGCGCGGGGGTCCGGGGCTGCCGGGGGCGCGGAGGTGCCGGGGACGCGGGGTAGAGGCGGCGGGAGGCTCCGTGGCCGGTCCCGGGTTGAAGTTGGTAATTGAGCGGCAAGTCCGGCGGGCGCGGAGTGACAGCTCGTGACGGCCTCCGAGACGCCAGCTGCCCCTTCTCGGCTGTGTGGCTTCGACTTCCTGATTCTCCCACGAGGTCCCTGGCTGGGATACCCGCTGGACTCTGTGGCTGGCCAAAAGGGGAGGGGCAGCCCCGTGTCCTGGGGGCCCCCAGCAGGGGAAGTGGCGGGTGTTGCGCTGGGCATCCTGTCTGGGACATCTGTCTGGGAGTCTGTCGGTGCCTCTCACCTGGCGAGGGGCATGTGGTGGGGGCAGGGGGGAAGTCCCTGGCGCCAGGCTTGGCCAAGCCCTGCTCTGCTGGGCTGCGGGCTGGTGGCGCTCACCCAGCTCCTCACCTGTCCCGCATCTTCCTGTTTTTTTTTCCCTTTCTAGTTGGGCAGCCAGAGTTGAGAGGAGGCAGATGGCTTCCATCCCAGAAATTGTTCTCTTTCCATCCCTACAGAGAGGGACAGAGAGGCAAAGTTCCTTGCATCCCCCGGGGCGCTGTCCCTATGAGCTCCCGGTGTCCTGCACACGTGGGCCCCTGAGTCACCGGGCCTGTGTGTGTGGGATGGGGCTCCGTGGCCAGCCTGGCCTCCTGGGGTTCACTTTCTGCTTTCCTACCCCAACTCTTCCTGTGTGGCTTTGCTGGCCTTCCACTGGGGAGGCACGTGAGTTTGGAGGGCAGATGAAGGCCTGCTGGAGAGCTGTACCCCTCAGTGAGTGCTGCCCCCTTGATGGTTTTTGATGGATAATGGGGTTGACCTCTTTGTTCCTTCCACATGTTTTTATGTTTGACCATTTACTTAACTGAGCTTGTCTTAATAATTGGATTCGTGGTTAATGAGCCCCACATGGGAGAGAGGGCGGCCTGCATTCTGAACCCATTTAGGCAGCACGGGCAGCCCTCCTCGCCGTGGGCTGCATCAGAGCCCCCCTGCCCAGTCTTGGGGTTGCTCCTGGATGCTGTCTGGGAGGCTTGCTCATGGTGACATCCTCATCTCCCTGTGCACGTTACCGCATTCAGAGCTTGGGTCACCTGGACACTGAACTCAGGTGAATTTTCTCTGAGATCCCGGGAGAAGGAGGACAGTTCTCTGGAAGGTTTTCCAGGGCCGATCACGGAAAGGATGAGAAGGGAGAGGTACTGGTCGGGAACACAATTACGGTGGCAGTGTAACACCACGAAACTTTATTGCGTAAAGTCCCTGTCACTCCCTCTACCTCCTTCTTTTACGTGGACTCTGCCAAAGACCAGGATACCATAATGCAGTAGGGTGACCAAGCGTAGTGGGACCTTGGGAACAGGAGTCTGGAGCCAGGCGGCTGGGGTTTGGATCCTGGTTCTGCCCCTCCTTCGCTGGCTGACATGGCACAAGCCACTTACCCTCTATGAGCCTTACTGTCTTCAGTGGCAAATGGATCTGTCTAGAGACCCCAGTGCCTGCGGTTGTTACTGCTGAGATTAAGGGAAACTCGTCCATAGAAGCACTTAGCGTTGTGCCTGGCACATAGTGTATGGCGGATAAATGGGACTTAGGACTGAAACTCATGCCTTAGTGTGTTTTTGCAGTGATGTTTTGTTCTGGGGTGCATCACAAGAGACAAGGTCCTTGGCCTGGCGTGGTGGCTCAAGCCAATAATCCCAGCACTTTGAGAGGGTGAAGGGGGGATCGCTTGAGCCCAGCAGTTTAAGACGAGCCTGGGCAACGTGGTGAAGCCTCATATCTACCAAAAAAACAAAAACAAAAACAAAACAAAACAAAAGCCAAGTATGGTGGTGTGTGCCTGTAGTCCCAAGGACTTTGGAGGTGGAGGTGGGAGGATTGCTAGAGCCTGGAAGGTCGGGCTGCAGTGAGCTGTGATCATGCCACTGCACTCCAGCCTGGGTGACAAAGTGAGATCCTGTTTCAAGGAAAAGACAGAGAGAGAGAGAGAGAGACAGACAGACCCACAAGAGTCTTAAGCCAGAATCTTCATGTTAAAATGCTTTCTGGAGGCTAAAAGGATGATATGTTGATAATGAAATATTTAAAAGACAGAAACCCCACTGAATTGTTTGGTCCACAGAGGGTAATGGGAATCGCATGACCTGAAGCATGATGGAGGAACTGAATAGAAACCATCCTTGTTTCCTGAATCTGAACATGGTACCCTCTTTTCACGGTGTCTGTATCTGCTCAGTCCAGCGGCCCCTCGAAAAGAGGGAATCTTGATTTTCAAACTTAAAATTTGGCCCAAAGCCCACTGCTGCCCACAATGCCCGCCAGACACATTCCTCTTCCTTTTTAGTTTCTATGGGAATACTCTTTCTGAAGAACCCATGAAGCAGTGTCAGGCTGGTACGAGGATCAGCAGTGATTTCTTTGAGGAGGAGAGCCCGTTTCTTCACTCACAGGCCACGTCTGAGTGGATCAAGAAGAACAGAGTGCCCTTTTATGAGATTTTGTCTGCGTAGACCACTAGCTTGGTAAAAATGTCAAAACCATCCTCGTTCCTTAATAGCAGATTATTTTGGACTTTTCTCTGTAAGAAGCAGCATGGGCATTCAGATGCTTTTAAGGGTAAAATGTTCTTTCTCATCACCAGGCCTGGTGCTCAGGATGGCTGAGGTTTTAATGTGACTTGGTGTCCCTTGGAGTGGCTCCCAGGGTGTGATCTTGTGGTTGGGTGGCAAGGGGTTGCTTTATTCGATGGTGTCTAGAGGATGTTTTAGTAGATAAATCGGGACCCCAGGAGCCCCTGTGTTGCAAGTCCTGCTGCAGGGCATGTGTTTATAGTGGGGATGTGGGGGGGTGGAGGGTGGGGGGCATTGATTTCCTGCCAATATCAGAAGTTTCACAGGCTTCTTGTGTATCCACAAACACCGACCCCATTGAGAAGGCCTAGAAAACCTGGCCCTCCCCAAGCCTTTATTGACAACTTGTGAATGATCCCAGGGTGTGTCTGACCCACAGCTCCTCCTGGAGGGAGAGAAAAGTCTCTCCTAGATATTTGGTTATCAACCTCAACCACTTGCTGAGCCTTCCCCAAGACCAGGCATCTTGTCAGAGACTTCTGGGTTGTCAGGCAGAACCGAGCATTCAAGGGTAATAACTCACTGGAGTCCCTGAAATCCTTGATGGACGCACCAGTTGAAAGCATCCAGGGTTGAAACCAGATCAGGAAGGTTATTCTCAGCTTGGGGCTCCTGCAGAGGGCTTCCTGCAGAGGTGCATCCACGTTGCAGGGATTTCCCTTCCTGCTGAGGAGAAACCTGGGTTTCTCAGCTTTGGCACAGTCACAACATTTGGGGTCAGATCATTCATGGTGGTGGTGGTGGGGGGGGGCTGTCCTGTGTATTGTAAGATGGTTAGCAGCATCTGTGGTCTCCATCCTCTAGGTACCATTCTACCCTCCCAGTTATGGCTACCCCAGATGTCTCCAGACGGTTTCAAATGCCGTGGAGCAAGGGAGTTGTATGTGAGCCAAACCACTCCAGTTGACAGCCATTGGTCTACACTTGTGGAAATGTTTGAGGGTGAGAGTGTCAAGCTTGGGTCCCTGCTGTACTCTTTATCAGCAACGCAGTCTTGGAAAATTAATACAACTCCAGGGGCCTCAGTTTTCTCATCTATAAAATGGAGATAAATGAGATACACTTTCATAGGAAGGTTACATGGGATTTACTGAGATAATAAGACAGTACATTGAAAATGCTGGGCATAGCATTTATTTATCTTTATTTTTTTTTTAAGATGGAGTCTTACTCTGTTGCCCAGCCTGGAGTGCAGTGGCATGATCTCCGCTCACTGCAACCTCCACCTCCTGGGCTCAAGTGATTCTCGTGCCTCAGCCTCCCAAGTAGCTGGGAGTACAGTTGCCCACCACCACACCTGGCTAATTTTTGTATTTTTAGTAGAGATGGAGTTTCACCATGTTGGCCAGGCTGGTCTCAATCTCCTGACCTAAGGTGATCCACCCAGCTCGGCCTCCCAAGGTGCTGAGATCACATGTGTGAGCCACCACCCTGGGCTGGGCATAGCATTGTAACACAGACAAAGCACAAAATACTTGGGCAATATGTTTCTACATTTGGGTTGTCTAGACTCCATCCTCCATCCCCTCATGTACTGGTGTGGTGCAGAGCAGAATATCACCCACCTAGACTGCAGAGTGGATTTGGGTGGCATCTTGGCTTTCTGCACAAGACTTGCCTGTTCCCCACCATGTACCCCTGGTTCTCAGGGTCCAGGATTCCAGGAAGCAGGGATGTGGACAGGCAGGGCAGGTGGCCCACCCAGTTCACTCCCACGCTGGGGACCTGCAGAGCCAGCTCCCTGAGACAGGGTGTTTGGACCAACATCTGGGTTTCTGGATTTCCATTTGAGCACAGCTGGACTACACAGGCTGAAGCTCTCTCTGCCGAGATATAGATATTTCCCTGGTGACGATCTTTCAAGCTGACATGAAGACATGGCCACCTGCTGGAACGTGTTGTGTCTGCTGTGGCGCTCTTGTAATTTGTGGGGTAGGCTCCTGAGGAATGCAGTGTGTAAGTGGGAAATGGTGGGAAGTTCTCGCATCCTCCCCTGGCCAAAAGTGCTGCCTGCACAGGTTGGTGGATGGTCCTTTGAGCAGGAAGAAGACATGAAGCCATTCCTGTTAGCTACGACAGAGAGGGGCAGGGTACACACTGGACATTTCGAGCCCATCCAGAGAAGCAAGTCTTACTATGCTGGGAGTACTTTGGAATGGGGGCTGTGTTGCCCTGGGCTTTAATTATTTCAGGAACATTTAACCACAGGGCTGGCAGGCTGGATCTTGATATGTGTTTCTCAGTTGGAAAGACTTTGGACCATAGGGAGATGTCTTCTCAATTCTTTTAATTTCATTATGGTTGTCATTTTTCTTCTCGTGGCCTCTGGATTGTGACACAGAACTCAAGGGACAGGAGGGAGATGAGTTGGAGGCTGGGACAGGGGTCCCTGCCAGGGATGCTGGTGACTCACATGACGGTACTGATGTGTGGAGTCCGGTGCCTGGTTTGGGGAATGTTCGTGGGATATGTTCCAAAGGACTGGCAGACCTATCAGGTACTGGAGGTGAATGGTCAGGTCTGATCTCAGGGCTGGCAGTGTCAGGCAAGGACAGGAAGTTGACGTTGGACTCATTGGCTGAGGTTGCTTGGGACCCAGGGGGCAATGTGTGCCAGGACAGATGGGTCTGGGGCTAGAAAGGCAGATTTGGGCTGGATACTCGGGCTTGGGAGGCATCCCAGGTAGATAGTGGTTGAGGCTGTGGAAATGACCGCAATTGCCTGGGATGAGCATGGAGACAGACAAGATGGGGGTTTTGCTTTAAGCCTGGGGAGCCCACCTCCCAGGTTCAAGCGATTCTCCTGCCTCAGCCTCCCAAGTAGCTGGGAATGCAGGTGTGCACCACCATGCCTGAGTAACTTTTGTATTTTTAGTAGAGATGAGGTTTAGCCAGGCTGGTCTCAAACTCCTGATTTCAAGTGATCGGCCCACCTTGGCCTCCCAAAGTGCTGGGACTACAGACATGAGCCACCATGCCTGACCATTTTTAAATATTAATTGTTATGAAATATTTTCAAGCACATTTTACTATACATTGGAAAAGTCAATCATGATTTGAAAACTTCATCAAAATCCAATCAAATCTCAATTAACCATTTAATTGTGGATAGGTAAGGAGACTATTTTGACCAAAACATATTAGAACAATTAACACTTATAGATATAATCTATGTTTTAATGTTTTAGTTGAATTAAACCATCTTTTATATTCTGGCCGGGCACAGTGGCTTACAGTTGTAATCCCAGCACTTTGGGAGGCCGAGGCTGGCGGATCACCCAAGATCAGTAGTTCGAGAGCAGCCTGGTCAACATGGCGAAACTGTCTCTACTTAAAATACAGAAATTAGCCAGGCATGATGGCACACACCTGTAATCCCAGCTACTTGGGAAGCTGAGGCAGGAGAATCATTTGAACCTGGGAGACAGAGGTTGCAGTCAGCCGAGATCGCACCACTACACTTCAGCCAGCCTGGGTGACAGAGCGAGACTCTGTTTCAAAAATAAATAAATACAATAGAATTCTGAATTTTATTTTTAATAATTATTTTTGTAAAGAGAATGTCTTGTTTTTTGGAGTTGTTGAATTTATTGAATTGGCAACAATTATGTACAAAAGGGTATACAACATGATGTGATTGAAGTATGTATACATTATGAAATGGCTAAATCAAGGTAAATAACATATCACCTCCCAGACTTATTTTTTTGTGGTGAGAACACTTAAAAAATCTACTCTCTTAGTGATTCCCAAGTGTATGATATGTTGTTATTAACTATAGGTACCATGTTGTCCCACGGATCTCCTGAATTTATTCTTCTCTAAAAATGACATTCTGTGTCCTTTGGCATCTGCCCACTTCCCCACTCTGGCAACCATCATTCTACTCCGCTTCTATGAATTCAACTTTTTTTTTTTCTTTTTCTTTCTTTTTTTTGAGACAGTCTCCTTCTATTGCCCAGGCTGTAGTGCAGGGGTGTGATCTTGGCTCACTGCAGCCTTGACGTCCCAAGTTCAATCAATCCTCCCACCTCAGCCTCCTGAGTATCTGGGAGTACAGGCATGCACTACCATGCTCCAATAATTTTTGTATTTTTTGTAGAGATGGGCTATTGCTATGTTATGCAGGCTGGTCTCGAACTCCTGTGCTCAAGCAATCTGCCGGCCTCAACCTCCAAAGTGCTGGGATTACAGGCATGAGCCACCATGCCTGGCTGAGTTCAACTTTTTTAGATTCCACATGTAAGTGAGATAATGTGGTATTTGTTGTTCTGTGCCTGGCTTATTTCACTTAACATAATATCCTCCAGGCTCATCCATGTTGTCTCAAATGGCAGGATTTCCTTCTTTTTGAAGGCTGAATAGTATTCCATTGTGTATATACACCACATTGTTGCTGGAAGTTTAATGGAGGCCAGTTGGGGGAGGAGGGGGAGAAGATTCACTCTAAGTCTAGATGCTCCAGCACCCACCCAGGATGTGTGCAAGGAAGTGCAGGATGCTCCTGGTCTTGCAAACTGTGGTTTGTGGGACTCCAAAGCCCCTATCCTTCCACGATGCTTTCTGTCCTGTTATCACATTTCCTTGGAGGAGAACCCCGCCTTGGTGGAGAGCCCTGCTCTGGCTTTGTCCCTCGGCATGAGATGGCAAAGGATGGTGCCGCTGGGAGACCCTCACGTCTGCATACTGGGGGCTGTTTGCCTTCTCCATTCCTCCTTCAAGTATCTGAGCAGCTCCTGTGTGCCAGCTGCTGGTCTACAAGACGGATCGGTCCTTGGAGATCACGCTGTAGCAGAGGAGGCAGGCTGTAGCCCACAGGCCAGAACCAGCTCCCTGCCTGTTCATACATATAAAGTTTTATTGGAACACAGCCACACCCATTTCAGTGCATATTGTCTGTGGCTGCTTTCCTGCTACAATGGAGAGTTGAATAGTTGGGACAGAGACCTATGGCCTGCAAAGCTGAACTATTTACCATCTGGCTCTCAAGAAAAAGGAAAAAAAATGCTTATCTTTGTACCCCGACAGTCTTAGATTAAGAGGACTTTGTACCACCCTGACGTCCCAGGCGGCCATGAGTCCAGCCACCCCTGAAATGTACACAAGTCTGGGCTAGGGTTGCAGCAGATGAGTCCCAATTTTGCAGATCTTTGGTATCAGGGGCACAACCCAGGATTTTGAGTGGGGTTTCCTCATCACTGTGGCTGGGCACTGGGCTAGTGTGCTTTCTGATTTTTGTATGGGGAAGAGAAAGGAGGGAGGAAATGGCAACTTGTTGCCCTGTTCTAACGTTTTCCTAGGATGGGTCTCCAGGCAAGGGCTTGGGATCTCACCTTGCACAGCTTACAAAACCCAGTGAGGCCGGCTGTCTTGGCGCTGCCACTCTGAGGGATGGAGTCCCCAAATGACTAGGAAGGGAGATAAAAGAATGGTTTCTGCAAGCACAAGAAGTGGCGTTATTGAAATTAACATTTCCCCCAAGTTTTACAATGTCTAGGCATGCATATTTAAGTGTCTGCCTCAAAAGCTTTTGCTAATAACCAGATGGTGCATTTAATTTCCTTTTTTTGTTCTCTGAGCAACTTGCAGCTTCCTGCACAGCCCTACTTGCAGGCAACTGCACTGAGGTGACAGTCCTCCTGACTGCCAGCACAGATCCCCAGGGCCTCTGAGGGCCCTGTATTCTGGGGTCAGCCTTTCCCCCTTCTATTTGGCCCCAGCTGGAGGGGGGCAGATTACCCACATCCCAGCACAGGGCTCCTGCCTTAGCTTCTCTAGGGAGTCTGGCTCCCTCTGACCCTCTAGACCTCACCAGCTGAGGATCAGAGCCCCAGGGCAGGAGCCAGGGCCAGAGGGCATTGGGGGTGGTTTGAGAGTGCAGCTCTGGAGGGGGGCAGTGCGGACCAAGGAAAAGCTGCTCAGGGGAGACTGCAAAGAGATGGCAGAGTTAGAACAAGAGGGCCAGGCATGGTGGCTCACACCTGTAATCCCAGCACTTCGGGAGGCCGAGGTGGGCGGATCACCTGAGGCCAGGAGTTTGAGACTAGCCTGGCCTACATGGTGAAAACCTGTCTCTCCTAAAAATACAATAATTAGCCAGACATGGTGACACCTATTATACCAGCTACTCGGGAAGCTGAGCCACGAGAATTGCTTGAACCCGGAAGGCGGAGGTTGCAGTGAGCTGAGATTATGCCACTGTACTCCAGCCTGGGCAACAGAGCAAGATTCCATCTCAAAAAAAAAAAAAAAAAAAGGACAAAAGGAGGAGGGCAGAGAAGGGAGCTGTGGGGCAGCAACAAGGACCTTAAAGGCACAGAAGAGGAAGCTTGGATTTCCAATTCCAAAGGACATGAAGACAAAGTCGCACACCTTTATTTAACCTGTTCCAGGTGAGGCTGGGCTTTGTGTATTTTCCTTGTTTTCCTTTTCCTTGTGTTCAGGCTGTTGTAAAAAGAGGTACACAGGGGCTCTGTGTGGTGCCCTGTTCTGGTGGCCTTCAGGAAGCATGGGGTGCCCTGGTTTCCTTGGCTTCGTGTCCCCCTTTCCTCCTGCTACCCCTGACTGTGCACCCGACCTTATCCCTCAGACCATCCTCCTAAAGGGGCCTGGCCAGGGCTAGTGTCCTTGCTAGTCTCTAGGAAGGAAGACTCTGTGGCTTGAAAGCTTGTTGGCTTAAGTTGCAAGGTGTAGGTGCCTGGGAGGGCATGTGCATGGCCCTTTGACTGATCCATTCATGTTTTTCTTTTTTGACTCTGTTCTATGTTGTCCTGATGGAGGGGTAAGCCCCTGCCTTCTGCCTTTCCTGCCTTGGACTCTTGCAATTGGACCAGATGAGAGGGTCCATGTGGTCTGAGAATTCAAGCAATGCAGGCCAGGCATGGTGGCTCACACCTGTTATCTCAGCACTTTTGGAGGCCAAGGCGGGTGGGCCAGGAGTTTGAGACCAGCTTGGCCAAAATAGTGAAACGCTGTCTCTACAAAAAATACAAAAGTTAGCCGGGCTTGATGGTGCGCACCTGTAATCCTAGTTATTTGGGAGGCTGAGGCAAGAGAATCACTGGAACCCAGAAGGAGCAAGTTGCAGTGAGGAGCAGGTTGCAGTGAGGAGGAAGTTGCGGTGAGGAGGAGGTTGCAGTGAGGAGGAGGTTGCAGTGAGCCGAGATTGTGTCCCTGGACTCCAGACTGGGCAATAGAGCGAGTCTATGTTTCCAAATATATATATATATATATATATATATAAAAAACAAAAAACTGAACATCCTCTTGATTTGCTTTTCTTGGTCCTGCTTCTCAGAGGTAACACTGGGAAGGGTTGGGGTATACCTCTCCACACCTTTTTCTTTGATTTCCTTTTATTTTTTATTCTATGTTTTGCAGAATGTGCAGGTTTGTTACATAGATATACATGTGTCATGGTGGTTTGCTGCACCTATCAACCCGTCATCTAGGTTTTAAGCCCTGCATGCATTAGGTATTTGTCCTAACGCTCTCCCTCCCCTTGTCCCCCACCCCCGACGGGCCCCGGTGTGTGATGTTCCCCTCCCTGTGTCCATGTGTTCTCATTGTTTAACTCCCACTTATGAGTGAGAACCCGCAGAGTTTGGTTTTCTGTTCCTGTCCACACCTTTTTCCTCTGTGCACACAAGCACATGTATTTGCATATAAGTGTTTATTGTAACTTTTTTAAAAAGTAAAAATGGAATAATGCCGTATTTATTCTTTGGAAAGCCTGCTTTTCAGGCAGCATGTCTTTGACATTGTCTCACGTTGGAACCTGGGTACCACCTTCTTCTCCCAGCAGTTATTCTGACGTGTGGATGCACCTTGCTTCATTTAACCAGCCCTGCACCGATACGTCTTTGGATGGTTTCCGCCTTTTCCCAATCACAGACGGTGTTCTGATGAATTTCCTTACACACATCACTTGGTGCTCTGTGCCTGCATTTCTGTGAGATGTTCCTGGAGGTGGGCTGTCTAGGTCAGAGGGGGATCTGTGCTTAATTTGCATCCTGTGCAAAATTCCATCCAGTCATCCGGCTCCCCAAGGGCTCACATGGTACTGTCCTCTGTAGACATCATCTTCTGCAGATGATGGCACGACCGCCTCTCTTTCTTTTACTCACACCAGTCTGCATCCTGGTGTCCTGGGGGTTCCAGCCCCTACGTGCTTGTCTGCCCTCACCCCACAGTCCCCCCAGCCCCTGCTAACAGGTATTCAGGCTTCTGAGCTGTGGCAGACTGCCTCACTCTGGAGAAGTTTGCTTTCTCAAACATTCCTGGCAATGTTACTGCAATTCTCGAGGCCTGCATTTGCCGCCTTCAGGCCTCAGTTTCCTCAAAAGTAAAATGGGAATAATGTGATGCTACTGTCTGCATCCTAGAGCTGCCATGAGGGTTCAGTGAGATCACTGTTGAGAGCACGTTCACAGCGCCGGCCTTGTGCGCAGTCAGCACGTGTGGGGCAGGGCTGTTGCTGATACGTGGTTGACTGTCATTGCTAGACTGTGGCTTTACCAGGGGCATTGTCTTTAGTGCCGAGCCCAGAGCCACCTCTAGTACCTGCTGTGTTTATAGAGTGATTGAGTGTCAGGGTCAGAGACTGGGGCAATGGCAGCAGAAACAGAGGAAAGAAGTGGGGCTTCTAATAGGTCCTGCACCAGTGGCCCTTGAGATGAAGCCTTCTTGCCAAGGTCTGGGGCTGTGCTGTGTGTTCTAGGCCCGAGACTGGAAGCTAGGCCTGGCTGCAGCCCCGGCTTAGCTGGGGAAGTGCATGTCAGCATCCTGCTTCATTAGGACACCTCCAAGTCCAGCTTAGACCTGGATGCCAGGTGACCCTCTGTTTACTCTGAGCCCAGACAGAGGACAGGGAAATGTGCAAGGGTGGGGACCCTCATCACAGCCCTTGACTCTGTAAGGCATATGGGTTTGTGCACGTGTGTGAGCACGGCCGTGGCTTTTCTGTGAGTTTCAAGGTCGAGGTTGTGTTTATGCAGGGTTAGGCTTGCCAGGTAACATACAGGAGGTCCAATTAAACCTGAATTTCTCATTAACCTTTTTTTTTTTTTTTTTTTTTTTTTTTTGTGCAAATATATCCCATGCAATATTTGGGACCTGCTTACCCTAAAAAATGATTTGTTGTTTATCTGAAATTCAAGTTAAACTGGCATCCTGTCTTTTCACTTGCTACGTATGAGAGTTCCGTGTGGGGGTTATCAGTGTGCATTTGTGAGTTCCCATGTGAAGGACTCTCTCCAAGTGTCTGTAGGTGCCAGGATGGAGATGGACAGAGAAGGTCCTCTTGGGCTGCTTTAGTGGCACCTAGAGGCTCTGGGGTTGGACACTTCAGCCCAGGGGCCTAGGCAGCACTGCCCAGCACCTGTGTGCTCCTGTCTTCTTCATGGGGGCTGACTTCCCTGCCATCTCTCTCCAAATACGGTGGCAAGAGCTATCCCATCCGCCCCCATCTGGAGCTCAGCTGCCCAGCCAGACAAGATGGCAAACAGTGTGCAGATGGCTGCAAAGCTTTCCCCAGCTCTTTCTGCAAGGGGCCTACAGATGAAATGGAAGCCCTCATCCTCACCGCCTCCCCCTTCCAGAAAACCTAGGCAACAGCCACCTCTGAATGCTGCTTTAGAAGCTTCTCCCTGCTGGTGATTAAACCACCACAAACAAATAAAGCACTGCATTTCCACCATAGGCTTGTTCACATGCACGCAGCCAATTGTCTTGTATCAGCCTGTGTGCCTGATTCATCAGGGTGAGGGGTTCTCCTCTGAGGTGCTTGCAAAGAGCTGCTTGCAAAGAGCTGCTTAATTTTCATCTGAAAGGGCTTTGGAAGAAAGCCCTTTCTCCCCCTTTAGCAAATTCTGTGTCATTATTTTTTTTTTTCTTTCTTTTTGAGACGGAGTTTCACTTTTGCTGCCCAGGCTGGAGTGCAATAGTGCAATCTCGGTTCACTGCAGTCTCTGCCTCCCGGGTTCAAGCGATTCTCCTGTCTCAGCCTTCTGAGTAGCTGGGACTACAGGCACCCACAACCATACCTGGCTAATTTTTTTGTATTTTTAGTAGAGAGGGAGTTTCACCATGTTGGCCAGGCTGGTCTCGAACTCCTGACCTCAGGTGATCTACCTCGGCCTCCCAAAGTGCTGGGATTACAGATGTGAGCCACCATGCCTGGCCGGAATTCTGTGTCATTCTGGATACTTATCGTGACTTCAAGCATCCAGGACTCTGTCCTGGGTATCCTGAGCCTGAGGCTGTATGTGTGTCCAGCTGGCTTGGAGGTTGTCTACAGGCAGGTTGAACTTGGCCTCTGAGTCCATGGCAGCCTCACATGGGAAATACCACCAAGGAGTTTCATCCTGTGCTTTTAGGAGATAGTTTCTATTTAGTCATTGCTGAATCTGTTACAGACAGTGTCTCAGTTTCTTGCAAGTCCTCTATGAGGTGCGTGCTGTGATTATCCACATGTTCACTTGTTCTTTCTGGCCTCTTTCAGGCTCTTGCACTTCCTTTGCTCTTTTCCTGCCACGGGGCCTTTGCACATCCTGCTTTTTCTGCCTGGAACGATTTTCCCTCTCCCTACCTGTTCACCTGGTCATGGTCTCATCTGACAGTGGAGTCACTACATCCTCAGGGACACCTGGCCGCCACACTGACTCAGTCACAGCAACCCCCTGTTAACTGCTTTCATGACACCAGATGTCATGAGCTCAGCTATGGCTTCCTATTTCTGTGCGTGTCATCCTTCCCCTTCAAGACTGTGGTCACCATGAGGGCCAGGGCCATGCCTGTTCCTGATTCTCATTTGTGTCTCTGGTGTTTAGTATATGCTCACCTAGAATTTGATTAATGAATGATGGCATAGCCATTTTACAGATGAGAAAGTTGAGGCTCAGGGACATTATGTAACTTGCTCGGTATTAGATAGTGATGGTTTGAAGCCATCTGGCTGGTCGCTGGGTGCACACTCTTAACCACTTCACTATGGTTCTTCTGTCATGGTAGTTCTCCAACAGCAGGAGTGAGAGACAACTTTAGGACAGGTGTAACCAGAATCCCAGGGGTTATCCTAGAAGGTGGTGTCAGGAACATGCTTGCCTATGGGCCTTCTTACTGTATTGCATAAAATACCCCGTTTTTCTGACTCGCCTTTAGTAAAGACCTTAGCAATATTTGAAGCACAGTTGTCAGTAAGAAAGGGTGGGTGTTTATACTTTTTTAAAAAGGAGTCTATATCATATTTATCTTGTGGTCTGCCATGCCCCCTGATCTTCCACAGCTTCAGTTATGCAAAATTAACACTTCTTCTCTTGACTGCCTCTCTCTTACCTGTTCAGTTTCTTTTCTGTGTTCGAGATTGCTTAGAATTTTTCCCCATTACTACAGCCTGCTTCCCACCTGTATCTCCCAGCCAACTTGTTCTGGATTTTGTCAACAACAGTTCCAGCGTTTAGTGAGGGCTGGACTGAAGGAAAGCCTTGGAAAAGGCTGTGTGATGAATGGTGAAGACACTTAATGGGCAGACAGTCATCAGGGTTAATTCAAAGGCTGGAAGAAGGGCTGACCTGGAGGACTGGAAATGTCTTTGAGCTGAAGGTCATGTGCAGGTGGAACGAAGAGGGTGAGCCTTTTGGGGTGAACTGCAAGCATTTGATAAGATCCCTGTCCCCATGGTTGGGGAAGTCTTGATAAGCAACCTCAATGGGATGGAGGGATCAAGGAACCCGTGACTCAACCTGTCCAGCATGGCAGCAACATGACACAGCCAAGTTATTGATTATTGGTTGCTCAGCTGTCATCACTCAACATCTTCTGTTAGTTATAGCTGTAATTTGCATTAGTTGTCAGTGCCAGTTTTGACTTTCCTAGTCAATAAAGTGTTCTGAGAGTGGCGACTAAGGCTGAGCACTACCCATAATCATGAGTATTACAGAGGCAAGCCGCCTTGCCCACACACCTGCAGGTGATGACACACCCTAGGAAATCACTCAATTCTTTGGAGGACCCTGAATAAATGCTCAAGTCCATTTGTTCATCTGTCCATCCATCCATCCACCATTCCATCCATCCATGCATCCATCCATGCATCCATCCATGCATCCATCCATCCATCCATCCATCCATCCATCCATCCATCCATCCAGACACGCATACATCCATCCACACACCTACCTATCTGTCCACCCACCCACCCATCTATCCATCCAACCCACTCTCTTATGCACGCAGCTATCATCCACCTACCCACCCACCAACCCATCTATCCATCCACTCACCCATGACTCTATCCACCTATTCACTCATCTACCCATCTATCCACCCACCGGTCCATCCATTTATCTATCCCTCCACCCCCTCACCCACTCATCCATTTCTCCACCCACTCAGCCATCCCTTCACCGAGTCAACCATCCATTCATTCATCCATCTGCCCACCCACCCATCTTTCCATCCACCCATCTATCCACCTACCCACCTACGTATCCATCCACTGCTTGTCCTTCTGTTCATTTATTCCACAAAGACTCATTAACCACCTACTAGATTCTGGGGAGGTATCTGTTCTAGTAATTGAGAACATGGTTTCTGGAATCTGATTCCCTGGGCTCAAATTGAGCTGCCTCCTAGCTAGCTGCTTGGGTAAGTTATAGAAACTGTGCTTTGATTTTCTTATCTGAAAATTGGCTATTAATAGCTTCTACTCTTGCAGATATAGTGAGGATTAAATAAGATGACACATTAAAAGTGCATCATCGACACTCAATAGAGATTAGGTTTTGCCATTCATTATTATTCTTGGCAGATGCTGCAGATAACGTGGAGAGCATATGAAAGACACAATGTTTGAACCAGTAGTGACATACAGGTGCTAAGTTCTGCAGTAGGGGAAGGGCAGAGAGCCATGGAGAGGGCGTGGCCCAATCTTGGAGCGTCAGAAAAAAGTTCCCCGTTGAATTGCTGTTTTAGCTGAGACTTGTGGGATGGGTAGTAGTTGGAGATCCCAGACAGGAGGTGACCGAGTTAGCCAGGGAAAAATTGGGTCCTGGCACCCATGGCAGAGTTGAGTGATCCAGTCCTTCTGTCTCCTCTGGCTGGAAGTCCACCAGATCTGGGAATGTCCAGCTGGGGCAGTGGGCTGACAATGATCATGACCTTCACCTGTCCTCACATGTCCTCTGTGTATCTGCAAAGCCTCTGCCTCAGTCTCCTCTTCTGGAAAGTGGGATTGAAAACCACATCTGCTTCTCTCCCAGGACTGCTAGGAAGACAAGATTAGATGGCAGGTGAGAGCTCCTTGAAAATGAAAACATTCTGCTATTTGAATGCAAAGTGTTCTTCTTTGCCTGTGATGTTTCCTAATCTGTGAAATCATACTGGACCTCGAAGGTGTGTATTAAAAAAAAATAGCAAAGTGGCTGGGCATGGTGGCTCATGCCTGTAATCCTAGCACTTTGAGTGGCTGTGGGGGGTGGATCACTTGAGGCCAGGAGTTCGATACCAGCCTGGCCAATATGTGAAACCCCATCTCTACTAAAAATACAAAAATTAGCCAGGTGTTGTGGCGTCTACCTGTAGTCCCAGCTACTCGGAAGGCTGAGGCACAAGAATCATTTGAACTCAGGAGGCAGAGGTTGCAGTGAGCCGAGATGGCACCACTACACTCCAGCCTGGGCGACAGAGCGAGGCTCTGTCTGAAAACAGAAAAAAAAAAAAAAAAAAAAAAAAAAAGCAAAGTTAACACTTCCTCCATCTCTCCCCTAGGGGAGGCAATTTGTCAAATATTGTTGTTGGATTTTACACACAGGGAAATCTAAGGAAGGGTGGAAACCAGATCAGGAATCCAGACTCTCATCTCTCTGTTTACAGGGTCTTAAATGGGGGAGCCACTTTGGGTTCTTACCACAAGATTGCTTTGTAAAAAAAACAAGAAACAAACAAACAAACAAAATGCTCAAAAAAACAGCCCTGACCTAAATATTCACAAGGGACCTTAGGCAATATCTGCAAACAAAAGTGAGTGATGAGTGGAATCTGTCGTCTTTACAACTAAGACAGCTCCAGAGTTGAAGCAAGTGGAAACATCTCTAGAGACAGAGATTTGGGCGGGTTTTGCCAGTTAAAAGCTATGAGAACCTGGGCAGGTTTACCTCTCTGAGCTTCTGTGACCTTGTAAAATAGGCTGCATTGCGCTAAATGTGCAGGAGGAATCCCAGCATCCTCCTGTGCACAAGGCTGGTTTCTTCCCATCCTTTTCCTTGTTCTGCCTCTCTCCTCCTCTCCAAGAGACGAATACATTTGGGCCCAGTAGGGACCTATGTTTGCAAAAGCTCGCAGGCGATTCTCATGCAGACAGCCTGGCTCTGGCACTGAGTTCTTGGACACTTCTGGAGGCACATTTACTAGTGAGGAAGATCACTGTGTGCTGAAGGCATGACTCATCTTCCATTCCTTTCTTCCATAAAGCAAGGCGCATGGGTCGACTGAGCTGGGAGAGTCCACGGTGTCAGCCTCCCCCACGCTTCCCTCCCTCCTTATTCCTTGTGTGCTGTACTTTGTCTTGATTTCCTGTACTCTGCACCAAGCCAGGAGATGGTAAGCTCTCAAAAAAATCATTTTTTTGGGAAATGGGATCAAGAGGGTTTTGGTTTGCTTGTTTGTTTGTTTGAGACAGGGTCTGTCGCCCAGGCTGGAGTGCAGTGTCATGACCTTGCTCACTGCAGCCTTGACCTTCTGGGCTCAGGTGATCCTCCCTCCTCAGCCTCCTGAGTAGCTGGGACTGCAGGTGCACACCACCATGCCTGACTGATTTGTCTATTTTTTTGTAGAGATGAGGATTCACCATGTTGCCTAGGCTGGTCTCAAACTCCTGGGCTCAAGCAGTCCTCCATCCACCTTGGCCTCCCAAAGTGCTGAGATTACAGGCATGAGCTTCTCTGCCTGGCCAAGGTTTATTATTATTATTATTATGAAAAATTGTCAATATACATAAAAGTAGAGAGACCAGTTGAATGAGCTATCATATACCCATCACATAGGTTTAAAAACTATTAACATTTGCAATATTTACTCTATTTGTTTTTCTGAAGTATTTAAAAAATAGTTCACAGTAGTTATGTAATTGCATCCTGATATTCACCCCTACGTAATTTACTTTCCCTCTAAAAACATGAGGGCATTTTTTATATGATCATTGTCATACCTAATCAAATTACCAATAATTCCTTAATATCCTCTAAGATCAAGTTTACATTCAGATGTCTTGTCCTCAAAATGTCAATTGTGATTATTTTTTTCTTTGAGCAAAGATAATAAGATCTCAAGATTTAATGACAGAGATTCCATGTTAGCCCTGATGTCTAAGCTCTGTGGTCCATTGTGGCTTTACTTGAAAGTCTCAGGCGAGGCGTGGTGGCTCACACCTGTAATCCCAGCACTTTGGGAAGCCAAGATAGGTGGATCATGAGGTCAAGAGATCAAGACCATCCTGACCAACATGGTGAAACCCTGTCTCTATTAAAAATACAAAAATTAGCCAGGCGTGGTGGCGGGTGCCTATAGTCGCAGCTACTCAGGAGGCTGAGGCAGAAGAATCGCTTGAACCCGGGAGGCGGAAGTTGCAGTGAGCTGAGATTGCACCACTGCATGCCAGCCTGTGTGGCAAGAATGAGACTCTGGAAAAAAAAAAGGTCTCTCACCGTGGTCTCATAATAAAAGGACACTCCATTTCCCATCTGGCCCCTGCTCCTTAATATTAGCCCCCTGCTGTGGGGAGAAGGGGGTGACCTTCATCGCAGGTTCAAGCATTCCCAGGGCTGGCTCTGATCCCGATAAAGCCCATCATGAATGAATGCCTCCCTTGCAGGTTATTCTAAGTATTGTAAATAGTGCACGTGGAGCACCCTCATGATGCCTGGGATGGTAGTGAATATTTATAGGTTTCTTTTAGTGCCTTTTTTTTTTAGTGTTTTCCATAGTTCCATGTTTCTACAACCCTTAGGAACATCAGAATCATGTGTGTGTGGGTGCTTATTAAATACACCAATTCCTGGAGCTCACTCCCAGTGACTCCCAGTCTGATGATTAGGGGCTCAGCTAGGACCTATGTTTGCAAAAGCTCCCAGGTGATCTCATGCAGCCAGCCTGTCTCTGGCTCTGGCTCTGGCTCTGGGAGCTGGGTTGGGAACTAGTCTTTGGTGCTATTCTGCTGAAACTTCAAGTTGGGCT
The DNA here is from genome assembly GCF_000001405.40 of Homo sapiens. Classification (NCBI taxonomy): domain Eukaryota; kingdom Metazoa; phylum Chordata; class Mammalia; order Primates; family Hominidae; genus Homo; species Homo sapiens. Next base: position 7,111,249 of record NC_000008.11, read on the forward strand.
CTTTGACTCCGTCTTGTATTGTCACCCCTTGTATTCAGATCTGTTTTTCCCCTGTATTGTAAATTCCTTGATGTCTGGGTCATCTCAGCTCATGAGCTGAGCTTTCAGTGGGTGCTCAGTGGAACAGGTGCTGAGTGGAGTCAGGCTCTAGGGAGGCCAGCGTGTGCTGGTAAGTGAGAGACAAAAATCATTTTAAAAAGAATCTTTTTGCCCTTCAGTTGTGTTTACCATGAGTTAATGTGACTTACTCTAGTGGAAGCCAGTGCAGCTTAAGTGGAAGTCTTGCCCTGAAATGGAGCAAGGTTATGGATCAGCAAAGCTGCCAAAAGCATTTTGGGGGAATTGTTTCTGTGTCACCCTCAGTTGATTGAACTCAAGTTTTCACTCCCTTTTAACACCACGTGGGGGCCATTCTGACTTCTGCGGAGTGGGTATGATCAGGTCTTCTGTAAAAGTGTCAGTGAGGAGGCTGGGCACGGTGGCTCACATCTGTAATCTTAGCACTTGGAAGGCTGAGGTGGTCAGATCACTTGAGGCCAGGAGTTTGAGACCAGCCTGGCCAACGTGGTGAAACCCTGTCTGTACTAAAAATACAAAAATTAGCCAGGCATGATGGCGCATGCCTGTAATCCCAGCTACTCAGGAGGCTGAGGCAGGAGAATCGCTTGAACCTGGGAGGTGGAGGTTGCAGTGAGCTGAGGTTGCACCACTGCACTGAACTCCAGCCTGGGTGACAGAGCATGACTCTGTCTCAAAAAAAAAAAAAAAAAAAAGTGTATGTGAGGAAACTGGGATAGAGCTTGGGGATATTGGGGGATGGAGATACTTCATCTACTGAACAAAAACCATGGGATACCAATGCTGGAGGAAGAAGCATCATCCTCAGTTTCTACTAACTCAACCACGCATGAGATGGGGACTTGGTGTCCAAGAGCAGAGCCTCTTTTTAGGTCTTCAGCCTTGATCAAACCATTTCTGAATTCCTCATACACATATAATCAGGTACTATGAGTGCTACTGATTGGATAATCTTTCTGTCGTTTCCTGTGCTAGGAAGGAAAATGCATGTACAGCTAACTTCCTTGAGGGTTCGTTCTTTTGCATCAGGGTGTCTCAAGCTCCTGCTCTTAAAACACCTGCAAGAGAATCATCCAGGCGGCTTGCTCGCTCTGTATGCAGACCCTTTAGAATCAGAATCAGAATCCCTGGGGCTGGAGCCACAAAATGAAATGACATTTCAACAAGTTTGTCATCACGTAAGAGAGAATAGGTGAGTATTTGGATACCTATAATACAAAGTAGATTCAAAAAGAATAATGATTATTTTAAATGTTATGTTTTTAAAAATTTAATACAGAAAAGGCTGGGAACGGTGGCTCACGCCTGTAATCCTAGCTCTTTGGGAGGCCAAGGCGGGTGGATCATTTGAGATCAGGAGTTCAAGACCAGCCTGGCCAACAAGGTGAAACCCCACCTCTACTAAAAATATAAAAATTAGCCAGGCGGTAGTGGTGCGCGCCTGTAATCCCAGCTACAGGGGAGGCTGAGGCAGGAGAATTGCTTAAGCCTGGGAGGCGAAGGTTTGGTGAGCTGAGATCGTACCACTGCACTCCAATGTAGGTGACAATTGTTTAACCACCACCAAAATGGTTTCTGAGTCCAAATATTAATATGAAGGACATTGGTGACATTGTCTCAAAAAATTAATACAGAAAAGTACAAAAAGGGAGAGAAATCACCCCAAATCTCACGACCCCAAGAAATAAACCTCCTAATATTAAGTGAACAACATTCCTTGCTATGCACAAAGATGGCTAGAGACATGAACAGACACTTCTGATAGCACAAAATCAGATTTTAAAAAGAAGTAGCAAATTGAATGCTGTGTAAATTTATCAGAAGAAAAAGAAATGGAAGTGAAACTGAAGGAACTGGTCAACTCAGATAAATGTAGTTTTTCCTCACTAAAAATCAGTTTCTAGAACGTCAAAGAAATCAAAGATGATGAAAACTATTAAGATGTTTTATATATATGTAGAAGTCTTTACAGTTTATTAATCATCTCATGAAAAATTTGTACAGTCACTGCAAATAAAGTCATTGCAAAATCTTTACTCCTTTTGCTTTTTGCCAGCACTGACATTGGCCTTTGCAGTCTCTTGACTTCTTTCTGCCCTTGCATTCCTGTTGCTGTTTTCTTGAGGTCATCTTCTTCTCATGCCAGCTGTGTCTTGCAAGTCTATGTTTGAGTTCATTTTTCTTTGCATAATTCAAAGAACCAGATAGCATGCCAAAGCCCATTGTTTAACCACCACCAACATGGGTTCTGAGTCCAACTATTAATATGAAGATGACACATATTGTGGTCTTGTACATTTTGTTGTCTTTCCGGGGTGAAGGACATTGGTGACCATTTGTTTCCTCTGGAGTGGTCGATTGGTCATGAACTTCCTGGTCCAGATAGTTACTGTGCCATTCATGATGGTGGTTGATCCTCAGGTAGTTAGGGAGGAAAATAAACAAGAAGTTATATATTTAAAACCACGTTTCAATTTTAGACCTGATTAATTAACTTAATAAAGGGCATTAACACTTCTACTTCCTACAGTCCCTCCCTTTACCTCTGGAAACTAGTTATTTCTAGGTTGTTTTATGTTGTTAAGGTTGACCACCTTCTCTTTCTGTTCTGCAATCATAGTCCTATTTTTAAATGGATTCACCTCTCATCATTAGCCTTTTGTCATGGTCATTCAATTCACAAGTTGCTTATTTTTTAATTTCTTGGCTGACTAAATTTTATTATGAAGACTTTTTTTTTTAAAGAGCTCAGAAATACTGTATTCTTTAAGTTCTTGAACTTGTGATAGTGTCTATTGCCTATTTTGATTGGGCAATAATTTAGCTGGCTATAAAATTCTTGGATTATACTCTATTTCCCTTAGAAATTATAGGCACCCATCCACTGACATTTCATTGTGCTTTATTTATTTATTTATTTATTTTTGAGATGGAGTCTTGCTCTGTCACCCAGGCTTGAGTGCAGTGGTGCAATCTCGGCTCACTGCAAGCTCTGCCTCCCGGGTTCACACCATTCTCCTTCCTCAGCCTCCCGAGTAGCTGGGACTACAGGTGCCTGCCTCTGTGCCTGGCTAACTTTTTTGTATTTTTAGTAGAGACGGGGTTTCACCGTGTTAGCCAGGATGGTCTCGATCTCCTGACCTCGTGATCCGCTGGCCTTGGCCTCCCAAAGTGCTGGGATTACAGGTGTGAGCCACTGTATGAGCACAGCCTCATTGTGCTTTGTACTAACCCCCTTTCCCTGGTCTCTTCCAGCTTGTCTTCTTCTCTCCCAGTAGTTTCTTCATGAAGAGGCCATGTACTATATTCCATGAGATATTTCAAACTCAAAGAAGACTTCTTTTATACTCTTTTGATAATTTGTCTGGGAATCACTGTCTTGATTTATAAGAGGGTTTATAATAAATACAGTAAAAGAGAAACACAACATATTTTGAGACATCAGAGAAGGGAGAAACCAATTCTATTAATATTTGGGGTTAGCAGGGAAGGCTTAGTTAAGAGGTAACATTTGACCTAAGTCTTGAAATAAGGGAAGGATTTGGACATGCAGTAATGTGGAGAGAGTAGAAGCAAGACATGATGGTTAGTGTTATGTATCAATTTGACTGGGTTGTGGGGTGCCCAGATATTTGGCTACACATTATTCTGGGTGTGTCTCTGAGGTATTCTGGATGAGGATAACATTTAATTGGTAGACTGAATAAAGCAGATTGTCCTCCCCAATGTGGGTAAGCCTCATCCAATCCACTGAAGGCCTGAACAAAACAAAAAGGTAGAGTCACAGAGAATTTGCTCTTTTTACCTGATTATATTTGAGTTGGGACATCAATATTCTCCTGACTTTAGATATGGACTCGAGTTGGAACTCTGTCATTGGCTGTCCTGGGTCTCCAGCTTGCTGGCTGCAGACTCCAGGACTCCTTAGCCTCCATAACCATGTGAGCCATCCCTTAAAACAAATCAGTCTGTCTCTGTCTATGTGTATAGCTCTACCTCTATCTCTCTGTTCTTTCTCTGGAGAACCTAGAATAATACACAAGGTTATATTAGAGAAGAAGATGACCCAAGGAAAAGCATGGAGTCAGAAAAGTGCAAAGAGGGTTTGGGAAGACTGGGGTCCTGATGGGGAGTTTGGATTTCTCTGTGTGTAGCATGGAGAATCCTTGAAAATAGTCAAGAGGTGAAAATTGTATCTGTGGAAGAACACCAGGAGTATGTGAAAAGAAAAACATTCACTCCGTTTTAACTCCACTGAAGGGGGCATCAAAAGGATACACTGGGGACATGGGTTGGAGGGTAGTTGAGGCCATATCTGGAGGATCTTTACTTCTAGGCTGAGTCTGAATTTATCTTTCTGGGGAGTGGGAGATTAAAAATCTTTGAGCTCCACTCAAGAGATGGTTTTGCTAACAATGGCAGGGCGACGGTGGTGGTGGTGGTGGTGGGAAACTGGTAGCATGAATTCTAATTGGGCTTCTGTTATTCCAGCCGAGAAAGTTGGGGAATGGACTTTCAGTAGAATAATACAGACCTGGGAATCAACTGCATGGAGGAGGTAGTTATAGGTGATGAGATGGCTCAGGGACAAAGTTGTGTAGAAGGAGAAAAGATACTAGTCTGGTACAAAAATAATTGCTGTTTTTGCCATTACTTTTAATGGCAAAATCCACAATTACTTTTGCACCAACCTAATTAGGATGCAGACTTCAGAGCCATCTGCATCAGAGGGATTGATGAAGATCAGCAAAGTTTGGGAACACAGGAAAGGAGAGGGGAGGGTAATGACTTGAGGGCATAGCAGGGATAATCAAGGTTTTTCCTGTTAGCATGTGGAGACTTAAGCATGATTATATGTTAATCGCCTGGCACATACATGGTGCGAAATATTTATGAGTGAAATGACAAGTGAAGGTGGTGAGTCATGGGAGTTCCAAGGGAATGGGTGATAAAGGGAGGTCTCAAATGAGGCACAAGTGGAGAAGGTAGCTTGGGAAAGGAGAATGATGCTTCTCCTTATAAGATGGGAAAGGCAGAGGAAGAGGGTCAAGATACAGTGATCTAGGGGTGAGATGGAAGTGAGTTGAGAGAACTCAACTCTGGGCTCTGAAACCCCTAGGGATGGGTTTGGGGGGCTTTGAGATATGGAAGAGGTTTAAAGTTAATTATTATAGCAAATATGGTTTGGAATTTATTTGTCACGCTTAAAAATATTGCTGAACAGAAGTGAAGTCTACCCTAGAGTTGGATGGTGAGATTATTTAGTGGAACTACCAGATCCATGTTGTGATTCTTCCCAGTATCATTCAGCAGCCCTTGGGCAGTTGCGAGGCAAGTCATCAATGGGGTATGGAGATTTTCCAGGTGGGTGTGGTTGAAGGCAGGGAAGAACGCGTTTAGGAGCACATTACAAGAAGGTGACTGTAAGGTCCAGGCTGAGCAGGAAGGTAAAGCAAGAAGGAAACATGAGGTTGTGAAGAGAAGTTTAGAGGGATGAGGAGGCAGGAGAGGTGAACAGTTGCAGGATGTAGCTAGAGTGGCGATGTTAGATCTAGGGGCCAGACAGCTTTACAATGATGATGAAGATCAAAGGGCATTAGAATCAAGCTATAAAGAGCCACTGTTTGATGTTGGGATGTGAGGATGCTGCAGGTGGATGTGTGCACATTGATGGTGAGAACATGGTCACCCTGGCCCTGCTGGGTCTTTGCTAAAAAGACTGTGCTCTGTTCTTGGGGCCGTTTTCATCACCTGATTAGAGCAGTGGTCCCCAAATGGTGTTCTTTGGACCATCTGTATAAAATGTTCATAGGTCAAGGATAAAATGGAAAAACAGAGACTGTGTCACAGAAATGTACCCACTGGTGAAAGACCACCAGCTGTCCTTTTTGGAGGATTGTTCTTTATTCTAAAAATGTATATATTCTGTTCTATTAAAACATTTTTGTATTTGCATTTTTTTTCTCTTTTATGAAATGCCATGGGGTAGAACTTTGTAATGTATCCAATTCTCCTGTCTTCATGCATTGCCCTGTGGTGGGGGAGGGGATGTGGCTAGTACTGGCCAAGAGGCTGGGGGCAGAAGTGCAGTGTTAGACTTCTAGCCTGGAGTATTTAATTCCTAGTACAAGACTGTCTAGCATTCTTCTCCCTCTGTTCCCTGCTTGGTGATACTTGAGGTATTGCAGCCCCCATTAGCCTTAGTCTTAGGGCAAGTTTGATGGGAAACAGAGCACCCCACACCTCCCTGCAGATGAAGCATGAGTGAGAAAAACAACTTCTGATGTTTGAAGTTACCAAGATTTAGGAGTTGTTTGTTATTGCAGCAAAACCTCACCTATTCTGACCAATCATGGTGGAATTTCTGTGTGTATGTGTGTGTGTGTGTGTGTTTGTGTGTGTGTGTGTAAAACTGGTAGTTTAAAAAAGTTCCTTCTTACCAAAAAGAAAAAAAAGTAGCAACCTTATGTTGGTTCTCAAATTAATAAAATATTTTTACTGGTTTATAAAATAGAAAAATCTGAGAATCTGTAGCTTAGAGAACTACAGTGTGGGATGCCTATAAAGACCAGGTTATTTTATCAGCTCCTAACACCCCTTAATAGAAGCTTAGCCAAGACTTGGACTATTTCAGTATTTCCCATTCCACATTCCATGGACTCTTGAAGAGACATTGATGAAACGGTGCAGCCATGAACCACCCTCACTCAATCCTAGTGGCAGAATCCCCCTTTTACTGCAGAATGAGCTTCTTGCTACAGTGATACTTGAACCCCTTAGATATATCCTGTACTAATTATATTAAAACACGACCAATGCTTTTGCTTTGTTGTCCCCCAAATTAAACACCTTAATCATGAGAACCCAGAGAATTGGATTTAGTGTGACCGATTCCAAACTGTCAGTAAGAACACAATTAGGTTATATTTTTCTCCAGTTCAAATAAAAGAAAATTGACAATAAAATGCTGATCAATATGTGTAGCTCAGGAGGTAGAGCCTGCTTTGAGATGCAGAAGTGTTTGTTTTTTTTAGATCCATATTCTTCAGTAAAGAAAAAATCCATCTCTCTTTCCTAGAGGGGAAGACTTTCAGAGCTGGGCTTGGCAACAGCCTATCAGAGGCTGAATTAAACAAATAGGTACCTCCCTGGAGTGAATGGTGCATTTCTCCTATTCGGGGAACCGTGCTTTTATGGTGGAGTTTGCTTTCTGTCTTGGTCTCCGGATGTGTGTATCTGTGGATTGATGTCTGCATGTAAATGGCAATGTATACCTGTGTGGGTGTGTAGAAAATTCCCATGTGAATCTCAGGTTTGTGGGGATCTCCAGGTCTTGAGCCCAGAAGATGCCAGTTGAAGAAAAGTCACTTGAAAATGAGACAGAAAGAACGGAAACTAAATCCTAGCTCTAAAGGCACCAGGCTGATTAAAAACAAAACTCTGGATCTTCTTTGTTTTGGACTCTACCTACCTCCAAATGACATTTCTGTTTCCTCTGAAATGATTAGAATGACAGAGATCCTGAGCACGAAAGAGCAGATACTGTGTGATTCTGTGTATGTCAGGGTGTCAGCTGTGAGGCTGCTGACATTTCGGCTCAGCAATTTCTCTGTTGTATGTGTGGGGGTTCCCTGTGCATTTTAGGATGTTGAGCGGCATGCCTGGATCCCTGGAGTCACTGGATGCAGTAACACAACTTCCTCCAAGTACAGACAACCCCCAGTGTCTCCAGATATTGCCTAATGTCCCCAGGGAGCAAAATAGCCCCATCTGAGAACTGCTGCTTTCATAAAGTACAATGTCTGGTGAAATAGGTAGAGGCTGTTTTTAGTCAGGCGTTAGTAGAGATGGAAGAGACCCCAGGAACATCCTGGAAGGGGCTGTAATGTTCTGTTTCTTGAATTGGGTGTCGGTAATATGGAGACGTTCAATTTTTTTTTTTTTTTTTTTGGCAGGATCTTGCTCTGTCACCCAGGCTGGAGCACAGTGGCACCGTCTTGGCTCACTGTAGCCTTTGCCTCCTGGGCTCAAGCAGTCTTCCCACCTCAGCCTTCCTGAGTAGCTGGAACTACAGGCAGGTGCCATCACTGTTGCCTAATTTTTGTATTTATTTATTTTTTGTAGAGAGGGGGGTCTCACTATGTTGCCCAGGCTGGTCTCGAGCTCCTGGGCCCAAGCAGTCTGCTCACCTCGGCCTCCCAAAGTGCTGGGATGATAGGCATGAGCCACTGCGCCTGGCCAGTATGTTCAGTTTGTAAGAAAAGTACTGTGTTGACCTCTTCTATGTGCACATTTCTTTAAGTAATAATTCAATAAAGCATTTAGAAAAATTGGTCATAATAGGAGTGATTTGTAGAGTGATTGGCATGAAAGCTGATCACCTTAATTTGAACTACTCTGAAATGAGCACCAGGGGCCACCAAGTGGAACTTTTCAAGGTGTCATAGCCAAGGATAGGAGTGTGTTGTGTACATCTCTGCATAAAGGATTTGCTGGTTACATGGAAGGATGAAGCCTCCTTCTGAGGACAGAGGCAGCAAGGCAAGTGGAAGCCGAAAACATTGAGCTTTGTAAATGGACTTTGCTAAAATCTTGTGGATGACTCATGCTCTTAACATACACCCATGTACATATTGTCCATATAAACATTAATTCTGTAACAAGCCCCACACATAAGGGTATTTTTTTCTTTCGAGACAGTCTTGCTTTATTGCCCAGGCTAGAGTACAGTGGCATAATCGTGACTCACTGCAACCTCCACCTCCTGGGTTCAAGCAATGCTTGTGCCTCAGCCCCCCGAGTAGCTGGGACTACAGTTGCACACCACCATGCCTGTCTAATTTTTGTATTTTTAGTAGAGACAGGGTTTCAACATGTTGGCCAGGCTGGTCTCAAACTCCTGGCCTCAAGTGATCTGCCCACCTCAGCCTCCTAAAGTGTTGGGATTACAGTTGTGAGCCACTGTGTCTGGGGCCACACTTAAAGTTTGAGTTTAGATAGAGAAACTCTGGCAGGACTGAGGAATTTGGCCACAGTCTCTGGGAAATATGCACAATTTCTGGAATCTTCTCTACTTGCAGAGTTCCCACTTTCTATCTGTCTCCTATTTATTCAACAAATTTGTATGGAACCACAGTGTGTCTAGAACTTGCCAGGCGTGGAGGATAAAAGATGACTGAGGTCGGGCATGGTGGCTCATGCCTGTAATCCCAGCACTTTGGGAGGCCAAGGCAGGCAGATCACTTGAGGTCAGGAGTTTGAGCACAGCCTGGCCAACATGATGAAACGTCTCTAATAAAAATACAAAAATTAGCCAGGCATGGTGGCACGCACATGTAGCCCCAGCTACTTGGGAAGCTGAGGCAGGATAATCACTTGAACCCAGGAGGCAGATGTTGCAGTGAGCTGAGATCACCCCGCTGCATTCCAGCCTGGGAGACAGAACGAGATTCCATGTCAAAAAAAAAAGATGACTGAGATACAGACTCCATCAGAGTTGACTCTGACACAAATTTGGTAAGAGCCCAAGGTCTGGCTGGGCAAGGACCTTGATCGGCTTCATCCTGCAGCCTCTACTAGAATGAAGAGCACTTTTTCCTTTACTCATGAAAATGTTTTGTGCTTCGTACCTACAAGTACAATTTGTGTTAATTCTGCAAAATATGCCACATAACTCTGCCTGTATTCTTAGCATTTTTCCTTTGAGAGATTTCTCAGCACATCATCTTTGGACTATGTGGAATTGGAAATTTACTTAGAGTCAACAACAAGTACAGGAAAGTCAGTTCTTAGCCAAGAGTTAGGTTTTCAAAGACAGTGGATAAAATAAACAATCTAGTACAGTCAAGATTATACGTGCAAATCCCCTCATCATTCATAAAGTTTAGCCGTCAGTCTTACCGTGGCTCACCAGGTCCAATCCATACTTCTTCCTCCACGATTGGAGCAGAGGGTGATTTTTTTTTTTTATGAGCAACTGCTGAAGTCATTTAGAGACCATTTGCAGTAGGAGCCCTGTGTACTAGAGACCAATCAATGTGCCCTCATGGCACCATTTCTGCCTCTCTCCCTCTTTGTTCTTGCCAAGTACCCATAGTTCATTTTCCATAGATTAAAAGAGCCCAAGTTGGGCCTATACCTAGGAGTACAATTACTGGGTCATTTGGTAACTCTATGTAGAATTGTTTGGGAAGTTGTTAAACTGTTTCTCACAGTGGCTACACCATTTTAATTCCTACCAGCAGTGTATGAAAGTTCTAGTTTCTCTGCATCCTCACCAACACTTGTTATTTTCTGTATTTTTTTTTTGAGACTAAGTCTTTCTCTGTCACCCAGGCTCGAGTGCAGTGGCACAATCTCAACTCACTGCAACCTCTGCCTCCCAGATTCAAGTTACTCTCCTGCCTCAGCCTCCCGAGTAGCTGGTATTATAGTCACCTGCCACCATGCTTGGCTAATTTTTGTATTTTTTTAGTAGAGACAGGGTTTCACCATGTTGGCCAGGCTGGTTTCAAACTCATGGCCTCAGGTGATCCACCTGCCTCGGTCTCCCAAAGTGCTGGGATTGCAGGCATGAGCCACCACTCCACGCCAATTTTCTCTATCTTCAATTCTAGCCATCCTTATGGGTATGGAGTGGTATCACATTGTGGTTTTGATATCTGTTTCCCTGATGATGAATTTCATTGAGCATCTTTTCATGTGCTTATTGGCCACTTGTATGTCTTCTTTGGAGATGTGCCATATTTTCATATTCAAAAAGGAAAGCACAGGTCCACACAAAATTTTGTACATGAATAATTACAGTAGCATCACTCCTAATAACCCACAGAGGGAATTAATCCAAATGCCCATCACCAGATGAAGAGATACACCGATTGTTGTCTACCCACATGGTGGAATATTATTTGATCACAAAAAGGAGGAAAGTACATACGCTACAGCGTGGATGAACCTTCAAAACAGATGAAAGATCACATTCTACATGATTTCATTCAGATGGAAATCTATAGAAATAGGAAGTCGATTAGTGGTTGCTTAGGGCTGGTAGGGGCATGGGAGGATAGGGGGTGATAGCTAAAGGGTATGAGGTTTCTTTTTGAGGTCATGAAATGTTCTAAAATTGACTGGTAATGTTTGCGTGTATCTCTGAATATATTAACCATTGAAATGTAAAAAAATGCAAAGAAAAAACAGCCCAAGATGCAATTTTATTCAACACTTGATTGGCTTTAGAAATAGATTCCAGGCTGGGCATGGTGGCTCACACCTGAAATCCCAGCGCTTTGGGAGGCTGCGGTGGGAGGATTACTTGAGGCCAGGAGTTCCAGGCCAACCTTGGCAACATGGCAAGACCCTGTCTGTACAAAAAAGAAAAAATAAATATCAGCTGGGTGCAGTGGCTCACACCTGTAATCCCAGCACCTTGGGAGGCTGAGGCGGGCAGATCACCTGACATCAGTTCAAGACCAGCTTGGCCAACATGGTGAAACCCCTTCTCTACCAAAAATATAAAATTTAGCCTTTTGCTACTCTGAGCAGCACCATGGCGGTTGTTAAGAACAAGTGCCTTATGAAAGGTGGCAAAAAGGGAGTGAAGAAGAAAGTAGTTGGTCCATTCTCTATGAAAGATCAGTATGATGTGAAAGCACCTGCTATGTTCAATATAAGAAATATTGGAAAGACTTGGTCACCAGGACTCAAGGAACCCAAATTGCATCTGATGGTCTCAAGGGTCTTGTGTTTGAAATGAGTCTTGCTGATTTGCAGAATGATGAAGTTGCATTTAGAAAATTCAAGCTGATTACTGAAGATGTTCAGGACAAAAGCTGCCTGACTAACTTCTATGGCATGGGTCTTACCTGTGACAAAATATGTTCCATGGTTGAAAAATGTTCAACAATGATTGAAGCTCATGTTGATGTCAAGACTACCGATGGTTACTTCTTTCTTTTGTTTTGTGTTGGTTTTACTAAAAAACACGACAATCTGATACTGAAGACCTCTTATGCTTAGCACCAACAGTCTGCCAAATCCAGAAGAAGATGATGGAAATCATGACCTGAGAGGTGCAGACAAATGACTTGAAAGAAGTGGTTAATAAACTGATTCCAGACAACATTGGAAAAGATGTAGAAAAGGCTTGCCAATTTATCCTCTCCATGATATCTTCATTAGAAAAGTAAAAATGCTGGAGAACCCTGGGTTTGATAGGCATGGAGCTTCGTGGTGAAGGTAGTAGTTCTGGAAAACCCACTAGGGACAAGACACATGCTAAAGTTGAATGAGCTGATGGATAGGAACCACCAGTCCAAGAATCTGTTTTAAGTTCAGACTTAAAACAGTGGCAAATAAGAAGTCCTATTTGTGAAAAACAAACAAGAAACAACAATGAAAAAAGCAAAATTAGCCTGGTGTGGTGGTGCATGCCTGTAATCCTAGCTACTCAGGAGGCTGAGGCACGAGAATCACTTGAACCCAGGAGACAGAGGTTGCAGTGAGCCAAGATTGCACCATTGCACTCCAGCCTGGGCAACAGAGTGAAACTCTCTCCAAAAAGAAACAGGAAAAAAAAAAGTATCGGGGCTTGGTGGCATGCGCCTGTATTCTCAGCTACTCTGAAGGCTGAGATGGGAGGATAGCTTGAGGCCAGGAGTAATTTGAGGCTGCAGTGAACTATGATTGTGATACTGCACTCCAGCCTGGACTGGAGAGCAAGACCCTGTCTCTCATACATACATACATACATACATACATGCATACATGCATACATACATACACACATGCGCACATACATACATATCCAGGCTATACCTCTGGTGATTCTGACTCAGTAGGGTGGGGTATCCCCTAGGGATCCTGCTGTTCAGCCTGGTCTGGGATCCACTTTTCATTGGGAACTGAGACACTGGCTGTGAGCCTTTCTGTCCTGTGATGTAGAGGTCATGGCGACGCAGGTTCAAGCTTAAGGAGACCTGACTGTGCGTTAGGTATTGTGCTGAACATCATCTCTTACTCTCACAGCAACATCCTTAGAAGGTTAATGATGTGTCCCCGCTCTACAGATGAGAAACTGAGCTTTGAGAGGAGTTTAGCTTGTTCAAAACTTATTCTTCCTATTGGAAAATTTGTACCCTTTGAGCAGTGTCTCCTATCCGCTACCTTTCCTCCACCCCAGCCCCTGATAAACACTGTCTTACTCTCTATTTCTGTGAGTTCAACTTCTTTAGATTCCACATATAAGTAAAATCATGCAGTATTAGTCTTTCTGTGCCTGGCTTATTTCACTTAACACAATGTCTTTCAAGTTCATCTATGTTGTTGAAAATGACAGGCTTGCTTTCTTTTTTAAGGGTTAATAGTATTCCGTTGTGTGTATATAGTACATTTGCTTTATCCTTTCATCCACTGACGGACACGTAGGTTGATTCTATATCTTGGGTATTGTGAATAGTGCTGCAGTGAACATAGGAATGTAGGGATCCCTTCGACATATTGATTTCGATTTTTTTTTGTCTATACCCAGAAGTTGGGTTGCTGGATTATATGCTTTGAAATCTATAACACAGCAGCGTGACTATAGTCAATAATAACGTATCTTTCAAAATAACTAAAAGGCTACATTTCAAGTGTCTCATCATAAAAATTGTCAATAAATTAGGGGATGGACATGTTAATTAGTTTGATCTAATCATCCCACATTGTATACACATATCAAAACATCACATAAATGTGTACAATTATGATTTGTCAATTAAAATAAAGTTAGTTAAAAAAATAAGTAACTTGTTCAAAGCCCCAGTTGGGATTGATGGAGCCGGGACATGCACCAAGGCTTATGCTCTCAGGCTCACAGAGTCCTTGGTCCACAAATGTTGAAGCCCTACCTGAGATTTCTACTGAGATCAGTGTAGGGATTCGATGTCTCAGAATCATCCCATCCTCCAGGGCCCACAAGTCCATGACCGTTGGCTCTACCCCCGACCCTGCTGACCTGAAATGTGGCACCTGCTTTCATTTCCAGGAGCATACAACACTTACACCAAGCATTGATGGGTTTTATTGACTTCATTTGAGATTGGGGCCGTGGAGAGGGTCCCATGATCCTTGCTTGGTGTTGGCCAACTCATTGACTTCGCTCTTTGACTTCACCCTTCCCTTTTCTACTCACCTCCTCTGTCATGGATTGCTCTGGGAATTCTGAGCCCTAGTTCCTTTATTTTGCAGATAACCTTCACTCTTCTCTGCAACGAATCCCAAAAGTATGTAGTTGAGCTGACTGCAAGGTGCTTGACATGCAAGAGGCTCCACAAATGGGATTCGGCCTCTGGAAAGTGGTGGTAGTTCCAGATTTATGTGTATGTTACTTTGTTTTTCCCTATAAAATATATTCTTTAAACTATCAAGCTCTTGGCTCCTGGATGCAGTCCTTTGCTGGTGGCAGTTGGCTGGGTACTGTCACTGGGGAGAAATGCTGCCCACTTAGAGAAAGAGTAACTGGTTCTCTTTAAGAGGCAGAGGAAGGTTTCCAGTGCCAGTTTGTTTGGAGGCAAAATGGCTGTTGTATTAAAATTGCCCAAACTTGGGCTGGTGCCTTGTGTGTTTAGAGCTCAAAGCCATGATTGTTTTCATTTTTTTTTTGGTGGTCGGTTTTACATCCTTTTGCTTGGTAGGTTTCTGCTAATAGCTTCAACCTCAAGAGTGCCATTATACAGACACTAATAGCACCTACTATGTGTCAGGCATTGGAGATAATATAATGATGAACAAGATAAACATGGCACTTGGAAAAGAGAGTCTAGTTCCCACTCTCAGCCCACCCCAAAGAGAGGCCAGAATTGGGCTTCCAAAGATCTCAGATGCCCTTGCAGCACCTCCCTGTAGAGGGCGGGTGAAGCCTTGGTGTCTGAAGAGAATTTGGCTGGACAATCCCCGAGGTTTGGAACGATGGGAAAGAGCTGCCATCTGTGTTTAAGGTGAGAAGGGGGGAGTGGCTGTATATCAGAGGAAGCCAAGATGAAGAGAAGGTTTTTGTGAGTTCCTATGCATAGTGGAGACCTGTTCTAGTGAGGGTCCCTGGGGCTGAGCCTGTGGTTCAGTGGAATGATGCTGTGAGGAGGGTCTTTTTATAGCAGATGGCCCAAAAAAGGCTGATGGATCATGAGCAGCTGGAAGAATGGAGAGTTCGGGGGAAGGAGTTCCTACCTGGCTTTCCAACAGTGTGTAAGCCCAGAATTCTTACATAAGCCCATGGAGAAGGGAAAGCAATGATGGTAATGACAAGATTGAATTCTCCACCTGCCAGGCATCCAGGGACTCAGAGCAGATTTAACTGAAGTTACAGAAATAGGAATGTGACATTTCCTACATCCGGATGTGCTGGAGCAAAATGTATTCCCTCTCTGGTTTGTGAGGAAGGAGAATGCTAACAGACAAGACTCCAGGTTTTCGCTCTTAAACCTGGTGCCTAGAAATGCATTTTCTACTGGATGCAGACAGAAGCTCCATATAGACATATCCATCGCTGCATCTCTCATGCCTTGTGTTCTCCCTAATTTTCCCTTTTTAACCCACAGAGGAAGAAAGTTCAAGCACCACTTCTGGCCTCTCAAGAGTGAGTTTGGTGGCCAGGTGGGGTTATTCATGCCTGTAATCTCATAATGAAGGGGTGGCCTGCCCCTCCACACCTGTGGGTATTTCTAGTCAGGTGGGATGAGAGACAAAAAAGAAATAAGACACAAAGTATAGAGAAACAACAGTGAGCCCAGGGGACCGGCGCTCAACATACTAAGGACCTGCACTGGCACAGGTCTCTGAGTTCCCTCAGTTTTTATTGATTATTATCTTCATTATTTCAGCAAAAAGGAATGTAGTAGGAGGGCAGGGTGATAATAAGGAGAAGGTCAGCAACAAACATGTGAGCAATAGAATCTATGTCATAATGAAGTTGAAGGGAAGGTACTATGACTGGACGTGCACGTAAGCCAGATTTATGTTTCTCTGCACCCAGACATCTCAGTGGAGTAAAGAATAACAAGGCAGCATTGCTGCAAACATGTCTCACTTCTCACCATAGGGCGGTATTTCTCCCATCTCAGAACTGAACAAATGTACAATCGGGTTTTATACCGAGACATTCAGTTCCCAGGGGCAGGCAGGAGACAGTGGCCTTCCTCTATCTCAACTGCAAGAGGCTTTCCACTTTGACTAATCCACCTCAGCACAGACCCTTTATGGGTGTCGGGCTGGGGGACCATCAGGTCTTTCTCATCCCACGAGGCCACTTTTCAGACTATCACATGGGGAGAAATCTTGGACAATACCCAGCTTTCAAGGGCAGGGCTCCCTGCGGCTTTCCACAGTGCATTGTGCCCCTGGTTTATTCAGACTAGAGAATGGCGATGACTTTTACCAAGTATATTGCTTTCAAACATTTTGTTAACAAGGCACGTCCTGCACAGCCCTACATGCCTTAAACCTTGATTTCATACAACACATGTATTTTGAGCTCCAGGTTTGGTCAAAGTGGTGGGGGCAAAGTGGCTGGGGCAAAGCTACAGATTAACAACATCTCAGCAAAGCAATTGTTTAAAGTACAGGTTTTTTTCAAAATGGAGTCTCTTATGTCTTCCCTTTCTATGTAGACACAGTAAGAGTCTGATCTCTCTTTCTTTTCCCTACATATCCCCCTTTTCGTTTTGACAAAACCACCACCATCATCATGGCCCCTTCTCGCTGGTCGCTGTCTCTCTGGAGCTGCTGGATACACCTGTAGACTAATAATAGAAAAGACAGACAGACAAGGATTAATACAAAATTTACAATAATGGAATTTCCGGTGGTTTTAACCCAAGTGACGGGGGCAAGAGGACGGTGTGGGTACTTCGGTACCCGGGCAGTCTCCCACCTCCTTTGTGTCTTAGTTGCTGTTTCTCATAGTTTTCAGTCTTTCTCCTCACCTGCTCACTCGCACCTTTTATCTCTTTGTCTCCCTTCTCTTATGGTCTCTCTCTCTCTCTTTTACACTATCTCTCTCCCCAGTCTCACTTTTTGTGTCTGTCTCTGATCTCTGTCTCTTTTTCTTTCTATTCCTCGTCCTGGCTCTCCACATGTGCCATTTTCTTGGTGGATGGTAACTTCATCTCTTCTTCTGATATCACCATTTTGTTCACCCTGCGAGTCGATGATGCTCGATTGCGTGTTTTCTGTCTCTGCGGAGGCACTTTCATTTGCATCTCTGATAGGTTCATTGTAGAACTTCAAATGTCTAGTGGGTATCCAAACAGGAAGCTGATTTTCTTCTGGTGAAACACGAACAAAACCTCTCCCCCATGTTATCACTTTACCTATTTCCCATGTTTTGTTTTGTTGTCTTTCCACCAAATCAATTTTCACTCATGTGGGCTGTTCTTTTCACCAGTAAAATGTTCTGCAGAAGTAGTGGTCTCATTTCTATGTATGTTTAGAAAATTTAAAGTATAGAGTGTTAGATTAAGTTGCATCTGGGAAGTGTTATACTCCTTACTGTCTGTTTCCTTTTTTTGTTTAACCAATTGAGCTTTGAGTGTTCTAAGCAGGACAGGTAAGATCTGCGTCTGGCACAGCCAGCCAGGTCTCCTTACCCTCGGCCTCCCTTTCTGCCTGTGACTGAATGGGTATGTCATGGTCTAGTAGGGGATCCAGGAGGAGGAAGCCTCATTAACTTCTATTCTGCAGCAATTGATGGCCACCCAACTTGAACAGTGGGGGCTTATCACCTCATGTATTAAGACCGGAGATAGCTGATGCCAAGGTTGGCTAAATTAGTAGCATGAGATGTTAGGTTTTTCATTTGAGGTTTCTATGGTGCTATTGCCTTCTGCTCTTGGTCACAGAGGCTGCCACAATCCGCATGTCAAGTCCTCATGTGACAATATCCAGACACAGCAAGGAAGAGGTACAGTGTATTCCTGCATGTTTCTTAAAAAAATATTTTTGATAGAGAATAATTGTACAGATTTTTGGGTTCCATGTGAGGTTCCGGTACATGCATGCAATGTGTAATGATCAAATCAGGGTCTTTAGGATATTAATCACCTCAAACATTGATCATTTCTTTGTGTTGGGAATATTTCAAATCTTATTGCTATTTAGAAATATACAATAAATCCATTTATCAGGATACAAAATCTATGTACACACATCAGTAGCAGTGCTATACACCAACATCTACCAGGCTGAGAATCAAATCAAACCCTTTTATAATAGCTGTAAAAATAAAATACTTAGGAATATACCTAACCAAGGAGGTGAAAGACTCCTACAAGGAAAACTACAAAACACTGTTGAAAGAAATCATAGATGACAAAACAAATGGAAACACATTCCATGCTCATGGATGGGTAGACTCAATATTGTGAAAATGACCATACTGCCAAAAGCAGTCTACAAATTCAATGTAATTCCTATCAATATACCATCATCTTTCTTTATAGAACTGGAAAAAAAAAATGCCAAAATTCCGTTGGAACTAAAAAAGAGTCTGCACAGCCAAAGCAAAACTAAGCAAAAAGAACCAATCTAGAGGCATCACATTACCCAACTTCAAACTATATTACAAGACTATAGTCACCAAAACAGCATGGTGCTAGTATAAAAATAGGCACATGACCAATGGGACAGAGTAGAGAAGCTAGAAATAAAGCCAAATAGTTAACAGCCAGCTGATCTTCGACAAAGTAAACAAAAACAAAGTAGGGAAAGTACACCCTATACAACAAATAGTGCTGGGATAATTGGCAAGCCACATGTAAAAGAATAAAACTGAATCCTCATCTCTCACCTTATACAGAAATCAACATAAGATGGATCAAAGACTTAAATCTAAGGTCTGAAACCATAAACATTCTAGAAGATAACATTGGAAAACGCTTCTACACATTGGCTTAGGCAAACAGTTCATGACCAAGAACCCAAAAGTAAATGCAACAGAAACAAAGATAAATAGATGGGACTCAATTAAACTAAAAGCCTCCTGCACAGCATAGGAAATAATCAGCAGAGTGAACAGATCACCCACAGAGTGGGAGAAAATTTTCGCAAACTGCATCTGACAAAGGACTAATGTCCAGAATCTACAGGGAACTCTAATCAGCAAGAAAAAATAATCCCATCAAAAAGTGTGCCAAGGACATGAATAGACAATTCTCAAAAGAAGATATACAAATGGCCAACAAACATATGAAAAAATGCTCAACATCACTAATTACCAGGGAAATGCAAATCAAAATCACAATGCAATACTACATGTAAAATAAACAAAAATAGGGCCGGGTGCGGTGGCTCACGCCTGTAGTCCCAACACTTTGGGAGGCCGAGGTGGGCTGATCAGGAGGTCAGGAGTTTGAGACCAGCCTGACCAACATGGTGAAACCCAGTCTCTACTGAAAATACAAAAATTAGCCGGGCATGGTGGCAGTTGCCTGTAATCCCAGCTACTCAGGAGGCTGAGGCAGGAGAATTGCTTGAACCCGGGAGGCAGAGGTTGCAGTGAACTGATATGGCACCATTGTACTCCAGCCTGGGAGACAGAGCAAGACTCCGTCTCAAAAAAAAAAAAAACAAAAAAAGCAAAAATTGGTGTTGACACGGACATGGTGAAAGAAAACGCTTTTACACTGATGGTGGGAATGTAAGCTAGTACCGCCACTATGGAAAGCAGTATGGAGATTCCTTAAAGAACTATAAGTAGATCTACCATTTGATCCAGCAATCCCACTGCTAGGTATCTACCCAGAGGAAAAGAAGTCATTATATGAAAAAGATACTTTTGCACACATGTTTACAGCAGCAAAATTCACAGTTGCAAAACTATAGAACCAGCCCAAATGCCCATCAATCAATTAGTGGATAAAGAAAATGTATATATATATATGTATACACACACACACACACATATATATACCATATACACAAATATACACATACACAAATATACACATATATATACCATAGAATACTACTTAGCCTTAAAAAGGAATGAAATAATGGCTTTCATAGCAACCTGGATGGAGTTGGAGACCATTATTCTAAATAATGTAACTCAGGAATGGAAAACCAAACATTGCATGTTCTCACTCTTAAGTGGGAGGTAAGCTATGATGATGCGAAGGCACAAGAATGAAACAGTGGACTTTGGGGGCTCAGGGGGAAGGTGGGAGGGGTTGAGAGATAAAAGACTATGCATTGGGTAAACTGCTTTGCTGATGGGTATGCCAAAATTTCAGAGATCACCACTAAGGAATTTATCCATGTAACAAAATACCACCTGTTCCCTAAAAACTATTGAAATGAAAAATATATATACACAACAAATTGTTGTAGTCACTTTCTGTGATAATGAACACTAGATCTTATTCCTTCTATTATATATTTTTATACCCATTAATCAACTTCTTTTCAAACCCCTCCTAATCCCAGCCTCTGGTAACTATCATTCTATTCTTTATCTCCATGATATCAATTTTATATAGCTCCAGGGCACACAAGTCCATAATTGCAGTCTCTATCCCTGATCCTACTGACCTGAAACATGGCCCCCACTTTGATTTCCAGGAGCATAAACTGCTCATATAAGTGAGAACATGAAATAGTTTTCTTTCTGTGCATGGCCTAGTTCACCTAACTTTATGACCTTTAATTCCATCCATTTAGCTGAAAATGACAGGATTTCATTCTTCTTTATGGCTGAGTACTATTCTCTTGTGCGTATATTCCCATTTTCTTTATCCATTCATCCATTGATTGACACTTAGATTGATTCCATATCTTGGCTACTGTAAATAGTGCTGCAGTAAATATGGGGGTACAGATATCCCGTTGATACACTGATATCCTTTTTTTTGGGTATATACCCAGGAGTGGGATTGCTGGATCATATGGTAGATCTGTTCTTAGTTTTTTGAGAAATCTCTGTACTTTTTTTCATAGTGGCTGTACTAATTTACATTCCCACCAACAATATACGATAATTTTCTTCTCTTCACATTCTTGCCAGCATTTGTTGTGCTTTGTCTCTTTAATAATAGCCATTCTAACAAGTGTGAGATGATATCTCACTGTGGTTTTGATTCGCATTTCCGTGATGATTAGTGATGTTGAATATTTTTTCATAAACTTGGTGATTTGTATATCCTCTTTTGAGGAATGTCTGTTTATTTTTTGATAGTTTCTTTTGCTGTGCAGAAGCTCTTTCATTTAATTAGATCCCATTTGTCAATTTTTGCTTTTGTGGCAATTGCGTTTGGCATCTTCACCATGAACTCTCTGCCCATCACTATGTACCGGATGGTATTGCCTAGGTTGTCTTCCAGGGTTTTTATAGTTATGGGTTTTACATTTAAGTCTGTAGGCCATCTTGAGTTAATTTTTGTATATGGTGTAAGGGAGGGGTGGTGTCTTTTCACTCTGTTGATTGTTTTCTATGATATGCAGAAGGTATTTAATTTAATATAATCCCATTTGTCTGCTTTTGTTGCTTGTACTTTTTAAGTGTTAGCCATACAATCTTTGTTCTGAAGCGTTTCTCCTGTGTTTATTTCCAGTAGTTTTATAGTTGTGGCTGTTACATTTAAGTCTTTAATTGATTTTGAGTTTATTTTTGTAAGTGATGAGAGATAAAGGTCTAGTTTTATTCTTCTGTGTTTGGATATCTAGTTTTCCTGGCACCATTTAATGAAGAGGGTGTCTTTTATTCAATGTACGTTCTTGACACCTTTCTTGAAAATCAGCTGTAAATATGTGGATTCATTTCTGGGTTCTTTAGTCTGTTTCCTTTGTTTTTGTGTGTGTTTTAATACCAATACACGCTGTTTTGGTTACTATAGCTTTGCAGTATGTGTATATATATATATATATTTTGTTTGTTTGTTTGTTTTTTTGAGACGGAGTCTTTCCTTGTCACTCAGGCTGGAGTGCAGTGATGCAATCTCGGCTCACTGCAAGCTCCGCCTTCCGGGTTCACGCCATTCTCCTGTCTCAGCCTCGGCTAATTTTTTTGTTTTTTTTTTTTAGTAGAGACGGGGTTTCACCGTGTTAGCCAGGATGGTCTCAATCTCCTGACCTCATGATCCACCCTCGTTGGCCTCCCCAAGTGCTGGGATTACAGGCGTGAGCCACCACGCCCAGCTGCTTTGCAGTATACTTTTACGTCAGGTAGTGTGAGACTTCTAGCTTTGTTCTTTTTGCTCAGTTTTGCTTTGGCTATCTGGGGACTTCTGTGGTTCCATATGAATTTCAGGGTTTTTTTTTTTTTCCTGTTTCTGTGAAGAATATAATTGATAGGGATTATACTGAATCTCTAGATTGCTTAGGGTAGTATGGTCATTTTAACAGTATTAGTAATTCCAACCCATGAGCATGAGATGCTTTTCCATTTGTTTGTGTCTTCTCAATTTATCAGTGTTTTGTGGTTTTCATTGCAGAGGTCTTTTTTTTTCTTTTTCCCCATCCTTGGTTAAGTTTATTCCTAGGTATTTTATTTTTGTAGCTATTGTAAATAGAAATTCTTCCTTGGTTTCTTTTTTCGCTAGTTTTTTACTGGTATATAGAAACATTACTGATTTTTGTATGTTGATTTTGTGTCCTGAAGCTTTACTTATACATCTGTTTTTTTAAAAATTTTTTGTTTTTTATTTTTTGAGATAGAGTCTTTCTCTGTTGCCCAGGCTGGAGTGCAGTGATGCAACCTTCACTCACTACAACCTCCGCCTCTGGGTTTCAAGCGATACTCCTGCTTCAGCCTCCCAAGTAACTGGGATTACAGGCACCTACCACCATGCCTGGTTAATTGTATTTTTAATAGAGACAGGATTTCACCATGTTGGCCAGGCTGGCCTCAAACTCCCAAGCTCAGGTGATCCGCCCACCTTGGCCTCCCAAAGTGCTGGGATAACAGGCATGAGCTACCATGTCCAGCCTAATTTATCAATTTCAAGAGTTTTTGGTGGAGTCTTTAGGTTTTTCTGTTTACAAGTATAAGATTATGTCATCTGCAAAGTGAGACAATTTGACTTCCTCTTGTCTAGTTTGGATGCCTTTTATTTCTTTATCTTGTCTGATCACTCTGGCTTGGATGTCCCATATTGTGTTGAATAAGAATGGTGAAAGTGGGCATCCTTGTCTTGTTCCAGTTCTTGGAGGAAAAGCTTTTCAGTTTTTCCCAGTGAGTAGGATATTAGCTGTAGATTAGTCATATATGCCTTTTCTTATGTTGAAGTGTTCCTTCTATGCCTAATTTGTTGAGAGTTTTCATCATGAAGGAATGGTAAGTTTTACCAAGTGATTTTTCTGCATCTGCTGAGATGATCAGATAGTTTTTGCCTTTCATCTTGTTGATGTGATGTATCACATGCACTGATTTTGTGTATGTTGAGCCATCTTTGCATTCCTGGGATAAATCCCACTTGATCATGGTATATTATCTTTTTCATTCATCATTAGATTTGGCTTGGTAGTATTATGCTGAGAATTTTTGCATCTGTGTTCATTAGGAATATTGGCCTGTAGTTTTCTCTTTCTGTTGTGTCCTTGTCTTGATTGGATATCAGGGTAATGCTGGCCTTATACAATGAGTTAGGAAGAATTCCCTCCTCTTCAATTTTTGGGAATAGTTTGAGAAGTATTGGTGTTTGTTTTTCTTTATAAACTGGGTAGAAATCAGTATAAAAGCCTGGTCTAGGGCTTTTCTCTTTGGAGAGACTTTTTGTTACTGATTCAAACCTGCTATTCATTTTGAGTCAGTTCAGGTTCTCTCTTTCTTCCTAGTTCAATCTTGGTAGGCTGTGTATGTCTGGGAATTTATCCCTTTCCTCTAAGCTTTCCAATTTGTTAGGGTATGGTTGTTCGTAATAGCCTCTAATGATCCTTTTTATTTCTTTGGTAACAGTTGTAATGTCTCCTTTTTCATTTCTGATTGTATTTATTTGGGTCTCCTTTCTTTTTTTTTGGTTAGCCTCACTAGTGGTTTATCAATTTTGTTTAACTTTTCAAAAAAACAACTTTTATCTTGTTGATTCTTTGCATTTCTTTTTTGTCTCTGTTGCATTTGGTTCTGCTGTTATTTTTTTTTTCTTTCTACTAATTGTGTGTTTGGTTTGTTCTTGCTTTTGGAGTTCCTTGAGGTGCATCGTTAGGTTGTTTATTTGAGATCTTTCTACTTTTTTAGTGTAGGCATTTATTGCTATGAACTTACCTCCTAGTACTGCTTTTTTCTGTATCCCATAGGTTTTGCATGATGTGTTTCCATTTTCTGTTTAAAAAATTTTTTTGATTTCCATCTTAATTTCTTCATTGACCCAATGATCATTCAATAGCACATTTATTGTTCATGTATTTGTACACTTTCCAAATTTCTTCTTGTTATTGATTTCAAGTTTTATTCCATTGTGGTCTGAGAAGATAGTTGATATGATTTTAATGTTTAAAATTTTGTTGAGCCTTGTTTTGTGTCCTAACATATGGTCTATCCTGGAGAATGTTCCATGTGTTGATGAGATGATTGTGTATTCTGCTGCTGCTGGATGAAATATTCTGAAAATATCTGTTAGGTCCATTTGGTCTAAAGTGCAGCTTAAATCTAATGTTTGTTTGTTGATTTTATGTCTAGATGAACTGTCCAATGCTGAGAGTAGGATATTGAAATTCTCAACTATCATTGTATTGGACTCTATCTCTCCCTGTAGATTTAATAATATTTGCTATGTGTGTCTGGATGCACTTGTGTTGGTTGCATGCACATTTAGAATTGTTATATTTTGCTGCTTAATTTTTCCCTTTATTACCATATAATGACCTTCTTTGTCCTTTTTACAGTTTTTGACTTAAAGTCTGTTTTATCTGATGCAAGTTTAGCTACTCCTGATTACTTTTGATTTCTGTTTGTGTGGTATATTTTTTTCAATCCCTTCACTTTCAGTCTGTGTGTGTCTTTACAAGTGAAGTGAGTTTCTTGTAGATGTTGTTGGGTCATTTTTTATCCATTAAGCCTGTCTGTACCTTTAGGTAGGTAATTTAACACATATTCGAAGTTATTATTGATAGGTGAGGACTTATTCGGGTCATTTTGTTCATTGTTTTCTGGTTATTTTGTATATCCTTTTGATTTGGTTTGGCTGTGTCCCCACTCAGATCTCATCTTGAATTCCCATGTGTTGTGGGAGGGACCCAGTGGGAAGTAGTTGAATCATGGGGGCAGGTATTTTCCATGCTATTCTTTTGATAGTGAGTAAGTCTCCTGAGATCTGATGGTTTTAAAGGAGGAGTTTCCCTGCTCAAGCTCTCTCTTTGCCTGCTGCCATCCCTGTAAGATGTGACTTGTCTCTCCTTCACTTCCACAATGATTTTGAAGCCTTCCCAGCAACAAAGAACTGTAAGTCCATTAAACCTCTTTCTTTTGTAAATTTCCCAGTCTTATATGTGTCTTTATCAGCTGTGTGAGAATGGACTAATACAGTAAATTGGTACCAGAAGTGGGGTGTTCCTAAAAGATACCTGAATATGTGGAAGTGACTTTGGAACTGGGAAACAGGCAGAGGTTGGAGGGCTCAGAAGGAGACAGGAAAATATGGGAAAAGTTGGAAGAGATTTCCTAGAGACTTGCCCAAAATGCTAATGGTTATATGGACAATAAAGTCTAGGCTGAGGTGGTCTCAGATGGAAATGAGAAACTTGCCGGGAACTGGCACAAAAGTGACTCCTGTTATGTTTTAGCAAAGAGACTGGTGGCATTTTGCCCCTGCTGTAGAGATTTGTGGAACTTTGAACTTGAGAGAGATGATTTAGGGTATCTGGTAGAAGAAATTTCTAAGCAGCAAAGCATTCAAGAGATGACTTGGGTGCCGTTAAAGGCCTTCAGTTTTATAAGGGAAGCAGAGCATAAAAGTTTGGAAGATTTGCAGCCTGACAATGCAATAGAAAAGAAAATCCCATTTTCTCAAGAAAAATTCAATCTGGCTGCAGAAGTTTGTTGAAGTAACGAGGAGTCAAATGTGAATCTCCAAGACAATGGGGAAAATGTCTCAAGGGCATGTCACAGAGCTTCATGGCAGCCCGTCCCATGAAAGGCCCAGAGGCCTAGGAAGAAAAGATGGTTTTGTGGACTGGACCCAGGGACCCCTGCTGTGAGCAGACTCGGGTGCCTGAGTCTTAGCCACTCCAGCTGCAGCTAAAAGGAGCCAAGGTACAATGTGGGCTGTGGCGTCAGAGGGTGCAAGCCCCAAACCTTAGCAGCTTCCAAATAGTGTTGAGCCTGTGGGTGCACAGAAGTCAAAAATCGTGGTTTGGGAACTGCTGCCTAGACTTCAGAAGGTGTATGGAAATGCCTAGTTGTCCAGGCAGGAGTTGGCTGCAGGGGCAGGGCACTCATGGAGAACCTGTACTAGGGTAGTGCAGAAGGGAAATGTGGGGTCAGAGCCCCCACCTAGAGCCCCTACTGCAGTACCACCTAGTGGAGCTTTGAGAAGACGGCCACAATCCTCCAGACCCCAGAATGGTGGATTCACTGACAGCTTGCACTGTGTGCCTGGAAAAGCTGCAGACACTCAATGCCAACCCATGAAAGGAGCCAGGAGGGGGTTTATACCCACAAAGCCACGGGAGTGGAGTTGTGGCCTTTTTTCTCCCAAAGCCATGGGAGCCCACCTCTTACATCAGCATGACCTGCATGTGAGACATGGAGTCAAAGGAGATCATTTTGGAGCTTTGAGATGTCAGTGCCCCACTGGATTTTGGGCTTGCATGGGGCCTGTAGCCCCTTTGTTTTGGCAATTTTGTCCCACTTGGAATGACTGTATTTACCCAATGCCTATACCCCCATTGTATCTAGGAAGTAACTAACTTGTTTTTGATTTTACATGTTCATAGGCGGAAGGGATTTGCCTTGTCTCACATGAGACTTTGGACTGTGGACTTTTGAGTTAATGCTGAACTTAGTTAAGACTTTGGAGGACTGTTGGGAAGGCATAATTTGTTTTGAAATGAGATTAGGCAAGGGCCAGGGGCAGAATGATATGCTTTGGTTGTGTGCCCACCCAAATCTCATATTGAATTCCCACATGTTGTGGGAGGGACCCGGTGGGAAGTAATTGAGTCATGGGGGTAGGTCTTTCCCATGCTGTTCTCGTGACACTGAATACGTCTCACAAGGTCTGATGGTTTTAAAAAGGGTAGTTTCCCTGCAGAAGCTCTCTCTTTCTCTGCTTCCATCCAGCTGAGACATGACTTGCTTTTTCTTGCCTTCTAACATGATTGTGAGGCTTCCTCAGCTACGTGGAAATGTAAGTCCATTAAACCTCTTTATTTTGTAAACTGCCCAGTCTCAGTCAGGTATGTCTTTATCAGCAGTGTGAAAACAGACTAATACACCTTTGTTCCTTTTTTCTCTCATTATTTATTGTTGCAGTTTGGTGGTTTTCTTTAGTGGTGACGTTTGAATCCTTTCTCCTTTGTGTGTCTGCGCTACCATGAGTTTTATACTTTCATGTATTTTCATGATGGTAGATATTGTTCTTTTGCTTCCCAGTGTAGGACTCCCTTAAGCATTTTTTGTAGGACCACAACAAACAAGACACAAACAAACAGTCTTTTGCTTATCTGGGAAATATTTTTTCTCTTTTTTAAGCACTGGAGTCTCACTCTGTCACCCAGGCTGGAGTACAGTGGCATGATCATAGCTCACTGCAGCCTTGAACTCCTGGGCTCAAATGATCCTCCTTCCTCAGCCTTCTGAGTCTCTGGAATTGCAGATGTGAGCCACTGTGCCAGTCTTCTTCATTTGTGAAGGATAGCTTTGCTGGTTTTAGCAATTTTGCCTTACATTTTTTTTTTTTTTAACTTGTAGTATACATCCCCTTTTCTCCTAGCCTGTAAGGTTTCTGCTGAGAAATTCCCCGTTAGCCTGATGGAGATTCTCTTATAAGTGACTTGATGCTTTTCTCTTGCTGTTTTTAGCATTTTCTCTTTGTCTTTTGACAATTTTACCATAAAGTCCTTGGAGAAGACCTTTTTGAGTAGTGTTTATTTGGTAATCTTTGAGATTCCTTTATTTGGAAGCTTTCAGGAAGTGTTCAGTTATTATTTTATTAAATAGGTTTTCTATGCTTTTACCCATCTCATCTCCATCCAGAACTCCCAGAATTTCAGTTTTTGGTCACATATGTGTCCCATATGTCATGTAGCCTTGCTTCATTCTTTTTTCTTTCTTTTTGTCTGACTGGATTATTTTAAAAGACTAGTCTTCAGGTTCAGAAATTCTTTGTTTTGCTTGATCTAGTCTATTGTTAAAGCTGTCAGTTGTCTTTTGTATTTCTTTCAATGATTTCATCTCTTCCAGGATTTGTGTTTGGTTCTTTGTTATGCTGTCTATCCCTGTTGAATTTCTCATTCAGATCATGAATTGTTTTCCTGATTTTTTTGTATTCATTATCTGTGCTCTCTTATATCTCCCTGAGTTTCTTTAATATCATTATTCTGATTTTTTTTCAGGCATTTCATAGATTTTCTTTTCATTGAAATCTGTTGCTGGAGAATTATTGTGCTTCTTTGGAGATTTTATGTTTCCTTTTTCATATTTCTTGCGTCCTTATGTGACTACTTGTGCCTCTGACATAGCAGTCACTTCTTCCAATTTTCTGGGTTGGCTTTTATATGGGAAAGACCTTTTCTTATAGCTGTATCTACAGCGTTCATTGGATATCACACTTTGGCTTTGATTCTGGGTGGGTACAGTGGTATAGGCTGCATATGATTTCTTCAGCTGTAATTGGCATGAGTGGTGTCTGTGAGTTATTCAGTGGCTTAGACAGCAGTTTTTTTTGTTTGTGTGTTTGTGATTGAGATGGAGTCTAGCTCTGTCACCAGGCTGGAGTACAGTGACACAATCTAAGCTCACTGCAACTTCTGCCTCCCAGGTTCAAGCGATTCTCCTGCCTCAGCCTCCTGAGTAGCTGGGACTACAGGCACCTGCTACCACGCCCAGCTAATTTTTGTATTTTTAGTAGAGATGGGGTTTCACCACGTTGGCCAGGCTGGTCTTGAACTCCTGACCTCGTTATCTACCTGCCTCAGCCTCTCAAAGTGCTGGGATTACAGGTGTGAGCCACTGCGCCCAGCCAGACTGCAGTTGTTATTGGAGGCTGTGGTGAGGCTTTGCTGAGGATGGGGATGCCTGGAAGTCTTGTCCTTCAGCATCAGTGGTAGTGGTGGTAGAACAGGTGTGTCAATACTAGTGACCATGTGCAGTGTATGTGGGCACTGATGATAGCCTGTCTGCATGGGCCAATCCCTGGGCCTCCAGGTGGCTTCTTTGGTTGCTGGCAGTGGCAGCACTGGGCCAGGTGGGCGGGTGCGCCACTGGGCTCCTGGGTTGTGTGTGTGGCAGGCTGATCTCTAGTTCTCCAGGTGACGTGTGCAGGTTCTGGTGGTGGGTAGGCAGGTGTTTCCTCAGGCCTCTCAGTAGTAAGTGTGAGCGCCAGCTCTGGAGGCAGTGTGAGTCAGTCTCCAGGCCCCCAGATGGTACATTCAGGCACCAGCATATTCCTATGCATTTCTAGATAATAGTATTTTTCAGAAAACCTGAGCATATGTCCTATTAATACAACTTTCCCTCATCAGCTCTGCATGAGAAGAAGGGGGATTTCCCTCAGTAGAACAGTCACAATGGAATCATAGACTTGTTTTGAGCCACTCACTGGTATGTGGGGGTAGGCTAAAATGATAAGCTCAGAATCTAAACCTTAGACTAGGGAATGGCTAACTTTTTCCATAAAGAAGCAAACGGTAATATTTTAGGCTTTTGGTCTGAATAACCTCTGTTGCAGTGACGCAGTGGTGCCATCGTAGTTTAAAACATATGTAGACAAGGCATAAATGAATGGACCTGGTTTTATTCCAGTAAAACTTAATTTATACAAACAGTCAGAGGGCCAGATTTGGCCCTTGGTCTATAGTTTGCCAACCCTGTTTAGACAAGTCACAATTTATTCCCTGGGGCTGGGCCAATTTTTTCTAAAAAAAAAAAAAAAAAAAAAAGAAAGCAACCCGCTTTCAGAATAAAATAGGGTTTCTATTTAAAAAGAAGAGGCTGGGTGTGGTGGCTCATGCCTATAATCCTAGCACTTTGGGAGGGTGAGGCAGGAGGACTGCTTGAGGCCAGGAGTTTGAAACCAACTTGGGCAATATAGTGAGATCCTGTCTTTGCAAAGAATAAAAAAATTAGCCAGGCATGGTGGCACATGTCAGGAGTCTTAGCTACGTAGGAGGTTGAAGGGGAAGATCAGGGGAGCCCAGGATTTTGAGGTTACAGTGAGCTCTGACTGTGCCACTTGTACTCTAGCCTAGGCAAAGAATAAGACTCCGTTTCAAAAAAAAAAAAAAATGGTTGGTTGGGGTGGGTTGGAGAAGAAAGTATTTCTGAATTTCTGGGTAGGTAACTGGTAGTGTCAGGGCAAACTAGCTCTACAGTCTTATTCATTATAAATAAAGGCAACTAGAAGATCTCCATCTAGCTATTAAAAATTGGTTAAAATCTACAGAGATAAAGTATGGTGACCCTTGTATCAGTTAGTTATTGTCACAAAATGCTGCATAACAAGTCACTCCAAATCTCAGTGGCTTAATACAACAGTTATTTATTTTCATGGATCTATGGGTCAGCTGAGGATTGGTTAATCTAGCATAAGCATGTCTGGGAAGCTCTACTTTGCTCTTGGTGTCTCTTATCTTCTGCTGGAAGCAGCAGGCTGGCCTGGGCTTGTTCTCATGGTGATAGCAGGAGTGAGCGAGCACAAATGAATGCACACTTTCCAAGTTTTTGGTCATGCAGATTAATATTCCAGTGGCCAAAGCTAGACACATGACTAAACCCAACATTAGGGGCTGGAGAAATATACTCTGATTCTTCAGTGGGAGGAACTGCAGAGACAAATGACAGAGTCTTGGATACAGGGAGGACACGGATCCATTAATGTACCTTAATCAACCGCAACCCTCTAACCACCAATGCAATTAAATAAGTATTTGTTGAATGCACTTGTGCCTGAATGCTTCTGGCTGCAGCCCAGGCAATGGGGGCCTGACTGGGAAGGGACCATAGCAGGGACTCGATGTCCTGCAGGTCTGCATGTAACTGTGCACGGCCGACTCCCCATTGGTCATGGCTGATTTGCTTTATCCTGCGACCCCAAGGGGCAACGATTACCTGATTTTATTTCTGAACAGTTTTGACAAAGTTGTTTTCAGGAGCCCAGGAAGCAAATCAATTGTAGATTTGAATTTTGCAGGGGGTCAGAATTGTTTAATATATATATAGTCTTTTACATGCTGATAATTATTTCCATACCACAAAGAAGGCCGGCTATTAGGAGGCTGCTGTTCAATTCCTTTGCCCCGTGAGCTCATGAGCTGTGTCTATGTGGGGGGCACTCACTTGTTAGAGATATTTCCCTTCAGAATAACATTAGCCAATATTCTAAATAAATGCAGGAAATTAAATAGTCTTCCCCAGACAGGTACTTTGCACTTCTAAAGTGAATTACACATTCTAAAATAAAACACAGTCACATTAAAAAAACAAAAGGTCTTTGTGTTAGGTTGGTCTGGCATCAGCAAAGATATTTTCCTCCAGAGTAGAAGATCCTTGTAATGCACGATATTGCGTGTGGCAGCCCCACATCTCGTTTCCTTTTTTTTGTTGTTGTTGTTTTTAACTAAAAGAGTTGACAATTTTATTTTCACATTTCCCAATACAAATGAAAACTGCATCTTTTTTGGTCCCACTTCTCCCCTCCAAAACTATTCTCTTTGATAGGGCAACGGGGCAAGTCTTCCTTATGCTGTTAAGAAAACCCGGCATCACAGCAGCATGATCTCCTGGTGAAGGGAGCAGGTAAATATAAAACTCATATAGGCCGGGTGCAGTGGCTCACACCTGTAATCCCAGCACTTTGGGAGGCTGAGGCGAGCGGGTCACGAGGTCAGGAGATTGAGACCATCCTGGCCAACATGGTGAAACCCTGTCTCTACTAAAATAAAAAAAATCAGTCGGGCATGGTGCGCATGCCTGTAGTCCCAGCTACTCAGGAGGCTGAGGCAGGGGAATCGCTTGAACGCGGGAGGTGGAGGTTTCAGTGAGCTGAGATCGTGCCACTGCACTCCAGCCTGGGCGACAGAGGAAGACTGTGTCTCAAAAACAAAACAAAACATTACAAACAAAGAAAACACAACAATAATAACAACAAAACAACACTGATGTAATGAGGCCTCCCCTCTATCCTTATCTGTCTGGTTGAGTCATTCTGGGCTGACTGGGCACCATCATGAGACGGGCAGGAGGTCTCATCATTGGGCACCCAGGCATCATGGGCATGTGGCCTTCCATGGGTGGCCTCATTCCAGGAGCAGGTCTCACTGGCATCATCCCAGGAGGAGGAGGGCCCATCATTGGCATCATGGGAGGGCCCCCCATATGGGGTGCTGCCATCATTCTGAGATGTGCTAGAAGTGTCAAATACACATTAGATTGTGAAGACTTAATATAAAAAGAAAGCAAAGTATTTTGTTAATGTTAAAATATTTTATACTTGTAGACCTGGTATTTCGGATAGATTTGTTTAAATCTGTGATATTATTCCAATTACCTTCACTTCTTTTGTTTTACTTTTTAAAATGTGGTTACTACAAAATGCAAAAGTAAATATGTGGCTTCCATCATATTTCATTACATTTAGTGTGGACCCTGAGGATCTAGGGGAGTTATGAGCCTTAAGTTGAGGGTGACCCAGGTCAACATGAATTGCTCTGAAAGAGAAGCAAAGGGCATAAAGAGAACGTATAAATGGAGAGAGGGAGTGAGGAAAGGCTTTCTTTCTTACACAGTCTGGCACTTCTTCAAAAGCTTAAACACAGAGTTCTATGACCCAGCACTTCCACTCCAGTTTATGAAAGAAATGAAAGTATATGTCCGTGCAGAAACTTGTACACAAATGCTCATAGCAACATTATTCATAATAGCGCCAAAGTGAAAACAACACAAATGCTTGTCTACTGATGAGTGGAGAAATAGAACATGGTTTGACCATGCAATGGAATATTATTCAGTCATCAAAAGGAATGAAGTACTGACACGTGCTACAACACGGATGAACTATGAGAATATTATGCTAAGTAGAAGAAACCAGTCACAAAAGGTCACATATTAGAAGATTTCATTTATATGAAATGTCCAGAACACGCAAATCTATGAAGACAGAAACCCTGTCTCTACTAAAAATACAAAATTAGATGGGCGTGGTGGCATATCCCTGTAATCCCAGCTACTCTGGAGGCAGGAGAATTGCTTGAACCTGGGAGGCAGAGGTTGCAGTGAGCCGAGATTGTGCCACTGCACTCCAGCCTGTGATAGAGACTCTATCTCAAAGTAGATTGTCAGGACTTAGTGGGAGGAGGAAATGGCAGGAACCTGCTCATGGATACAGGGTTTCTTTTGGAGTGATGAAAATGTTTTAAAATTGATAATGATGGTGGTCGCCGAGCTCTGTGAATGCACTGAAACTATTGATTTGTTCACTTTAAATTGGCAAAGCATACGGTACCTGAATTATAATAGTAATATTAAAAAAGTAAAATCTTCCTTGAAGAGATGACACTTAAGGAGAGGCCTAGGGGGTGGGATGAGTTCACTATGTAGAGAAATGAGGAACAGCATTTCAGGGTGAGGAACAGCATAGTGAAGTCCCTGAGGTTGATAGGCATAGAGCAGATTTAAGGGACTTTTGTTTTTGAGACGGACTTTCAGTCTTGACGCCCAGGCTTGGGTGGAGTGGTGCGATCCTGGCTCACTGCAACCTCTGCCTCCCGAGTTCAAGCGATTTTCCTGCCTCAGTCTCCCGAGTAGCTAGGATTACAGGTGCCGTCCACCACACGTGGCTAATTTTGGGATATTTAGTAGAGATGGGGTTCCACCATGTTGACCAGGCTGGTCTCGAACTCCTGATCTCAGGTGATCCAGCCGCCTCAGCTTCCCAAAGTGCTGGGATTACAGGCGAGAGGCACTGCGCTCAGCCAGATTTAAGGCACTTTCAAGAAGTTTATGTGGCTGAAGCCTGCAGGGCAAGCAAGAGAATCAGGAAATGAGGCTGGAGAAAGAGAGGGGCTAGGTCATGGAGGGTCTCACATTAGGGTGTGGAAACTTACACGAGTGGTCCCACCTTGGGCATCCCACCTAACTACTCTGTGTCCCAGCTTCCCCACTGGTGAGATCAAGGGCTGATGTAGGGATGGAATGAGATAGTGTGTGCTCAGTAGAGGTGACCTTTTATCATTTTTTTTTTTTTTTTTTTTTGAGATGGAGTCTCACTCTGTCACCCAGGCTGGAGTGCAGTGGCGCGATCTCGACTCACTGCAAGCTCCACCTCCCGAGTTCACGCCCGTCTCCTGCCTCAGCCTCCGGAGTAGCTGGACTACAGGCGCCCGCCACCACGCCTGGCTAATTTTTTTGTATTTTTAGTAGAGACGGGGTTTCACCGTGTTAGCGAGAATAGTCTGAATCTGCTAACGTCGTGATCCGACTGCCTCGGCCTCCCAAAGTGCTGGGATTACAGGCGTGAGCCACCGCGCCCGGCCGAGCTTTTATCATTGTTAACCCACACAGCAGTGGGAGCCACGGAAAGTTGAGTGATCTGTTTGGATGCACCTTCTGAAGTGATTGCTTTGGTCCCTGTGAGGAGTGCAGATTGTCACAGGGCCAGGGAAAAGCAGAGGCCAGTCTGGAGGCATTTGCAGTCAAACACCTGGAGGTGATGGTGGCTTGGTTTATGATGGTGTCAGGAGAGTGGCTGAGCAGTGAAGGATATGAGAAAGATTTAGGAGGTAAAACCCACGTGACTTGGTCACTGAATGTGGGTTGTGTGGGCTGGAGGGAAGGTAAGAAAGAATGAGAAGAAAAACATACTCAAGTTTTGTAGGCTGTACAGGGAGCATGACACTGACATCTGCTGAGCTTCTGTAGAGGCCTCAGGAAACTTACAATGATGGCAGAAGCTGAAGTGGGAGCAAGAGAGTAAGGAGGGAGGTGCTACACACTCGTAAACAACCAGATATTGCAAGAACGCACTCACTATTGCAAAGACAGGACCAAAAGGATGACGATAAATCATTCATGAGAAATCCACCCCCGTGATCCAATCTCTTCCCATCAGGCCCCACCTCTAACACTTGGGATTACATTGCAACATGAGATTTGGGAGCGGACACATATTCAACCTGTCAGCTGCTTTCATTCTATGGGTGACAGAGCTCAGTATCTACTACAAGAGACTGTATGGCCCACGAAGTCTAAAATATTTACTATCTGATGCTTTCAAGTAAAAGCTTGCAAACCCTGCTCTTGAAAAGGAAAGGAAGGGAGAGGAGAGGAGGAAGGCTGGAAGGAGCAGAGAGGAACACGGGGCTGTATTCAAACATCTGTTGTTAAGAAGGAGAAATTCAATTTATTTGGCATGGTCCAAGTTATCAAACTAGGAGCACTCCATTGAAGTTTCAGGACAAACACTGTGCTGAATATAAGGATGACCCCATCTGTAATGCCTAACCTTGTTTTTATTAACTTTGTTCTTAGACTTTCCTTTTCTTTTAATCACTTAGCCTTGTTTCTACCTGAATTGACTTTCTTTTAGCTAAGAGAGCTAGACAGACTTTGTCTTGGCTTTTTCACTGGCAGCCCCTTCCTCAAGGCCATCTCTTGGCCGCCAGCTAAATAAACAGACTTAATTCATGTCAAAGTGTGGCATTTTCTCTAACTCGCTCAAGTACAACATTTGGAGGCCCGAGTGAGAAACGCCACGAGGCAAGAGCTGGGCTCGCTCCGGGCTTCCCCAGAAGGACGGCCGGCTTGTGGGGGGGTGCCATCTGAAAAAAAATTGCAGGTCCCCGAAAGGTGACCGTCTTCCAGAGGAGAGCGGATCGACTACCGTGTGGATGATTAGGACAGTTTCTTCCTTTTTTTTTTTTTCAGACAGACAAGGGGAGGGTTTCCTGTGATGGGATCAGTCAGATGCCTGCCTGGCCGCTCCCCCTGAGGGGACTTGGGCTCCTCTTAGCATTGGCAGGCAGGAATAAACTTCCGGCTCAGATCGAGCTATGCCTGATGCTGCCTTAAGCCTTATGAGGTCGCCACGGAACCGCAGGTGAGGTGAGGACCTACTTGAACTCCGTAGCTTTCGCCGTGGAGCTACAAACTGGAGGACAAGCGCGAGCCCTTGTCCTCCCTCACTCATTCATTATTCACACAGAGTATATAACAGTTTTTTTTTTCTTTCTTGGAGATTCTTCAAGAAACTCGAACAAGAGAAAGATGAGAGATAGAAAAGGAGAGAGAGAGAATGACCGGTCTGCCAGAAACCAGGACTCAGTCCTCCAGCATCCTGGGATGTGGACTGAGTCAAGGGAGGGCCCCTGTCAGGGCCACTTCCCTCCTAGAAAGAGACACAGAGGTGCCTGACAGAAAACCAGGGCTCTACCTTCTAGCGTCCTAGAGAAACAGGCAGAGTCGAAAGAGGGACACCCTCATCAGGGCCGCTTCCCTCTTACTAGAACTGAAGTCAAATCTGACCTACCTGACCTCGGGGTCAGAAGTCGAGGACTCAGAGGTGGAATTCTTATGGGCACCCACAGGGTAGTCGATCCGCTCTCCTCTGGAAGATGGTCACCTTTCGAGGACCTGAAGATTTTTTTTTAGGTGGCACCCCCCACAAGCCGGCCGTCCTTCCGGGGGAGCCCGGCTCTCGCCTATGGCGTTTCTCGCTGGGGCCTCCCAATGTTGTACTTGAATGAGTTAGAGAAAATGCCACACTTTCGCATGAATTAAGAGTCTGCTTATTTAGCTGGTGGCCAAGAAATGGCTAACTCTTAAAGTTCTCTTGGCCCCGAAGAAGGGGCTAGATTTTCTTTTATACTTCAGTTTAGAAAGGGGAAACGGGTCTAGTTAAAAGAATTTTACAGGAGTAAAGTAGACAAAAAAGTTAAAAGGATAAATTGTTACAGGAAAGTAAACAGTTCTAGGTCTAAGGGCTTTAAGACTATTACAAAGTGATAGACGTGGGGCTTTAGGCATTATCAATCGGACAAATTCCTGGGAACTGCGGATATTGCTCGCCCCACAGTATCTTATCAGTTAATTGCATTCTTAGATGTGCTAAGAGTCAGCTTGCACAAGTTAAGTCCTTGAGGAAGGGGCTGCCAGTGAAAAAGCCAAGATAAAAGCTGTCCCCAGTGTTAGAGGTGGGGCCTGGTGGGAAGAGATTGGATCATGGGGGTGGATTTCTCATGAATGATTTTGCATCGTCCTTTTGGTCCTGTCCTTGCAATAGTGAGTGAGTTCTTGCAAGATCGGGTTGTTTACGAGTGTGTCGCACCTCCCTCCTTACTCTCTTGCTCCCGCTTCACCTTCTGCCATCATTGTAAGTTTCCTGAGGCCTCCACAGAAGCTCAGCAGATGTCAGTGTCATGCTCCCTGTATAGCCTACAAAACTGCGAGCCAATTAAACCTCTTTTCTTTATATATTACCCAATCTCAGGTATTTCTTTATAGCATGAGAGAACAGCCAAATCCAGCAGCCATAGACAATATGTAGCAAATGTGCATGGCTGTGTTTCAATAAAACTTTATTGACAAACACATGTGCAAGCAGGTCAGATTTGGCCCATGGGCCATAGTGTCCCAACGTCTGCTCTGGAATATTCTGTTCAGCCTGGATGGACATCTCTAGGTTGTTTTTTTTTTTTTGAGACAAAGTCTCACTGTTGCCCAGGCTGGAGTGCAGTGGTGCATTCTTTGCTCGCCACAACCTCTGCCTCCTGGGTTCAAGCAATTCTCCTGCCTCAGCCTCCCAAGTAGCTGGGATTACAGGCACCTGCCACCACACCTGGCTAATTTTTGTATTTTTTAATAGAAATAGGGTTTCATCATGTTGGCCAGGCTGGTCTCAAACTCCTGACATCAGGCGATCCACCCACCTCGGCCTCCCAAAATGCTGGGATTACAGGTGGCCGCCACCACACCTGGCTAATTCTTTTATTTTTAGTAGAGATGTGGTTTCACTATGTTGCCCTGGCTGGTCTCGAACTCCTGATCTCAAGTGATCCACCTGCCTCGGCCTCCCAAAGTGCTGAGATTACACCTGTGAGCCACTGCAGCTGCCCTCTAGATTTTTCTTGTTTTTTTGATCATTGCTTATTTGGTTTGACTTTCATTTTCTTCCCCATTGTGGTAGTCGTTTTCTGAATGCCTGTTAGTTTGTCCATCTCTCTCCTCTGTAGTCCCTAGAGTCAGATGAACTCCTCTGCAGGTGCAATGGTGTAACACTCTCTAGTGCTGAATTTTGAGCAGGAGAAAGAGAGCAAGAGTGACCAGTACCTTTGGAAACTCTGGCCTCCTGAGAATTTGGTGTCTCCTCTGCAAAGGTTGCATACCTGTTAACCCACAGGCAGGAGAGACAGACAAGCCAGAATCATGATCTGTTGAGCTTGAGTTTAATAACTGATGCACAGAGATCACTGAGTTTTTTGATAAGAATTAGAGTAGGAAGAAATGGCCACAGAGAACAATTTATATCTCCAGGTGAGGACTCAGGAGATAATTCTGCGAACAGAACTTCCTGAGAACTGAGATGGGGTAAATCGCTGGTATTAGAAGAGTGAAAATGTCAGTAATTAAGGCTACGACTGTGCTCTTAGAGGCAAAAGAAGAAAATGAGACTGCCAGGCATGAATAATGAGAAATCTTTGATGGAATTAGCCATGCAGAACAGATACTAAATGCATCCTCATTCTTCTCATAGTCAAAAGTTTCTGCTTAAGCTGGATGGGAAAAAGAGAATCCCATTTCACTAAGTATAAAAGAGGGGATTTTAGAGAAGGTTTCAGAAGTAAGAGATGTGGGGGTTTGGTGAAACTCACCAGAGGCTGAACCCTCTCCTGCATAACACAGGGATTGGGAGGAGCGGGGTGGCATTAGGCCAGATGCATAGCCCAGTGCTGCTCTCTCTGGACTTTCTGCTCTCTCTGGACTTGTTTGCTATCTGAGCTCATCCATTTACATAATTTTCAGTGCCATTTCTCAGCTAATGAGTCCTGAACTTTTGTCTTGAGGCTAGACTTCTCCTTCAAACAGCAGTCTTAAACACTCAACTTCTTTCCTGTTTTTTCCACTTGTCAACTCATGAACACCTCAACCTTGTTACATCCAAAGCCAAACTCATGGCTTGGAGTGGTAGGTGATGGCTGTAATCCCAGTGCTATGGGAGGCTGAGGTGGGAGGATTACTTGAGGCCAGGAGTTGGAAGCCCGCCTGGAAAACACAGTGAGGCTCCCTATCTACAAAAAAAAAAAAAAAAAAGCTAGGCATGGTGATGTGCATCTGTAGGATCTGTAGTCCTGCTACATGGCAGGCTGAGGCAGGAGGATCACTTGAGCCCAGGAGTTTGAGGCTGCAAAGAGCTATGATTGCACCAATGCACTCCAGCCTGGGTGACACAGCCAGAGACCCTGTCTTAAAAAAAAAAAACCCAAAGCTAAACTCTCTTTTTCCTCCTCCTTCTCCATGGGCTCTGTCCATGCCATCTCTGTTCTGTAAATGGCACCACCCCCTGCTGAGCTGCTCAAGGTGGTCATAACTCATGTGTTGTGCTAACTCTGCTTTTGCCCTCTTCTCCAGTCAGCAAGTCCTGTGATTCTAAACTTTATCCAACTTGTCCAGTCTCTGTAGCTTCACTGTCATTATCTTTGCCTAGGACACCGCTATCTCAGCTAGGCTACAGCAGCCTCCTAACTGGTCTTAACTGGTACTCTGCACCTGCTCTCCATGCTCAGCAATCCATTTCCTACCTGGCAACTTCAGTGATCTTAAGGTGTCCATTGAGTCTCATCCCTGCCTTTCCTGCCCATGGTACATAGAATAAAATCGAGACCCCGAG
Source organism: Homo sapiens (assembly GCF_000001405.40). Lineage (NCBI taxonomy): Eukaryota > Metazoa > Chordata > Mammalia > Primates > Hominidae > Homo > Homo sapiens. The sequence continues at coordinate 7,151,328 of NC_000008.11, forward strand.
TCTTCTGCCTGTTCCTGCCACCTCTCCAGCCCTCTCCTATCTCCTGCCCTTGGCCTACTCTATTTCAGCCGCTATGGCCTCCTTTTGTTTTCTTGGACTTTCAAACCTTTTTCCACAACACGGCCTTTGCACTTGCTGCTTCAGCCTGGAATGATTTTCCTCTGCACCTCCCCAAATTAGACCATCCTTTAGGTGTCAGCTAAAATGGTGCTTCCACAGACAGCTCTTCCCTGACCCTGCTCTTCTCCACCTTAACGTCTTATTGTTTCTTGTTGTGGGAAGTCAGGGACCCCAAATGGAGAGGGACTGGCTGGAGCCATGGCAGAGGAACATAAATGGTGAAGATTTCATGGACATTTATCAGTTCCCAAATAATACTTTTATAATTTCTTATACCTGTCTTTTATCTCTTAATTCTGTTATATTCATAAGCTAAGGATGTACATCACCTCAGGACCACTGTGATAATTGTGTTAACTGTACAAATTGTAAAACATGTGTATTTCAACAATATGAAATCAGTGCACCTTGAAAAAGAGAATAACAGCAATTTTTAGGGAACAAAGGAAGACATCCATAAGGTCTGCCTGCCTGCAGGGTTGGGCAAAAAGAGCCATATGTTTCTTCTTGCAGAGTCTATAAACGGATGTGCAAGTAGGAGAGATATCGCTAAATTCTTTTCCTAGCAAGGAATATTAATAGTAATACCCTGGGAAAGGAATGCATTCCTGGGGGAAGTTCTATAAATGGCCGCTCTGGGAATGTCTGTCTTATGCGGTTGAGATAAGGACTGAGATACGCCCTGGTCTCCTGCAGTACCCAAAGGCTTACTAGGGTGGAGAAAAACTCCGCCCTGATATATCTGTGGTCAGCCTGGTTCTCTGCTCTTGAACCCTGTTTTCTGTTGTTTAAGATGTTTATCAAGACAATACATGCACCGCTGAACATAGACCCTTATCAGTGGTTCTGCTTTTGCCCTTTGCTTTGTGATCTTTGCTGGACACTTATCAGTAGTTCTGCTTTTGTCCTTTGTCCTGTTCCCTCAGAAGCACGTGATCTTTGTTAGACCCTTAGTAGTAGTTCTGCTTTTTGCCCTTTGAAGCATGTGACCTTTGTACCTACTCCCTGTTCTTACACCCCCTTCCCTTTTGAAGCCCTTAATAAAAACTTGCTCATCTGAGACTCAGGGGGCATCACGGTCCTACTGATGTGTAATGTCACCCGCAGCAGCCCAGCTGTAAAATTCCTCTTTGTAGTGTCTCTCTTTATTTCTCAGCTGGCTGACACTTATGGAAAATAGAAAGAACCTACATTGAAATATTGGGGGCAGGTTCTGCCTATACTTCTTTCATGGATTTACTTATTTTTTATTTGTCCCTCTGTATCCTAGAAACTCCTGGAGGGCAGATGCATGCCTGCCATCTTCATCGTTTCATTACCACCATCCAACACTATCGGGGGACCTGCCCTGATAATCAGGTAGGTTCTTTTCTATTTTCCTAAGTGTCGAGTGGCTTGAGAAATAAAAGGACAGAGTACAAAAGAGAGAAATTGTAAAGCTGGGCGTCTGGGGGGAGACATCACACATTGGTAGGATCCGTGATGCCCCACAAGCCACAAAAACCAGCAAGTTTTTATTAGGGAGTTTCAAAAGTGTAGAGAGTATATGAATAGGTGTGGGTGACAGACATCAAGTACTTAACAGGGTAATAGAATATCACAAGGCAAGTGGAGACAGGGTGAGATCACAGGACCACAGGACGGAAGTGAAATTAAAATTGCTAATGAAGTTTTGGCACCATTGTCATTGATAACATCTTATCAGGAGACAGGGTTTTGAGATCAACCCGTCTGACCAAAGTTTATTAGGCGGGAATTTTCTCTTCCTAATAAGCCTGGGAGTGCTATGGGAGACTGGAGTTTATTTCACCTCTGCAATCTCGACCATAAGAGACAGGTACGCCATGGGTGGCCAGTTCCGAGACCTACCCCTAGGTGCGCATTCTCTTTCTCAGGGACGTTCAATGCTGAGAAAAGGAATTCAACGATATTTCTCCCATTTGCTTTTGAAAGAAGAGAAATATGGTGCTGTTCTGCCCGGCTCACCGGCGGTCAGAGTTTAAGGTTATCTCTCTTATTCCCTGAACAATTGCTGTTATCCTGTTCTTTTTTCAGGGTGCCCACATTTCATATTGCTCAAACACACATGCTGTACAATTTGTGTATGTAACGCAATTATTACAGGTCCTGAGACGATATACATCCTTCTCGACTGACAGGATTAAGAGATTAAAGTAAAGACAGGCATAGGAAATCACAAGGGTATTGATTGGGGAAGTGATAAGTGTCCATGAAATCTTCACAATTTATGTTTAGAGATTGCAGTAAAGACAGGCATAAGAAATTACAAAAGTATTAATTTGGGGAACTAATAAATGTCCATAAAATCTTCATAATCCACGTTCTTCTGTCATGGCTTCAGCCGGTCCCTCCGTTTGAGGTCCTGACTTCCCGCAACATCTCTCCCTTTCTTTTTATATAAATGTGCCATGGCGATGAAGGCTTGTTCGTTCTCTCGATTTTGACACAGGATTATTTGACTGGTACGGCACACTAAAAGCAAGCCGATTAAGCAGAGAAACATAATTCCAAAATTTAGTACAGTGGATCCCCCAATAGACTTAATCCATAAAGATTTTCTGCCACCTGATCTAACGCCTGAGCTCCAGGCACGATGGATAAGTGAGCTTGGGAGGCTTCAAAAATTTGCTTTTTTAATTTAGTTGTTTTCAATGATAAATTACCTTTTCTACCTAGAAGGTGTCCTTTGACCGTTTCCCATGAATGATCAGTCTCGTTATAGGAATAGGGGTGATGCAGAAATCCAAAGTATTCCAATCGCACTGCATTTGCATGCGATGTTCTAGACTCACTACCTGATCTCCAAGCCAAATAACAGACTGTCTTAAATCATTAATTTGCTTTGCCAATTTTTGATCGATGTCTTGTTGAGAATTCCACATTTGGGTGGAATTGGCTTGCCAATCATTAACAAAATGAGCCGTTTGAATAGACTGGTGTAATTCCATTCCGGCAGTGGTGGCCATTGCAGTGACTGTAATTAGGCCCATGATAACAGCGATTAAAGTGAAAACAAATCTCTTAGATCTTTTTAGAATTCGTTGTACCAGATCTTTTTTGAATTCGTTGTACCACTTCATTAATTAAATGTATTGAGGGGGAGAATTCCCAAGGTCGAGGTAAAGTTATCGGAATCCAGATTCTTTCTCCAGCTTGAACCAACATTACACTTTTCCTGGAGTCAAAATGGGAGTTAATACAAGTGTATAGATGACAATTGACGCACTGGACAGTTTGATTATTCATCCAAATTTTGATATTTCCTACCAATAGCATGTAACGAGGCTCAACACAACTCTGTATGGGAACAGTCAGGTTGGAGGTAAGTGAAGCAGAATGTCTGGGTCTACGATGATACTGAGAGAATGGGACGGTAGTGGGAACAACAGTCAAAATAGTTTTTCCTTCCCATACTCGCAGTCCAGCCATGGCAATAGCCAATTTCCAAAGTTCTGGGTGTTCTGGGCTCAGAATAGGGAGTGTCATAGGAGGCCTGGAGGGGGCGGGTAATGCCTTTATCTTCCCATTTTAAGGGAAAGAATGAGCTGATCCTTCTATGCAAAGTAGAATGATGATTCTCTTTCTCCGGATAAGAAATAAAATAAGTAGCCTCCAGGCATTCCCTTCCACAGAGGAGCAATTGTTTTTTAAATAGCCCTATGGTGCCCAGTCTATTACTAAACCATATGAGTCATTTTTTAATATTACTGCATGTGAGTTAACACAATCTTCCCAAATTAAAGTTTTAGATGGTCCCTCAAAATGTTTAGGGCATGGTTTTCCTGCAGGTTTATATTGAAAGTATGGGGTACCTCCCATTACTCCTCCTTTCATTTGTTGTAAAGGAGAAAGGGAGAGGCCAGAGGCCAAATGTCCCATTTTATCTGTAGCTGATGTTTCTGAAAGATAAGCAGCCCAGAACTAAGTTTCTAGATGGATGCAACCAGGTGCATGTCCGAGGCACAGAGGTGGGTATTTATAACCCATGGTAACATTAAATGCAGTGCCTTCTTCTCCTGGTTGTGCGGGGCAAGGGTCGTCTATGGCTCCAGGCATCCACACACTATCGTTAGTGTAGATTTCTGCGGGAGCATCTATCCGGGTGAGAGAGCGAATAAGTGGAGGAAAAGACACCTAAGCCCAAGAAGAATAATTATGTGTAGCAGGTAAATCAGTGTGAGAGGAAACTGGTGAGACAGAAAGTATAAGGAGGAGAATCATTAAATAAAACCTAGTGTAAGCGAGATGGAGTGCTGAAGGAGAAAGAGAAGAAGAGTGGGATGTTATTTTCAGGCTAATAGAAATGGTGAGATATTTAGGTTTGTAAGGAGAAAAAGAAAGGTAATCAGGATAAGTGTGATTAGTTAGATGGGTCTCCACTGTCATCAGGGAGGATTGATTTACACCCATTGTGATTTGGTGTGCCTGTTTCTGAGGAGTCGGCACAGATCTCACCACATCTGAAGGCAGTCTCTGACACAGACGTCTCTTCACTGTGGTTTTGATTGTCAGTATTCACAAGAAGCTTGAGTCTTCTGGTGGGCACCCAGACAGGGGATTGATGATCTCCTGGTGAAACACAAGCATATCCTCTTCCCCACGTTAAGTAGAATAAGAGACAATATTTAAAGGTTTGGGGAAATCCTGTAAGGCAGTAATCACAGCAATTAACTCCGCATTTTGAAGAGAAGTATAAGAGGTAGAAAGAAGTTTGTCTGCAGGACCTGTATAGCCAGCATTGCCATTACCAGAGCCATCAGTGAATACTGTAACGGCCTCAGGAATGGGTTGATTTTTGGTTAATCTAGGAACCACCCAAGACGTTATTTTTATAAAATCAAACAATTTGTTTTTTTGGATAATGATCGTCAATAACACCAATAAAATCAGCCAAGTGAATTTGCCACAGTACAGAATGTTGAAAGGCAGCTTGAACTTCGAGCTGATTTAAAGGAACTACAATTACACTTGGATCAAATCCAGAAAATTGAAGTATTCTGCACCGAACCTGTCCAATTAATATGGCTATTTGGTCTAGATAAAGTTTTTGACACAGAATGAGGAAGAAAACACCATTCCACTAAATCATTATGTTGAACTATTAGTCCAGTAGGAGAGTGTAATGAAGCAAAAACCAGAAGCTGAAAAGGCTGAAATGTCTGTACTCTAGATAACTGGGCGGTCTGGATTTCTTCCTCTACAAATTCCAGATCCAGTAAAGCCTCAGGGGTCAAAGTCCTAGGGCTGCGGAGATCAGAATCTCCCCGCAGCATAGAGAACAAGTTAGACAGGGTATAGGTCGGAATGCCTAAAGTAGGTCTTAAATAATTAATGTTACCCAAAAGTTTTTGGAAGTCATTTAAAGTTTTTAAAGAATCTCTCCTAATTTGAACTTTTTGAGGTTGAATACATTGTTTATCGACCACCATTCCTAAATATTGAACAGGAGTGGTCTGTTGAATTTTATCCTGAGCAATGCGTAATCCAGCCTCTGTAACACAGCGGTTCAAAATTTGGTAACAGTCAATTAATTTTTTATCAGTGGGGGCAGAAATTAAAATATCATCAATATAATGAAGAATATAGGCCTCGGGAAATCGGGCTCAAACTGGTGAAAGCACTTGTCCAACATAAAGCTGGCAGATTGTAGGGCTATTTAGCATTCCCTGAGGAAGTACTTTCCATTGATAACGAGCTACAGGCTCCTGATTATTGATAGATGGTACAGTAAAAGCAAATTTTTCACAATCCGATTTATGTAAAGCGATATGAAAAAAAAAACCTCTTTAAGATCAATAAGTATGAGAGGCCAATCTTTAGGTATTAAAGCAGGGGCAGGCATGCCGGGTTGGACGGCCCCTATAGGTTTAATTACAGCATTAATGGCCCTTAAATCGGTTACCATCCGCCATTTGCCTGATTTCTTTTTTACTAGAAACACAGGAGAATTACAAGGGGAAAGAGAAGGTTCCACATTTCCAAGTTGTAACTGCTCAGAAACCAATTGATTTAAAGCCTCCAGTTTTTCTTTAGAAAGCGGCCACTGCTGAATCCCAGGGCCACTTGTCTTATCTCCTTTGTTTAAAAGGATATTAGGTAGTAAAAGCAATTGAACTTGTTTAACAGTAGTAAAAGAAACAAGAGCTTGGGCTCGGGAGTGTAGTTTATCCCAAGCTCTCATACACACTTTTGTTACTTGTTTTGTGGTAAGAGTATCAAAGTTTAATTGGGCATAAGCATCAGAGAAACTATCGGAGCCTGTGAGCTGAGCCTGAGTAATTAGAATGCCATTACTCCGATTTAGCTGAGCCTGTAAACAGGCCTCCTCTGACCACCAGGCTGAGATGGACTTAGAACAGCTTTTTGCCAAAAGATCACAGTCTAAAGGAAGCAAAACAACCTCAGTATAAAAAGTTTGCAATACCATTTGAACATAAGGAAAAGTAGGACCATACTGAGTACAAGCATCCTTAAATTGTTTTTAAAAAGGTAAGATTGAGCGGCGCCTATCGATGCAGACTGGCTGAGGAACTGAAACGACAGGAGGGTGAGGGGCTGTAGTGGATGGGGGAGGGCCTGGAGAATGACAGGTAAATTGTAGTTTGGTCCCAGAGCCATTATTTGATGCTGGAGGTTTGAAGAGAGAAGAATTAGCATATTTATGTTACCGGGCTTTGTGAGTCACAGCCGCAGGAGTGTGAAGTACCGGCTTTTCGTGGGAAGAAGTAAGAAAAGTAGGGGGTAACTTTAAGCCAAAGTTACCAGAGTTAGAAATCGAATTTTCAGAATCGTTAGGGAGGGGAGGAGTAGCTGAAGGGAGAGTCTGAACGAAGGCCATGTGGGAGAGGAAGGTTGAGAAAAAGGCAGAGAAACTGAGGAAAAGGCAGAAAACTGCGGCAACTGCAGGGGGTCACGAGATTGGCAAGCCACGAAGATGTCACGCACCAAGCACCCCAAACAGTGATGGGCACATAATACCCGGCCGAGATCAGTTTTCGGAATGCCTTACGGACACAATCACACAATTTTATATACACCGTTCCTTTTTCAGGAAACCAAGAACAGTATTTTTCTACTGCCCTGAATAGAGTGATCATATTTTTCATGGTTACCGGTTTTAACAGGAGTTTGTTAGATTACACATGACCCACAGTTAACCCAGACCTTACACAGATTACTCACCACTCGTCGGGGAGTTGAACACGCTTATCTGTGGACCAAGCCGATTGACGTTTCACCGCACCTACCAAAGGGAATCCGGTTCCCTCATGCACTTAGGAAAAAAGAAAGACCACGTGGGCGCCAGATATCGGGGGACCTGCCCCGATAATCACGTAGGTTCTTTTCTATTTTCCTAAGCGTCGACTGGCTTGAGAAATAAAAGGACAGAGTACAAAAGAGAGAAATTGTAAAGCTGGGCATCTGGGGGAGACATCACACATTGGTAGGATCCGTGATGCCCCACAAGCCACAAAAACCAGCAAGTTTTTATTAGGGAGTTTCAAAAGGGGAGGGAGTATATGAATAGGTGTGGGTGACAGACATCAAGTACTTCACAGGGTAATAGAATATCACAAGGCAAGTGGAGACAGGGCCAGACCACAGGACGGAAGTGAAATTAAAATTGCTAATGAAGTTTTGGCACCATTGTCATTGATAACATCTTATGAGGAGACAGGGTTTTGAGATCAACCCGTCTGACCAAAGTTTATTAGGCGGGAATTTTCTCTTCCTAATAAGCCTGGGAGTGCTATGGGAGACTGGAGTTTATTTCACCTCTGCAATCTCGACCATAAGAGACAGGTATGCCCCGGGGGGCCAGTTCAGAGACCTACCCCTAGGTGCGCATTCTCTTTCTCAGGGACGTTCCATGCTGAGAAAAGGAATTCAACGATATTTCTCCCATTTGCTTTTGAAAGAAGAGAAATATGGTTCTGTTCTGCCCGGCTCACCGGGCGGTCAGAGTTTAAGGTTATCTCTCTTATTCCCTGAACAATTGCTGTTATCCGGTTCTTTTTTCAGGGTGCCCACATTTCATATTGCTCAAACACACATGCTGTACAATTTGTGTACTTAACGCAATTATTACAGGTCCTGAGACGATATACATCCTTCTCGACTGACAGGATTAAGAGATTAAAGTAATGACAGGCATAGGAAATCACAAGGGTATTGATTGGGGAAGTGATAAGTGTCCATGAAATCTTTACAATTTATGTTTAGAGATTGCAGTAAAGGCAGGCATAAGAAATTACAAAAGTATTAATTTGGGGAACTAATAAATGTCCATAAAATCTTCATAATCCACGTTCTTCTGTCATGGCTTCAGCTGGTCCCTCCGTTTGGGGTCCCTGACTTCCCGCAACACAGCACAGTGCCTGGCACAAAAGAGTTGCTCAATAAATACATCAGGATGAATAGATAAATACATGGATAGGCACTTTGAACTACAGATGAGCTTAAATACTTTGTGTTTTTCTTAGTCAAACATGTGCAATTAAGCATGTGATAAATGTTATGATGAGCATACCTGTGTCTTGCCTGATGTTCTTTGCAATCACTAAATGAAGTCAATTGGGCCTGTTTTGACAGTTCTATTTTCAACCTAATGATCTGTTTATTTTAACTTCTGGCTGTTGGCTTTGTTTGGGTTTGTTAGCCTGACAAAGTGGTAGATATTGGTATTTGCTCTTTTGTTTAAATGTCACGAACTTTAAAAATGCCTTTGCTTTTGGTAAGAAACCCTAGTTAGGACACCCTAGCAGTCAGGATGATTTGCGTTCTGGTGCTGTAACAACAATCCCCAAATCTCAGTGGCCTCATGCAGTGAGGTATTTGTTTGTTTGTTTTTGAGACAGGGTCTCACTCTGTCACCCAGACTAGAGTGCAGTGGTGCAATCTCAGCTCACTGCAACCTCTGCCTCCCAGACTCAAGTGATTCTCCTGCCTCCTGAGTAGCTGGGATTACAGGCCCATGCCATCACTGTCTGGCTAATTTTTGTACTTAGTAGAGACAGTATTTCACCATGTTAGCCAGGTTGGTCTTGAACTCCTGACCTCAAATGATCCACCCGCCTTGGCCTCCCAAAGTGCTGGGATGACAGGCATGAGCCACCATGTCTGGCCACAGTGAGGCTTATTCTTGGTCACGTTGCATGTCTGGGCTGTGTTAGGGCATTGTGGGGTGGTCTGTTCATTGTGTTCACTCAGGGATCCAGGCTGACAAAAGCCCCATCTCTGCATGTGTCCTTGATCACCACTTCAGGGGAAAGAGAATGTGGTGGATCATAGAGCCTCTTAACACTTCCACCTGGAGGTGACTCAAGTTGCTCCTGCTCATGGTTCATTGGACAAAACAGATCAAAGAGTCATGGGCAACTTCTCTGTGCCTGGAAGAGGAACCAAAATATGAATATCTACATTGACTTTCCCTAGCTATTACACAGAAGGTCTCATTTAAATGCAGTTACTTATTTGTGTTTTGAAGCTAACTGTAGTCCATCAAACTTCACAGAAGATATGTGCACTTCCAAGCTATTACTAAGCACAATTTTTTTTTTTTTTTTTTTTTTTTTTTTTTTTTTTTTTTTGAGACAGAGTCTCACTCTCTTGCCCAGGCTGGAGTGCAGTGGCATGATCATGGATAACAGCAACTTCTGCCTCCTGGGTTCAAGTGATTTTCATGCCTCAGCCTCCCAAAGTGCTGGGACTACAGACAACCACCACCGCACCTGGCTAAGTTTTGTATTTTTAGTAGGGATGGGGTTTCACCATGTTGGCCTGGCTGGTCTGGAACTCCTGACCTCAGGTGATCCACCTGTCTCAGCCTCCCAAAGTGCTGAGATGACAGGCGTGAGCCGCTGTGCCCGGCCTTGAGTATGATTTTTGATTGGGAAGGTCAGAGTTAGGGTTTTAGTCTGAGGACAGTATGATGTGAAGGTGAAAAGCAGAGCTTGGCTGTGAGTTTGCTGGGATTCCTGTGCTGCTTCTACAGCTCTTTGGCTGTGTGACCATCACCTTTGGCAAGTTCCTTTACCTTTCTATGTGTTGGCTTCCTCATCAATAAAATGGAAAAACTAATCATAATCATAGTATCTGTTGGTGTTGGGATAGCCCAGTGGTTGACACATAAGGACTCAAAAATAGTTTTTTTTAGTTTTTTTTTTTTTTTTTTTTTTTGAGACAGAGTCTTGCTCTGTTGCCAGGCTGTAGTGCAGTGGTGCAATCTCAGCTCACTGCAAACTCTGCCTCCTGGGTTCAAGCGATTCTCCTGCCTCAGCCTCCCTAGTAGCTGGGATTACAGACACCTGCCACCACTCCCAGCTAATTTTTGTATTTTTAGTAGAGATGGGGTTTCACCATGTTGTCCAGGATGCTCTTGACCTCATGATCTGCCCACCTCAGCCTCCCAAAGTGTTGGAATTACAGGCATGAACCACCGTGCCCGGCTCAAAAATACTATTACTAATTTTGGGGGGTAGTTACTATATTTTGTGAAAATCAGAGTTCAGTACCTTGTAACACTGGGTTGGGATCTATCCCTGAAGGAACAGGCTTCTTAAGAGGAAGGCATGGAGTGAGGGGCAAAATTTTAGTTGATGTTGTAATGACTTTAGGTATATGGATCTGGGTCTGAGTTCTAGCTGGGGCCACCAGGTAGCAAGGTGAACTTTGCTAAATTCTATCACTTTCCTGAGCCTCAGACTCACTTGTTACAAATGAGGTTAAAGCATCCCTCTTTCAGGGCTAAGATAAAGATGATTAAGTAAGAGGGAATGAAAGTAACTTCCATCAATGGTCAAAAGTATTCGTTTAAAAAAAAAAATATATATATATATATATATTTTTGAGATGGAGTCTCTCTCTGTTGCCCAGGTTGGAGTGCAGTGACATGGTCCCGGGTCACTGCAACCTCCGCCTCCTGGGTTCAAGTGATTCTCCTGCCTCAGCCTCCTAAGTAGCTGGGATTACAGGTGTGTGCCACCACGCCTGGCTAATTTTTGTATTTTTAGTAGAGACGGGGTTTCACCATGTTGGCCAGGATGGTCTCCATCTCTTGACCTTGTGATCCACCCACCTTAGCCTCCCAAAGTGTTGGGATTACAGGCATGAGCCACCACGTCCGGCCCATTTAACTTCTATATTACTTTCCTGTTGGTGGATTTACCAGTGCAAACTGAGCAGCTTAAAACACCACCAAGGGTCTGGGCAGGGTTTAACTGGGTCCTCTATTCAGGGTCACAATACTGCAACCAGAGTGTCAGTTGGAGCTGGGGTCTCATGGGATGCTCAGTATCCTCTTCCAAGCTTATTCAGTTTGTGGACTGAATTCAATATCTTGCAATTGTTGAATGAAGGCCCTCAACTCCTAGAGCTGCCACCTCCAAAGACAGCTCACAGCATGGCCATTTGTGTCTCCTTGGAGGCTAAGGGTTGAACCTCTGAAACTTCACCTTTAAAAGATTCACCTGATTAGGTCTGGCCCACCTAAGATCATCCTGCTTTGGATGAACTCAAAGTCAGCTGAACAAATGTGCTTAACAAAGCAACTGTGACCATAATCACATTTGCAAAATTCCTTCCTCTTGGCCAAATCACAAGCTCTGCACACACTCAAGAAGAGGAGATGATACAGGGAGCAGATATAAGGGAGTGGGTCTCTTGGGGGCTGTCTTAGTATTCTGTCCATTACAACTTCCTTTCTTGAGGAACAGCAGGCCTGGGGAGAGATGATCACAGATGAGGGCAGCCCACAGGTGGTGAGAGCCTGGTGCTGGTGTAGGATGCAGGAGGCTGTGAAGCAAGTAGGAAAAGCCTTCTCTGGGCTGGGTGCAGTGGCTTACACCTGTAATCCCAGCACTTTGGGAGGCTGAGGTGGGCAGATCACGAGGTCAAGGGATCGAGACTATTCTGGCCAACCAACATGGTGAAACCCCGTCTTTACTAAAAATAAAAAAATTAGCTGGGCATGGTGGCGCATGTCTCTAACAACCCAGCTCCCCAAGTGAGCAACTCTTGTCCCTTTTAAGGGCTCACAAATCTAAGGGAGTCCACATGAGAGGGTCATGATCGATTGACCAAGCAGGGAGTACGTGACTGGGGGCTGCATTCAGCAAACCCCATCTCTACTAAAAATACCAAAATTCAGCAAAGTTTCAGGATACAAAATCAGTGTGCAAAAATCACAGGCATTCTTATACACCAATAACAGAGAGCCAAATCATGAGTGAGCTCCCATTCACAATTGCTTCAAAGAGAATAAAATACTTAGGAATCTAACTTACCAGGGACATGAAGGACCTCTTCAAGGAGAACTACAAACCACTGCTCAATGAAATAAAAGAGGATACAAACAAATGGAAGAACATTCCATGCTCATGGGTAGGAAGAATCAGTATCGTGAAAATGGCCATACTGCCCAAGGTAATTTATAGATTCAATGCCATCCCCCTCAAGTTACCAATGACTTTCTTCACAGAATTGGAAAAAACTACTTTAAAGTTCATATGGAGTCAAAAAAGATCCTGCATTGTCAAGTCAATCCTAAGCCAAAAGAACAAAGCTGGAGGCATCACGCTACCTAACTTTAAACTATACTACAAGACAACAGTAACCAAAACAACATGGTACTGGTACAAAAACAGACATATAGACAAATGGAACAGAACAGAGCCCTCATAAATAATGCTACACATCTACAGCTATCTGATCTTTAACAAACCTGACAAAAACGAGAAATGGGGAAAGGATTCCCTATTTAATAAATGGTGCTGGGAAAACTGGCTACCCATATGAAGAAAACTGCAACTGGATCCCTTCCTTACCCCTTATACTAACATTAATTCAAGATGGATTAAAGACTTAAATGTTAGACCTAAAACTATAAAAACCCTAGAAGAAAACCTCAGCAATACCATTCAGGACATAGGCATGGGCAAGGACTTCATGTCTAAATCACCAAAAGCAATGGCAACAAAAGCCAAAATTGACAAATGGGATCTAATTAAACTAAAGAGCTTCTGCACAGCAAAAGAAACTACCATTAGAGTGAACAGGCAACCTACAGAATGGGAGAAAATTTTTGCAATCTACTCATCTGACAAAGGGACCTATGACTTTCTTATAACCAAGAGAATATGGCAGAGGTGACAGGATGTAGTGATTATGTTAGATAGATAGGATGTTAAGTTGTCTTGCTAGGAGGCTGTCTGTCTTGCTGGCTTTGAAGATGTGAGCTGCCATGTCATGAGCGGCCAGATGGAGAGGCCCATGTGGCAAGAAGCTGATGGCAGCAAGAAACTGGGGCCCTGAGTCCAGCAGCCTGCAAGGAACTGAATGCTGCCAACAACCAGATGAGCCTGGAAGCAGATCAATCACCAGTCAAGCCTCCAGATGAGAACTGAGCCCTGGCTGACACTATGGCCACAGGCTTGCATTGAACCCAGCTGAGTCACACCTGGATTTCTAATCCACAGAAACCGTGCAGTGGTAACTGTTTGCTGTCTCAAGCCACAAAGTTTGCAGTAATATTTTTGCACAGCAATAGATAACTAATATAAAAACTGTCCTACATCATGTACATTACTGAGCGAAAAGTAGAACCTGGATTTGAGCTCTGATTTCAGAGTTGTCTCCCCAGGGAGACCTGTCCTGGGAGACAGTTATGCCAGGCTGTGATGCTGTGATGATTGTTCTCTTCCTACTCAGAAGCTTTCAATAGGCATGTCAAGCATGTGAACCCAGCTACATATACCAAATATATTTCTGACAAATGCCAGGACATCGTGAGCTTTCTTATTTTACTGAGAGCTCCCTAAAGGAGGGACCATCTCTGTCTTTTTTTTTTTTTTAATAGTCTCACTCTCACCCAGACTGGAGTGCAATGGTGCGATCTCGGCTCACTGCAGTCTCTGCCTCCTGGGCTCAAGGGATTCTCCAGCCTCAGCCTCCTGAGTAGCTGGGATCAAAGGTGTACATCACCACACCCAGCTAATTTCATATTTTTGGTAGCGATGGGGTTTTGTCATGTTGGTCAGGCAGATCTCGAACTCCTGGCCTCAAGTGATTCGCCCACCTTGGCTTCCCAAAGTGCTGGGATTACAGGCATGAGCCACTGCACCTGGCCTGTCTTTTTTATGTTATGTCCACGTGAAACAGCCCAGTGGTCAGCACACAAAGGGGTCCAAATGTGAAAGGGCAAACACAGGGGAAACAGGGGTGTTCAGAAATAGTTCCCAGGTTACTGTCTGTTTCAATATGTACCGTTCTCTGCCCCACCCACAAGATTCTGACTTGGCGGGTCAGAGTTGGAGATGGGGGAGCTACCTGGTTACGAGGGATCCCAGTGATTTTGAGGCAGCTGGTTGTTAGACTGCACTGTAAAAGTTACCCCCCAAAGATGTGAAGGGATAATTCATGTATTTTTAATAGAGATAGGGTTTCACCATGTTGGCCAGGCAGGTCTCCAACTCCCAGCCTCAGGTGATCCGCCCGCCTTGGCCTCCCAAAGTGCTGGGACTACAGGCATGAGCCATTGCTCCAAGCACTATTTTTTTAATGAGGCCAAATACACATAACATACAAGTCCCTGTATGAAATCATACACTTCAGTATCATTAAATACCTTCACAATGTTAAGCAATCATCATCTCTGTCTAGTTCCAAAACATTTTCTTTAACACCCCCCGCCCCCCAAAAAATAACCCTGTATCCATCAAGCACTCTCCATCCCCTCCCCTTTCCCCCAGTTCCTGGCAACCACTTACCTGCTTTCTGCCTCTACAGATTTGCGTATTCTGGACCTTTCACATAAATGGAATCATGTAATATATATAATAACCAAAAGGTAGCAACAACAAAGATGGTCATTCGGTTTATGAATGAATAAACAAAATGTGCTGTATCCGTACAATGGAAGTATTGGTGCCTACTACATGTGGATGGAACTTGGAAACATCACGCTGAGTGAGAGAGAGCCTTGGTATTGTCTCATCTCCCCAGGAGATTCCAAGGTGCAGCCAAGGTTGAGACCCACTGACAAGCAATGGATAAGGTTGGGTGCAGATGAAATAAGGCAGCCAGGGGCAGGAGGGACGTCTCATTGAAGACGACTATTTGTGGATGCCTAGCAGGGGTGGGGATGAGGGATGATAACAGCAACCCCAATCCCAACACAGCGTGACCGATTTTATCTTCAGCCAGCTGATACGCCTCATGGGGTGTGGACACAGGACATCTCTGCCTCCCAGGTTCAAGCGATAACTCCTGCCTCAGCCTCCTAAGTAGCTGGGGTTACAGGCATGTACCACCACGCCTGGCTAATTTTTGTATTTTTAGTAGAAACGAGGCCTTTTCATGTGGCCCAGGTTGGTCTCGACCTTCTGGCCTCAAATGATCCACCCACCTCAGCCTCCCAAAGTACTGGGATTACAGGCATGAGCCACAGTGGCAGCCTCCAAATTCTATTTGAAGTTCGACTTTCCACCTCCAGAAAATCCAAACCTTTGCCCAAGTCACAGTGGGACACCTCGGAGTTAATGTGAGAGAAATGTGCTTTTAAAAACAACTCCAGGACTAGCACAGTGGCTCACGCCTATAATCCTAGCACTTTGGGAGGCCGAGGCGGACGGATCACGAGGTCAGGAGATCAAGACCGTCCTGGCTAACACGGTGAAACCCCGTCTCTACTAAAAATACAAAAAATTAGCCGGGCGTGGTGGTACATGCCTCGAAGCCCAGCTACTCGGGAGGCTGAGGCAGGAGAATCGCTTGAACCAGGGAGTCAGAGGTTGCAGTGAGCCGAGAGTGCGCCACTGCACTCTAGCCTGGTGACAGAGAGAGATTCCGTCTCAGAATAAATAAAACCCTCCGATATGAACACCAAACTAGAATCACTCCATTGACTTCCCTCCGCCAATCAGGGGGAGTGATGGTGATGGTGCATGAGTGTCTATTTGCATTCAGTCTCACTCAAAGGAAAAACAAATCACAGCCCAGACTGGAGCTGTGGATGAATAACATGGCTGAGTGTTGGTACAGGCTTTCCACAGCAATACTAAAACTGAAAAAATCAGCAATGAAACTCCCAGCCACATTTCTGCCAAATGATTTGGGGGAAAACAACAGAGGCACTCCTCAACTTTTTCTTCGCTGCACAAAGTGGGTTTGGCTGGAAATGCCAAGTGTGCTTGTTGCTGGGATCTTTCAAATGAAAGCAAGCTGGGAGTCAAACTCCTGCAGCCACAGGCCAGAAATGGGTTTAGAGCAAACTATTATAGTAACACTGGTGCACATCGAAACAGATTAAACTCCCTCACAGCAATCCAGATTAATTGAATATGCTTTCTTATTGGCATACTGCGTTTCTCATTAAAGCAAATGAACATCCATCCCTCTATAATAAATTAGGGCCAAAAAAAATTCATATGTTTAGGGCATAGGGAAGGAGGAGTTGTTGGCTGTTAAAAAAAAAAATACTGCAAGTGGCCTTTGAAAGTCTAGACATCTTCATCATAAACACAAATATTCCTCTTCACAAAGGGACCTCAAGTAACCTTAGGCTGGAGGGCCCACTTGAGTATGTTTTTCTTCTCATTCTTTCTTACCTTCCCTCCAGCCCACCCAACCCACATTCAGTGACCAAGTCACGTGGGTTTTACCTCCTAAATCTTTTCAGATCCGTTCACTGCTCAGCCACTCTCCTGACACCACCATAAACCAAGCCACCATCACTTCCAGCTGTTTGACTGCAAATGCCTCCTCACTGGCCTCTGTCTTCCCCTGGCCCTGTGACAATCTGCACTCCTCACAGGGACCAAAGCAATCACTTCAGAAGGTGCATCCAAACAGATCACTCACTTTCAATGGCTCCCACTGCTCTATGGGTTAACAATGATAAAAGCTCAGCCGGGCACGGGGGCTCACGCCTGTAATCCCAGCACTTTGGGAGGCCGAGGCGGGTGGATCACGACGTTAGGAGATTCAGACCATTCTCGCTAACACGGTGAAACCCCGTCTCTACTAAAAATATTAAAAAAATTAGCCAGGCGTGGTGGCGGGCGCCTGTAGTCCCAGCTACTCGGGAGGCTGAGGCAGGAGAATGGCGTGAACCCGGGAGGCGGAGGTTGCAGTGAGCCGAGATAGCGCCACTGCACTCCAGCCTGGGCGACAGAGTGAGACTCCATCTCAAAACAAACAAACAAAAAACAATGATCAAAGCTCACCTTTACTTAGCACACTCTATCGCAGTCCATCCCTACATCACCCTTGATTTCACGAGTGGGGAAGCTGGGACAAAGAGTAGTTACGTGGGATGCCCAAGGTGGGACCACTCGTATGAAGTTTCCACACACTAATGTGAGACCCTCCATGACCTAGCCCCTCTCTTTCTCCAGCCTCATTTCCTGATTCTTTCGCTTGCCCTGCAGGCTTCAGCCACACAAACTTCTTGAAAGTCCCTTAAATCTGGCTGAGCGCAGTGGCTCACGTCTGTAATCCCAGTACTTTGGGAAGCTGAGGCGGGTGGATCACCTGGCATCAGGAGTTCGAGACCAGCCTGGTCAACATGGTGAAACCCCATCTCTACTAAACATCCAAAAATTAGCCAGGTGTGGTAGAGGGCGCCTGTAATCCCAGCTACTAGGGAGACTGAGGCAGGAAAATCGCTTGAACTCAGGAGGCAGAAGTTGCAGTGAGCCAAGATCACACCACTCCACTCCAGCCTGGGCGTCAAGACTGAAAGTCCGTCTCAAAAAAAAGTCCCTTAAATCTGCTCTATGCCTATCAACCTCAGGGACTTCACTATGCTGTTCCTCACCCTGAAATGCTGTTCCTCATTTCTCTACATAGCGAACTCATCCCACCCCCTAGGTCTCTCCTTAAGTGTCATCTCTTCAAGGAAGATTTTACTTTTTTAATATAACTATTAAAATATAATTCAGGTACCGTATGATTTGCCCATTTAAAGTGAACAAATCAATGGTTTCAGTGCATTCACAGAGGTCGGCAACCACCATCATGATCAATTTTAAAACATTCTCATCACCCCAAAAGGAAACCCTGTATCCATGAGCAGGTTCCTGCCATTTCCTCCTCCCACTAAGCCCTGACAATCTACTTTTTTTGAGATAGAGTCTCTGTCACCGGCTGGAGTGCAGTGGCACAATCTCGGCTCACTGCAACCTCCGCCTCCCGGGTTCAAGCAATTCTCCTGCCTCCCGAGTAGCTGGGATTACAGGGATATGCCACCATGCCCATCTAATTTTGTATTTTTAGTAGAGACAGGGTTTCTGTCTTCATAGCTTTGCGTGTTCTGGACATTTCATATAAATGAAATCTTATAATATGTGACCTTTTGTGACTGGTTTCTTCCACTTAGCTTAATATTCTCATAGTTCATCCGTGTTGTAGCACGTGTTAGTACTTCATTCCTTTTGATGACTGAATAATATTCCATTGCTTGGTCAAACCATGTTCTATTTCTTTACTCATCAGTAGACAAGCATTTGTGTTGTTTTCACTTTGGCGCTATTATGAATAATGCTGCTGTGAGCATTTGTGTACAAGTTTCTGCAGGGACATATATTTTCATTTCTTCCATAAACTGGAGTGGAAGTGCTGGGTCATAGAACTCTGTGTTCAAGCTTTTGAAGAAGTGCCAGACTGTGTAATAAAGAAAGCCTTTCCTCACCCTGTAAGACCGAGCTCCCTCTCTCCATTTATACGTTCTCTTTATGCCCTTTGCTTCTCTTTCAGAGCAATTCACGATGAGCTGGGTCACCCTCAACTTAAGGCTCATAACTCCCTTAGACCCTCAGGGTCCACACTAAATATGATGAAATATGATGCAAGCCACATATTTACTTTTGCATTTTGTAGTAACCACATTTTAAAAAGGAAAACAAAAGAAGTGAAGGTAACTGGAATAATATCACAGATTTAAACAAATCTATCCAAAATACCAGGTCTACAAATATAAAATATTTTAACATTAACAAAATATTTTGCTTTCTTTTTATATTTAGGCTTCACAATCTAATGTGTATTTGACACTTCTCACACATCTCAGTATGATGGCAGCACCCATATGGGAGGCCCTCCCATGATGCCAATGATGGGCCCTTCTCCTCCTGGGATGATGCCAGTGGGACCTGCTCCTGGAATGAGGCCGCCCATGGGAGGCCACATGCCCGTGATGCCTGGGTGCCCAATGATGAGACCTCCTGCCTATCTCATGATGGTGCCCAGTCAGCCCAGAATGACTCGACCAGACAGATAAGGATAGAGGGGAGGGCTCATTACATCAGTGTTGCTTTTTTGGTGTTATTGTTGTGCGTTTTTTTGTTTTGTTTTGTTTTTGAGACAGAGTCTTCCTCCGTCACCCAGGCTGGAAGGCAGTGGCACGATCTCAGCTCACTGAAACCTCCACTTCCTGGTTTCAAGTGATTCCCCTGCCTCAGCCTCCTGAGTAGTGTGGGACTACAGGCATGTGCACCATGCCTGGCTAATTTTTTTTATTTTAGTAGAGACAGGGTTTCACCATGTTGGCCAGGATGGTCTCAATCTCCTGTCCTCGTCACCCGCTTGCCTCAGCCTCCCAAAGTGCTGGGATTACAGGTGTGAGCCACTGCGCCCGGCCTGTATGAGTTTTATATTTACCTGCTCCCTTCACCAGGAGATCGTGCCGCTGTGATGCTGGCTTTTCTTAACAGCATAAGGAAGACTTGCCCCCTTGCCCCATCAAAGAGAATAGTTTTGGAGGGGAGAAGTGGGACCAAAAAAGATGCAGTTTTCATTTGTATTGGGAAATGTGAAAATAGAATTGTCAACTCTTTTAGTTAAAAACGAAAAAAAAAGAAAAGGAAACAAGATGTGGGGCTGCCATAAGCAATACCATGGATTCCAAGGATCTTCTACTCTGGAGGGAAATATTATCTTTGCTGAAGCCAGACCAACCTGACACAAAGACCTTTTGGTTTTTTAATGTGACTGTGTTTTATTTTACAATGTGTAATTCACTTTAGAAGGGCAAAGTACCTGTCTGGGGAAGACTATTTAATTTCCTGCATTTATTTAGAATGTTGGCTGATGTTGTTATGAAAGGAAACAGCTCTAACAACTGAGTGCCCCCCACATAGCCACAGCTCATGAGTTCATGGGGCAAAGGAATTGAACAGCAGCCTCCTAATAGCCGGCCTTCTTTGTGGTATGGAAATGATTATCAACATGTAAAAGACTATATATATATTCAACAATTCTGACCCCCTGCAAAATTCAAATCCACAACTGATTTGCTTCCTGGGCTCCTGAAAACAACTTTGTCAAAATTGTTTAGAAATAAAATCAGCCAATTGTTGCCCCTTGGGGATGCAGGACAAAGCAAGTCAGCCATGACCAATGTGGAGTCGGCCGTACACAATTACATGCAGACCTGCAGGACATCGAGTCTCTGCTATGGTCCCTCCCCAGTCAGGCCCCCATTGCCTGGGCTGCAGCCAGAAGGATTCAGGCACAAGTGCATTCAACAAATATTTAATTGCATTGGTGGTTAGAGGGTTGCGGTTGATTAAGGTACATTAATGGATCCATGTCCTCCCTGTATCCAAGACTCTGCCATTTGTCTCTGCAGTTCCTCCCACTGAAGAATCGGAGTATATTTCTCCAGCCCCTAATGTTGGGTTTAGTCATGTGTCTAGCTTTGGCCACTGGAATATTAACCTGCATGACCAAAAACTTGGAAAGTGTGCATTCATTTGTGCTCGCTCACTCCTGCTATCACCATGAGAACAAGCCCAGGCCAGACTGCTGCTTCCAGCAGAAGATAAGAGACACCAAGAGCGAAGTCGAGCCTCTGAGACATGCTCATGCCAGATTAACCAATCCTCAGCTGATCCATAGGTCCATGAAAATAAATGATTGTTGTATTATGCCACTGAGATTTGGAGTGACTTGTTATGCAGCATTTTGTGACAACAACTAACTGATACAAGGGTCACCGTCCTTTATCGCTGTAGATTTTAACCAATTTTTAATAGCTAGATGGAGATCTTCTAGTTGCCTTTATTTATAATGAATATGACTGTAGAGCTAGTTTGGCCTGATACTACCAGTAACCTACCCAGAAATTCAGAAATACTTTCTTCTCCAACCCACCCCAACCAACCTTTTTTTTATTTTGTTTTGTTTTTGGGTTCTCCATCTTTGCCTAGGCTAGAGTACAAGTGGTACAGTCAGAGATCACTGTAACCTCAAAATCCTGAGCTCAAGTGATCTTCCCCTTCAGCCTCCTATGTAGCTAAGACTACAGACATGTGCCACCGTGCCTGGCTAATTTTTTTATTCTTTGCAGAGACAGGGTCTCACTATATTGCCCAAGTTGGTTTCAAGCTCCTGGCCTCAAGCACTCCTCTTGCCTCACCCTCCCAAAGTGCTACGATTATAGACATGAGCCACCACACCAGCCTCTTCTTCTTTTTAAATAGAAACCCTATTTTATTCTGACAGTAGGTTGCTTTTTTTTTTTTTAAGAAAAATTTGGCCCAGCCCCAGGGAATAAATTGTGACTGGTCTAAACAGGGTTGGCAAACTATAGACCAAGGGCCAAATCTGGCCCTCTGACTGTTGGTATAAATTAAGTTTTATTGGAATAAAACCAGGTCCATTCATTTATGCATTTTTTACATATGCTTTTAGGCTACAATGGCACCACTGGGTCACTGCAACAGAGGTTATCTAGACCAAAAGCCTAAAATATTACTGTTTGCCTCTTTATGGAAAAAGTTTGCCATTCCCTAGTCTAAGGTTTAGATTCTGAGCTTATCATTTTAGCCTATCCCCCCTTACCAGTGACTGGCTCAAAACAAGTCTGTGATTCCATTCTGAATGTTCTACTGAGGGAATTCTCCCTTCTTCTCATGCAGAGTTGATGAGGACAAGTTGTATTAATAGGACATATGCTCAGGTTTTCTGAAAAATACTTTTATCTAGAAATGCATAGGAATATGCTGGTGCCTGAATGTACCATCCGGGGGCCTGGAGATTGACTCACCTGCCTCCAGAGCTAGTGCTCACCCTTACTACTGAGAGGCCTGAGGAAACACCTGCCTACCCACCACCAGAACCTGCACAGATCACCTGGAGAACTAGAGATCAGACTGCCACACACACCACCCAGGAGCCCAGTGGTGCACCTGCCCAACTGGCCCAGTGCTGCCACTGCCAGCAACCAAAGAAGCCACCTGGAGGCCCAGGGATTGGCCCATGCAGACAGGCTATCATCAGTGCCCATGTATACTGCCTGTGGTCCCTAGTATTGACAAACCTGGTCCACCACCACTACCACTGAGGCTGAAGGACAAGACTTCCTGGCATCCCCATCCTCAGCAAAGCCTCACCACAGCTTCCAATAACAACTGCATTCTGGCCAGGTGTGGTGGCTCACGCCTGTAATCCCAGCACTTTGAGAGGCCGAGGTGGGTAGATCACGAGGTCAGGAGTTTGAGACTAGCCTGGCCAACATGGTGACACCCCGTCTCTACTAAAAGTACAAAAATTAGCTGGGCATGGTTGCACGTGCCTGTACTCCCAGCTACTCAAGAGGCTGAGGCAGGAGAATCATTTGAACCCAGGAGGCAGAGGTTGCAGTGAGCTGAGATTGCATCACTGAACTCCAGCCTGGTGATAGAGCTAGACTCCATCTCAACAACCACAAAAAAAAAAAAAAAAAACAAAACCAAACAAAAACTACAGTCTAAGCCACTGAATGACTCACAGACACCACTCATCCAATTACAGCAGAAGAAATCATATGCAGATTATACCACTGTACCCACCCAGAATCAAAGCCAAACTGTGATATCCAATGAACATTGTAGATATAGCTATAAGAAAAGGTCTTTCCCATATAAAAGCCAATCCATAAAATTGGAAGCAGTGACTGTTATGTCAGAGGCACAGATAGTCACATAAGGATGCAAGAAATATGAAAAAGGAAACATAACATCTCCAAAGAAGCACAATAATTCTCCAGCAACAGATTCCAATGAAAAGAAAATCTATGAAATGCCTGAAAAAAATTCAGAATAATGTTATTGAAGAAACTCAGGGAGATACAAGAGAACACAGATAATGAATACAAAAAAATCAGGAAAACAATTCATGATCTGAATGAGAAATTCAACAGAGATAGACAGCGTAACACAGAAACAAACACAAATCCTGGAAGAGAATAAATCATTGAAAGAAATACAAAAGATAATTGACAGCTTTAACAATAGACTAGATCAAGCAAAACAAAGAATTTCTGAACCTGAAGACTAGTCTTTTAAAATAATCCAGTCAGACAAAAAGAAAGAAAAAAGAATGAAGCAAAGCTACATGACATATGGGACACCTATGTGACCAAAAACTGAAATTCTGGGAGTTCTGGATGGAGATGAGATGGGTAAAGGCATAGCAAACCTATTTAATAAAATAATAACTGAAAACTTCCTGAAAGCTTCAAATACAGGAAGCTGAAAGATTACCAAATAAATACAACTCAAAAAGGTCTTCTCCAAGACACATTATGGTAAAATTGTCAAAAGACAAACAGAAAATGCTAAAAACAGCAAGAGAAAAGCAACAAGTCACTTATAAGAGAATCCCCATCAGGCTAACGAGATTTCTCAGCAGAAACCTTACAGGCTAGGAGAAAAGGGGATGTATACTACAAGTTAAAAAAAAAAAGTAAGCCAAAAATACTATACCCAGCAAAGCTATCCTTCACAAATGAAGGAGCCTGGCACAGTGGCTCACATCTGTAATTTCAGAGACTCATAAGGCTGAGGCAGGAGGATCATTTGAGCCCAAGAGTTCAAGGCTGCAGTGAGCTATGATCATGCCACTGTACTCCAGCCTGGGTGACAGAGTGAGACTCCATTGCTAAAAATAAATAAACAAATAAATAAAAGAGAAAAAAGTATTTCTCAGATAAGTAAAAGACTGTTTGTTTGGGTATTGTTTGTTGTGGTCATACAAGAAATGCTTAAGGGAGTCCTACATTGGGAAGAAAAAGAACAATATCTACCATCATGAAAACACATGAAAGTATAAAACTCACTGGTAGAGCAGACACACAAAGAAGAAAGGATTCAAACATCACCACTAAGGAGAGAAAATAGGAATAAAGGTGTATTAGTCTGTTTCCACACTGCTGATAAAGACATACCTGACTGAGACTGGGCAATTTACAAAAGAAAGAGGTTTAATGGACTTACACTTCCACATAGCTGAGGAAACCTCACAATCACGTTGGAAGGCAAGAAGAAGCAAGTCATGTCTCACATGGATGGTAACAGGCAAAGAGAGAGCTTCTGCAGGGAAACTGCCCTTTTTAAAACAATCAGAACTTGTGAGACGTATTCACTATCATGAGAACAGCATGGGAAAGACCTGCCCCCATGACTAAATTGCTTCCCAACAGGTCCCTCCCACAACATGTGGGAATTCAAGATGAGATTTTGGTGGGGACAAAACCAAACCATATCATTCTGTCCCTGGCCCTTCCCAAGTCTCATATCCTCATATTTCAAAACCAATCATGCCTTCCCAACAGTCCCCCAAACTCTTAACTAAGTTCAGCATTAACTCAAAAGTCCACTGTCCAAAGTCTCATGTGAGACAAGCCAAATCCCTTCCACCTATGAGCACATAAAATCAAAAACAAGTTAGTTACTTCCTAGATACAATGGGGGTATAGGCATTGGGTAAACACAGTCATTCCTAATGGGAGAAAATTGCCAAAACAAAGGGGCTACAGGCGCCATGCAAGCCCAAAATCCAGTGGGGCAGTCAAATCTCAAAGCTCCAAAATGATCTCCTTTGACTCCATGTCTCACATGCAGGTCATGCTGATGTAAGAAGTGGGCTCCCATGACCTTGGGAGAAAAAAGGCCACAGCTCCACTCCTGTGGCTTTGTAGGGTATAAACCCCCTCCTAGCTCCTTCCATGGGTTGGCATTGAGTGTCTGCCGCTTTTCCAGGCACACAGTGCAAGCTGTCAGTGAATCCACTATTCTGGGGTCTGGAGGATGGTGGCCCTCTTCTCACAGCTCCACTAGGTGGCGCAGCAGTAGGGACTGTATGTGGGGGCTCCGACCCCACATTTCCCTTCCGCACTGCCCCAGTAGAGGTTCTCCATGAGTGCCCTGCCCCTGCAGCAAACTCCTGCCTGGACGTCTAGGCATTTCCATACATCTTCTGATATCTAGGCAGTGGTTCCCAAACCTCAATTTTTGACTTCTGTGCACCCATAGGCTCAACACTATGTGGAAGCTGCTAAGGCTTGGGACTTGCACCCTCTGAAGCCACAGCCCACATTGTACCTAGGCACCTTTTAGCTGCAGCTGGAGTGGCTAGGACTCAGGCACCCTAGGCTGCTCACAGCAGGGGGGCCCTGGGTCCAGCACACAAAACCATCTTTTCTTCCCAGGCCTCTGGGCCTTTGATGGGAGGGGCTGCCATGAAGATCTGTGACATGCCCTGAAGACATTTTCCCCATTGTCTTGGGGATCCACATTTGACTCCTTGTTACCTAAACAAACTTCTGCAGCCAGATCGAATTTTTCTTGAGAAAATGGGATTTTCTTTTCTATTGCATGTTCAGGCTGCAAATTTTCCAAACTTTCATGCTCTGCTTCCCTTATAAAACTGAGGGCCTTTAACACACCTAAGTCATCTCTTGAATGCTTTGCTGCTTAGAAATTTCTTCTACCAGACACCCTAAATCATCTCTCTCAAGTTCAAAGTTCCACAAATCTCTACAGCAGGGGCAAAAAGCCACCAGTCTCTTTGCTAAAACATAACAGGAGTCACCTTTGTGCCAGTTCCTGACAAGTTCCTCATTTCCGTCTGTGACAACCTAAGCCTAGACTTTATTGTCCATATAACCATCAGCATTTTGGGCAAGTCTCTAGGAAATCTCTTCCAAATTTTCCCACATTTTCCTGTCTCCTTCTGAGCCCTCCAAACTGTTCCAACCTCTGCCTGTTTCCCAGTTCCAAAGTCACTTCCACATATTCAGGTATCTTTTAGCCACACCCCACTTCTGGTACTAATTTACTGTATTAGTCCATTTTCACACAGCTGATAAAGACACATTCAAGACTGGGAAATTTACAAAAGAAAGAGGTTTAATGGACTTACAATTCTACATTGCTGGGGAGGCTTCGAAATCATTGCAGAAGTCAAGGAGAGGAAAGTCACATCTTACAGGGATGGCAGCAGGCAAAGAGAGAGATTGAGCAGGGAAACTACTCCTTTTAAAACCATCAGATCTCAAGAGACTTATTCACTATCAAAAGAATAGCATGGGAAATACCTGCCTCCATGATTCAACTACTTCCCACTGGATCCCTCCCACAACACATGGGAATTCAAGATGAGATCTGAGTGGGGACACAGCCAAACCATATCAAAAGGATATACAAAATAACCAGAAAACAATGAACAAAATGACAGGAATAAGTCCTCACCTATCAATAATAACTTCAAATATGTGTTAAGTTAACTACCTAAAAGATAGAGGCAGGCTTAATGGACAAAAAATGACCCAACAACGTCTACAAGAAACTCATTTCACTTGTAAAGACACACACAGACTGAAAGTGAAGGGATTGAAAAAGATATACCACATAAACAGAAATCAAAAGTAACCAGGAGTAGCTAAACTTACATCAGATAAAACAGACTTTAAGTCAAAAACTGTAAAAAGGACAAAGAAGGTCATTATATGGTAATAAAGGGATCCATTCAGCAAGAAAGTATAACAATTCTAAATATGCATGCAACCAACAAAAGCACATCCAGACACACATAGCAAATATTATTAAATCTACAGGGAGAGATAGAATCCAATACAATGATAGTTGAGAACTTCAATATCCTACTCTCAGCATTGGACAGTTCATCTAGACATAAAATCAACAAAGAAACATTAGATTTAAGCTGCACTTTAGACCAAATGGACCTAACAGATATTTTCAGAATATTTCATCCAGCAGCAGCAGAATATACAATCATCTCATCAACACATGGAACATTCTCCAGGATAGACCATATGTTAGGACACAAAACAAGGCTCAACAAAATTTTAAAAATTAAAATCATATCAAGTATCTTCTCAGACCACAATGGAATAAAACTTGAAATCAATAAGAAGAAGAAATTTGGAAACTGTACAAATACATGGACATTAAACATGCTATCGAATGGTCATTGGAGCAATGAAGAAACTAAGATGGACATCAAATTTTTTTTTTTTAAACAGAAAATAGAAACACATCATGCAAAACCTATGGGATACAGCAAAAGCACTACTAGGAGGCAAGTTCATAGCAATAAATGCCTACACCAAAAAAGTAGAAAGATTTCAAATAAACAACCTAACGATGAACCTCAAGGAACTCAAAAAGCAAGAACAAACCAAACACACAATTAGTAGAAAGAAAAGATAATAAATTACATAGCAGAACCAAATGCAACGGAGACAAAAAAGAAATGCAAAGAATCAACAAGATAAAAGTTGGTTTTTTGAAAAGTTAAACAAAATTGATAAACCACTAGTGAGGCTAACAAAAAAAAAAAAAAAAAGAGAGAGACCCAAGTAAATACAATCAGAAATGAAAAAGGAGACATTACATCTGTTACCAAAGAAATAAAAAGGATCATTAGAGGCTATTAGGAACAACCATATGCTAACAGATTGGAAAACCTAGAGGAAAGGGATAAATTCCCAGAAATACACAGCCTACCAAGATTGAACTAGGAAGAAACAGAAAACCTGAACTGAGCCAAAATGAATAGCAGGTTTGAATCAGTAACAAAAAGTCTCCCCAAAGAGAAAAGCCCTAGACTAGGCTTTTATGCTGATTTCTACCCAATTTATAAAGAAAAACAACACCAATTCTTCTCAAACTATTCTCAAAAATTGAAGAGGAGGGAATTCTTCCTAACTCATTGTATAAGGCCAGCATTACCCTGATATCCAATCAAGACAAGGACACAACAAAAAGAGAAAACTACAGGCCAATATTCCTAATGAACACAGATGCAAAAATTCTCAGCATAATACTACCAAGCCAAATCTGATGATGAATGAAAAAGATAATATACCATGATCAAGTGGGATTTATCCCAGGAATGCAAAGATGGCTCAACATCCAGAAATTAGTGCATGTGATACATCACATCAACAAGATGAAAGGCAAAAACTATCTGATCATCTCAGCAGATGCAGAAAAATCACTCAGTAAAACTTACCATTCCTTCATGATGAAAACTCTCAACAAGTTATGCATAGAAGGAACATTTCAACATAAGAAAAGCATATATGACTAATCTACAGCTAACATCCTACTCACTGGGAAAAATTGAAAAGCCTTTCCTCTAAGAACTGGAATAAGACAAGGATGCCCACTTTCACCACTCTTATTCAACACAGTATGGGACATCCAAGCCAAAGTGATCAGACAAGATAAAGAAATAAAAGGCATCCAAAATGGACAAGAGGAAGTCAAATTGTCTCACTTTGCAGATGACATAATCTTATACTTGTAAACAGAAAAACCTAAAGACTCCACCAAAAAACTCTTAAAATGGGTAAATTAGGCTGGGCATGGTAGCTTATGCCTGTAATCCCAGCACTTTGGGAGGCCAAGGTGGGCGAATCACCTGAGGTTGGGAGTTTGAGACCAGCCTGGCCAACATGGCGAAACCCTGTCTCTACAAAAAATACAATTAGCAAAGCATGGTGGTAGGTGTCTGTAATCCCAGCTACTTGGGAGGCTGAAGCAGGAGAATTGCTTGAACCCGAGAGGCGGAGGTTGCACTGAGCCAAGATTGCACCACTACACTCCAGCCTGGGCAACAGAGTGAGACTCTATCTCAAAAAATAAAAAATAAAAAATAAAAAAAATTTAAAAAGCAGATGTATAATTCAGTAAAGCTTCAGGTCACAAAATCAACCTAGAAAAATCAGTAATGTTTCTATATACCAGTAAGAAACTAGCTAAAATAGAAATCAAAGAAGAAATTCTATTTACAATAGCTACAAAAATAAAATACCTAGGAATAAACTTAACCAAGGAGGGGGAAAATAAACCAAAAAACCTCTGCAGTGAAAACCACAAAACATTGATAAAATAAATTGAGAAGGACAGGAACATATGGAAAGGCATCTCATACTCGTGGGTTGGAATAACTAATACTGTTAAAATGACCATGCTACTCGAAGCAGTTTAGAGATTTAGTATAATCCCTATCAATTATATTATTCACAGAAACAGGAAAAAAAAAAGCCCTGAAATTCATATGGAACCACAGAAGACCCGAAATAGCCAAAGCAATACTGAGCAAAAAGAACAAAGCTAGAAGCCTCACACTACCTGATTTAAAAATATACTGCAAAGCGGCCGGGCGCGGTGGCTCATGCCTGTAATCCCAGCACTTTGGGAGGCTGAAGCGGGTGGATCACAAGGTCAGGAGATCGAGAACATCCTGGCTAACATGGTGAAACCCTGTCTCTACTAAAAAAAAAAAAAAAAAAAAAAAAAATTACCAGGTGTGGTGATGGGTGCCTTTAGTCCCAGCTACTCGGGAGGCTGAGGCAGGAGAATGGCGTGAACCCTGGAGGCGGAGGCAGAGCTTGCAGTGAGCCAAGATCGTGCCACTGCACTCCAGCCTGGGCGACAGAGCAAGACTCCATCTCAAAAAACAAAACAAAACAAAAATATATATATATGTACTGCAAAGCTACAGTAACCAAAACAGCGTGTATTGGTATTAAAAAAGACACAAAAACAAAGGAAACAGACTAAGGAATTCAGAAATGAATCCACATATTTACAGCTAACTGATTTTCAAGAAAGCTGTCAAGAACATACATTGAATAAAGGATACCCTCTTCATTAAATGGTGCCAGGAAAACTAGATATCCAAACACAGAAGAATAAAACTAGACCCTTATCTCTCATCACTTACAAAAATAAACTCAAAATCAATTAAAGACTTAAATGTAACAGCCACAACTATAAAACTACTGGAAGTAAACACAGGAGAAAAGCTTGAGAACAAAGATTGTATGGCTAACACTTAAAAAGTACAAGCAACAAAAACAGACAAATGGGATTATATTAAACTAAATACCTTCTGCATATCAAAGAAAACAATCAACAGAGTGAAAAGACAACACCCCTCCCTTACACCATACACAAAAATTAACTCAAGATGGCTTAAAGACTTAAATTTAAAACCCATAACTATAAAAACGCTGGAAGACAACCTAGGCAATACCCTCCAGTACATAGTGATGGGCAAAGAGTTCATGGTAAAGATGCCAAACGCAATTGCCACAAAAGCAAAAATTGACAAATGGGATCTAATTAAATGAAAGAGCTTCTGCACAGCAAAAGAAACTATCAAAAAACAAACAGATATTTCTCAAAAGAAGATATACAAATCACCAAGTTTATGAAAAAATATTCAACATCACTAATCATCACGGAAATGCAAATCAAAACCACAATAAGATATCATCTCATACTTGTTAGAATGGCTATTATTAAAAAGACAAAGCACAACAAATGCTGGCAAGCATGTGAAGAAAAGAAAATTATTGTATATTGTTGGTGGGAATGTAAATTAGTACAGTCATTATGAAAAAAAGCACAGAGATTTCTCAAAAAAACTAAGAACAAATCTACCACGTGATCCAGCAATCCCACTCCTGGGTATACATCCAAAAAAAGGATATCAGTGTATCAACGGGATATCTGTACCTCCATATTTACTGCAGCACTATTTACAATAGCCAAGATAAGGAATCAATCTGAGTGTCAATCAATGGATGAATGGATAAAGAAAATGGGAATATACGCATAACAGAATAGTATTCAGCCTTAAAAAAGAATGAAATCCTGCCATTTTCAGCTAAATGGATGAAATTAAACGTCATAATGTTAGGTGAACTAGGCCATTCACAGAAAGAAAACTATTGCATGTTTTCACTTATGTGAGCGGTTTATGTTCCTGGAAATCAAAGTGGGGGCCACGTTTCAGGTCAGTAGGGTCAGGGATAGAGACCACAGTTATGGACTTGTGTGCCCTGGAGCTATATAAAATTGATATCATAGAGATAAAGAGTAGAATGATAGTTAATAGAGGCTGGGAAGAGGAGGGGTTTGAAAAGAGGTTGATTAATGAATATAAAAATATATAATAGAAGGAATAAGGTCTAGTGTTCATTATCACAGAAAGTGACTACAACAATTTGTTGTGTATTTCTTTTTTTAATTTCAATAGTTTTTAGGGAACAGATGGTATTTGGTTACATGGATAAGTTCCTTAGTGGTGATCTCTGAAATTTTGGCATACCCATCACCAAAGCAGCTTACCCAATGTATAGTCTTTTCTCTCTCACTCCCTCCCACCTTCCCATTGAGCCCCCAAAGTCCACTGTTTCATTCTTGTGCCTTTGCATCATCATAGCTTAGCTCCCACTTACGAGTGAGAACATGCTATGTTTGGTTTTCCATTCCTGAGTTACTTCATTTAGAATAATGGTCAAATCCATCCAGGTTGCTATGCATGCCATTATTTTATTCCTTTTTAAGGCTAAGTAGTATTCTATGGTATACATATATATAACACATTTTCTTTATCCACTAATTGATTGATGGACATTTGTGCTGGTTCTATAGTTTTGCAACTGTGAATTCTGCTGCTGTAAACATGTGTGCAAATGTATCTTTTTCATATAATGACTTCTTTTCTTCTGGGTAGATACCTAGCAGTGGGATTGCTGGATGAAATGGTAGATGTACTTCTAGTTGTTTAAGGAATCTCCATACTGCTTTCCATAGTGGTGGTACTAGCTTACATTCCCACCATCAGTGTAAAAGCGTTGTCTTTCACCACATCCATGCCAACATCAACTTTTGTTTTTTTTGTTTTGTTTTGTTTTTTGGTTTTTTGAGATGGAGTCTCACTCTGTAGCCCAGGCTGGAGTACAGTGGTGCCATATCAGCTCACTGCAACCTCTGCCTCCCGGGTTCAAGCAATTCTCCTGCCTCAGCCTCCTGAGTAGCTGGGATTACAGCCAACTGCCACAATGCTCGGCTAATTTTTGTATTTTCAGTAGAGACTGGGTTTCACCATGTTGGTCAGGCTGGTCTCAAACTCCTGATCTCGTGATCCGCCCACCTTGGCCTCCCAAAGTGCTAGGATTACAGGCGTGAGCCACCACGCCTCGCCCTCTTTTTGTTTCTTTTACACGTGGTATTGCATTGTGGTTTTGATTTGCATTTCCCTGGTAATTAGTGATGTTGAGCATTTTTTCATGTTTGTTGGCCATTTGTATATCTTCTTTTGAGAATTGTCTATTCATGTCCTTGGCACACTTTTTGATGAGATTCTTTTTTTCTTGCTGATTAGAGTTCCCTGTAGATTCTGCACATTAGCCCTTTGTCAGATGCAGTTTGTGAAAATTTTCTCCCACTCTGTGGGTGATCTGTTTACTCTGCTGATTATTTTCTATGCTGTGCAGGAGGCTTTTAGTTTAATTAAAGTCCCATCTATTTATCTGTGTTTTTGTTGCATTTGCTTTTGGGTTCTTGGTCATAAACTCTTTGCCTAAGCCAATGTGTAGAAGCATTTTCCAATGTTATCTTCTAGAATTTTTATGGTTTCAGACCTTAGATTTAAGTCTTTGATCCATCTTGTGTTGATTTTTGTATAAGGTGAGAGATAAGGATCCAGTTTTATTCTTTTACATGTGGCTTGCCAACTATCCCAGCACTATTTGTTGTATAGGGTGTACTTTTCTTACTTTGGTTTTGTTTACTTTGTCGAAGATCAGTTGGCTGTTAAGTATTTGGCTTTATTTCTAGGTTCTCTACTCTGTCCCATTGGTCATGTGCCTATTTTTATACCAGCACCATGCAGTTTTGGTGACTATAGCTTTGTAATATAGTTTGAAGTTGGGTAATGTGATGCCTCTAGATTGGTTCTTTTTGCTTAGTTTTGCTTTGGCTTTGCAGACTCTTTTTTAGTTCCAAATGAATTTTGGCATTTTTTTTCTAGTTCTATAAAGAATGATGATGATACATTGATAGGAATTGCATTGAATTTGTAGACTGCTTTTGGCAGTATGGTCATTTTCACAATATTGAGTCTACCCATCCATGAACATGGAATGTGTTTCCATTTGTTTTTGTCATCTGTGATTTCTTTCAACAGTGTTTTGTAGTTTTCCTTGTAGGGGTCTTTCACCTCCTTGGTTAGGTATATTCCTAAGTATTTTATTTTTACAGCTATTATAAAAGGGTTTGATTTGATTCTCAGCCTGGTAGATGTTGGTGTATAGCACTGCTACTGATTTGTGTACATAGATTTTATATCCTGATAAATAGAATTATTATGTACTTCTAAATAACAATAAGATTTGAAATATTCCCAACACAAAGAAATGATCAATGTTTGAGGTGGTTAATATCCCAAAGACCCTGATTTGATCATTACACATTGCACGCATGTACCAGAATCTCACATGGACCCCATAAATGTGTACAATTATTCTCTATCGAAAACATTTTTTTTTAAAGAAACATGCAGGAATACACTGTACCTCTTCCTTGCTGTCTCTGGATATTGTCACATGAGGACTTGACATGCGGATTGTGGCAGCCTCTGTGACCAAGAGCAGAAGACAATAGCAGCATAGAAACCTCAAATGAAAAACCTAAAATCTCAAGCTACTAATTTAGCCAACCTTGGCATCAGCTATCTCTGATCTTAGTACATGAGATGATAAGCCCCCACTGTTCAAGTTGGGTGGCCATCAATTGCTGCAGAATAGAATTTAATGAGGCTTCCTCCTCCTGGATCCTCTACTAGACCCTGACATGCCCATTCAGTCACAGGCAGAAAGGGAAGCTCAGGGTAAGGAGACCTGGCTGACTGTGCCAGAAGCAGATCTTACCTGTCCTGCTTAGAACACTCAAAACTCAATTGGTTAAACAAAAAAAGGAAAAAGACAGTAAGGAGTATAGCACTCCCCAGATGCAACTTAATGAAACACTCTATACTTTAGATTTTCTAGACATACATAGAAATCAGACCACTACTTCTGCAGAACATTTTACTGGTAAAAAGAATAGCCCACATGAGGGAAAACTGATTTGGTGGAAAGACAACAAAAACAAAACATGGGAAATAGGTAAGGTGATAACATGGTGGGAGGTTTTGCTTGTGTTTCACCAGGAGAAAATCAGCTTCCTGTTTGGATACCCACTAGACATTTGAAGTTCCACAGTGAACCCATCAGAGATGCAAATGAAAGTGCCTCTGCAGAGACAGAAAACCCGCAATCGAGCATCATCGACTCGCAGGGTGAACAAAATGTGATATCAGAAGAACAAATGAAGTTACAATCCACCAAGGAAATGGCACATGTGGAGAGCCAGGGAGAGGAAGAGAAAGAAAAAGAGACAGAGATCAGAGAAAGACACAGAAAGAGATTGGGGAGAGAAATAGTGTAAAAGAGAGAGAGAGAGACCGTAAGAGAAGGGAGACAAAGAGATAAAAGGTGCGAGTGAGCAGGTGAGGAGAAAGACTGAAAACTATGAGAAACAGCAACTAAGACACAAAGGAGGTGGGAGACTGCGTTGGTGCCGCAGCAGCCACACCGTCCTCTTGCCCCCGTCACTTGGGTTAAAACCACCGGAAATTCCACTATTGCAAATTTTTTATTAATCCTTGTATGTCTGTCCTTTCTATTTTTAGTCTACAGGTGTATCCAGCAGCTCCAGAGAGACAGCGACCAGCGAGAAGGGGCCATGATGATGGTGGTGGTTTTGTCAAAATGAAAAGGGGGATATGTAGGGAAAAGAAAGAGAGATCAGACTGTTACTGTGTCTACATAGAAAGGGAAGCCATAAGAGACTCCATTTTGAAAAAGACCTGTACTTTAAACAATTGCTTGCTGAGATGTTGTTTATCTGTAGCTTTGCCCCAGCCACTTTGCCGCAACCACTTTGACCCAATCTGGAGCTCACAAAAACATGTTTGTATGAAATCAAGGTTTAAGGCATGTAGGGCTGTGCAGGACGTGCCTTGTTAACCAAATATTTGGAAGCAGTATACTTGGTAAAAGTCATCACCATTCTCTCGTCTCAATAAACCAGGGGCACAATGCACTGTGGAAAGCCGCAGGGACCTCTGCCCTTGAAAGCTGGGTATTGTCCATGGTTTCTTCCCATGTGATAGTCTGAAATATGGCCTCATGGGATGAGAAAGACCTGACGGTCCCCCAGCTCGACACCCATAAAGTGTCTGTGCTGAGGTGGATTAGTCAAAGAGGAAAGCCTCTTGCAGTTGAGATAGAGGAAGGCCGCTGTCTCATGCTTGCCCCCTGGGAACTGAATGTCTCGGTATAAAACACGATTGTACATTTGTTCAATTCTGAGATGGGAGAAAAACCACCCTATGGTGGGAGGCGAGACATGTTTACAGCAATGCTGCCTTGTTATTCTTTACTCCACTGAGATGTCTGGGTGCAGAGAAACATAAATCTGGCTTACATGCACGTCCAGTCATAGTACCTTCCCTTGAACTTCATTATGTCATAGATTCTATTGCTCACATGTTTGTTGCTGACCTTCTCCTTATTATCACCTTGCCCTCCTACTACATTCATTTTTGCTGAAATAATGAAGATAATAATCAATAAAAACTGAGGGAACTCAGAGAACGGTGCCAGTGCAGGTCCTTGGTATGCTAAGCGCCGGTCCCCTGGGCCCACTGTTGTTTCTCTATACTTTGTCTCTGTGTCTGATTTCTTTTCTGTCTCTCATCCCACCCGACAAGAAATACCCACAGGTGTGGAGGGGCAGGCCACCCCTTCAGTATGAGATTACAGGCATGAATAACCCCACCTGGCCACCTAACTCACTCTTGAGAGGCCAGAAGTGATGCTGGAACTTTCTTCCTCTGTGGGTGAAAAAGGGAAAATTAGGGAGAACACAAGGCATGAGAGATGCAGCGATGGATATGTCTATATGGAGCTTCTGTCTGCATCCAGTAGAAAATGCATTTCTAGGCACCAGGTTTAAGAGCGAAAACCTGGAGTCTTGTCTGTTAGCATTCTCCTTCCCCACAAACCAGAGAGGGAATACATTTGCTCCAGCACACCCGGATGTAGGAAATGTCACATTCCTATTTCTGTAACTTCACTTAAATCTGCTCTGAGTCCCTGGATGCCTGGCAGGTGGAGAATTCAATCTTGTCGTTACCAGCATTCCTTTCCCTTCTCCATGGGCTTATGTAAGAATTCTGGGCTTACACACTGTTGGAAAGCCAGGTAGGAACTACATCCCCTGAACTCTCCATTCTTCCACCTGCTCATGATCCATCAACATTCTTTGGGCCACCTGCTATAGCAAGACCCTACTCACAGCATCATTCCACTGACCCACAGGCTCAGCCCCAGGGACCCTCACTAGAACAGGTCTCCACTATGCATAGGAACTCACAAAAACCTTCTCTTCATCTTGGCTTCCTCTGATATCCAGCCACTCCCCAACTTCTCACCTTAAACACAGATGGCAGCTCCTTCCCATCCTTCCAAACCTGGGGGATTGTCCAGCCAAATTCTCTTCAGACACCAAAGCTTCACCCGCCCTCTTTAGGGAGGTGCTGCAAGGGCATCTGAGATCTTTGGAAGCCCAATTCTGGCCTCTCTTTGGGGTGGGCTGAGAGTGGGAAGTAGACTCTCTTTTCCAAATGCCATGTGTATCTTGTTCATCATTATATTATCTCCAATGCCTGACACATAGTAGGCACTACAGACTGGCACATAGTAGGTGCTATTAGTGTCTGTATAATGGGACTCTTGAGGTTGAAGCTATTAGCAGGAACCTGCCAGGCAAAAGGATGGAAAACCAACCACCAAAAAAAAAAAAAAAAAAAAAAAAAAAAGAAAACAATCGTGGCTTTGAGCTCTAAACACACAAGGCACCAACCCAAGTTTGGGCAATTTTAATACAACAGCCATTTTGCCTCCAAACAAACTGACACTGGGAACCTCCCTCTGCCTCTAAAAGAGAACCAGTTTCCCTTTCTCTAAGTGGGCAGCATTTCTCCCCTGTGGCAGTACCCAGCCCACTACCACCAGCAAAGGACTGCAGCCAGGACCCAAGAGCTTGAGAGTTTAAAGAATAGATTTTATACGGAAAAATAAAGTAACATCCACATAAATCTGGAACTACCACCACTTTCCAGAGGCCGAATCCCATTTGTGGAGTCTCTTGCGTGTCAAGCACCTTGCAGTCAGCTCAACTACACACTTTTGGGATTCGTTGCAGACACGAGAGAAGGTTATCAGCAAAATAAAGGAACCAGGGCTCAGAATTACCAGAACAATCCATGACAGAGGAGGTGAGTAGAAAAGGGAAGGGTGAAGTCAAAGGAGAGAAGTCAATGAGTTGGCCAACACCAAACAAGGATCATGGGACCCTCTCCACGACCCCACATCTCAAATGAAGTCAACAAAACCCATCAATGCTTGGTGTAAGTGTTGTATGCTCCCGGAAATGAAAGCAGGGGCCACATTTCAGGTCAGTAGGGTCGGTGGTAGAGGCAGCGGTCATGGACTTGTGGGCCCTGGAGGATGGGATGATTCTGAGACATTGAATCCCTGCACTGATCTCAGTTGAAATCTCAGGTAGGGCTTCAACATTCGTGGACCAAGGACTCTGTGGGCCTGAGAGCAACAGCCTTGGTGCATGTCCCAGCTCCATCAATCCCAACTGGGGCTTTGAACAAGTTACTTATTTTTTTAACTAAAGTTATTTTAATTGACAAATCAAAATTGTACACATGTATGTGATGTTTTGATATGTGTATACAATGTGGGATGATTAGATCAAACTAATGAACACGTCCATCCCCTAATTTACTGACAATTTTCATGATGCAACATTTGAAATGTACCCACTTAGTTATTTTGAAAGATACATTATTATTTACTATAGTCACGCTACTGTGCTATAGATTTCAAAGCATATAATCCAGCAACCCAACTTCTGGATATAGACCAAAAAAAAATCAAAATCAATATGTCGAAGGGATCCCTACATTCCTATGTTCACTGCAGCACTATTCACAATACCCAAGATATAGAATCAACCTAAGTGTCCATTAGTGGATGAAAAGATAAAGCAAATGGACTATATACACACAACGGAATACTATTAACCCTTAAAAAAGAAAGAATTCCTGTCATTTTCAACAACATAGATGAATTTGAAAGACATTGTGTTAAGTGAAATAAGCCAGGCACAGAAAGACAAATACTGCATGATTTTACTTATATGTGGAATCTAAAGAAGTAGAACTCACAGAAATAGAGAGTAGGACAGTGGTTATCTGGGGATGGGGTGAAGGAAAGGGAGGGGATTGGAGACACTGGTCAAAGGGTACAAAGTTTCCAATAGGAAGAATAAGTTTTGAACAAGCTAAACTCCTCTGAAAGTTCAGTTCCTCATCTGTAGAGCAGGGACACATCATCAACCTTCTACGGATGTTGCTGTAAGAGTAAGAGATGATGTTCAACACAATACCTAACACACAGTCAGGTCTCCTTAAGCTTGAACCTGCATCCCCATGACCTCTACATCTCAGGACAGAAGGGCTCACAGCCAGTGTCTCAGTTCCCAATGAAAAGTGGATCCCAGACCAGGCTGAACAGCAGGATCCCTAGGGGATACCCCACCCTACTGAGTCAAAATCACTAGAAGTAGAGCCTGGATATGTATGTATGTGTGTGTATATATATGTGTGTGTGTGTGTGTGTGTGTGTGTGTGTGTTTGTGTGTGTATGTATAAGAGACAGGGTCTTGCTCTCAAGTCCAGGCTGGAGTGCAGTGTCACAATCATAGTTCACTGCAGCCTCAAATTACTCCTGGCCTCAAGCCATCCTCCCATCTCAGCCTTCAGAGTAGCTGAGACTACAGGCACATGCCACCAAGCCCGGATACTTATTTTTTTTTTCTTCTTTTTGTAGAGTCTCACTCTGTTGCACAGGCTGGAGTGCAATGGTGCAATCTTGGCTCACTGCAACCTCTGTCTCCCGGGTTCAAGTAATTCTCGTGCCTCAGCCTCCTGAGTAGCTAGGATTACAGGCATGCACCACCACACCAGGCTAATTTTGCTCTTTCATTGTTGTTTCTTGTTTGTTTTTCACAAATAGGACTTCTTATTTGCTACTGTTTTAAGTCTGAACTTTAAACAGATTCTTGGACTGATGGTTCATATCCATCAGCTCATTCAACTTTAGCACGCATCTCGTCCCTAGTGGGTTTTCCAGAATCACCACCATCACCAGGAAGCTCTATTCCTTTCAAATCCAGGGTTCTCCGGCATTTTTACTTTTCTAATGAAGACATCATGGAGAGGATAG
Organism: Homo sapiens; assembly: GCF_000001405.40. Taxonomy (NCBI): domain Eukaryota; kingdom Metazoa; phylum Chordata; class Mammalia; order Primates; family Hominidae; genus Homo; species Homo sapiens. Next base: position 7,190,959 of record NC_000008.11, read on the forward strand.
ATGGGCAAGCCTTTTCTACATCTTTTCCAATGTTGTCTGGAATCAATTTATTAACCACTTCTTTCAAGTCATTTGTCTGCACCTCTCAGGTCATGATTTCCATCATCTTCTTCTGGATTTGGCAGACTGTTGGTGCTGAGCATAAGAGGTCTTCAGTATCTGATTGTTGTGTTTTTTAGTAAAACCAACACAAAACAGAAGAAAGAAGTAACCATCGGTAGTCTTGACATCAACATGAGCTTCAATTATTGTTGAACATTTTTCAACCTTGGAATATATTTTGTCACAGGTAATACCCATGCCATTGAAGTTAGTCAGGCAGCTTTTGCCCTGAACATCTTCAGTAATCAGCTTGAATTTTCTAAATGCAACTTCATCATTCTGCAAATCAGCAAGACTCATTTCAAACACTAGAAACTTGAGACCATCAGATGCAATTTGGGTTCCTTTGGTCCTGGTGACCAAGTCTTTCCAATATTTCTTATATTGAACATAGCAGGTGCTTTCACATCATACTGATCTTTCTTAGAGAATGGACCAACTACTTTCTTCTTAACTCCCTTTTTGCCACCTTTCATAAGGCACTTGTTCTTAACAACCGCCATGGTGCTGCTTAGAGTACCAAAAGGCTAAATTTTATATTTTTGGTAGAGACGGGATTTCACCATGTTGGCCAAGCTCGTCTTGAACTGATGTCAGGTGATCTGCCTGCCTCAGCCTCCCAAAGTGCTGGGATTACAGGTGTGAGCCACTGTACCCAGCTGATATTTATTTTTTCTTTTTTTGTACAGACAGGGTCTTGCCATGTTGCCAAGGCTGGCCTGGAACTCTTGGCCTCAAGCAATCCTCCCACTGCAGCCTCCCAAAGCACTGGGATTTCAGGTGTGAGCCACCATGCCCAGCCTGGAATCTATTTTTAAAGCAATCAAGTGTTGAATAAAATTGCAACTTGGGCTGTTTTTTCTTTGCATTTTTTACATTTCAATGGTTTTTAATATATTCAGAGATATACGCAAACATTACCAGTCAATTTTAGAACATTTCATGACCTCAAAAAGAAACCTCATACCATTTAGCTAACACCCCCATCCTCCCATGCCCCTACCAGCCCTAAGCAACCACTAATCGACTTCCTATTTCTATAGATTTCCATCTGAATGAAATCATGTAGAATGTGATCTTTCATCTGTTTTGAAGGTTTATCCACGCTGTAGCATATGTACATTCCTCCTTTTTGTGATCAAATAATATTCCACCATGTGTGTAGACAACAATCGGTGTCTCTCTTCATCTGGTGATGGGCATTTGGATTAATTCCCTCTTTGTGTTATTAAGAGTGATGCTACTGTAATTATTCATGTACAAATTTTTGTGTGGACCTGTGCTTTCATTTTTGAATATGAAAATATGGCACATCTCCAAGGAAGACATACAAGTGGCCAATAAGCACATGAAAAGATGCTCAATGAAATTCTTCATCAGGGAAACAGAAATCAAAACCGCAATGAGATACCACTTCACACCCATAAGGATGGCTAGAATCGAAGATAGAGAAAATTGGCCTGGTGCGGTGGCTAATGACTGTAATACCAGCACTTTGGGAGACCGAGGCAGGTGGATCACCTGAGGCCAGGAGTTTGAGACCATCCTGGCCAACATGGTGAAACCCTGTCTCTACTAAAAAAATACAAAAATTAGCCAGGCATGGTGGCAGGTGACTATAATACCAGCTACTCGGGAGGCTGAGGCAGGAGAGTAACTTGAATCTGGGAGGCAGAGGTTGCAGTGAGCTGAGATTGTGCCACTGCACTCCAGCCTGGGCTACAGAGCAAGACTTTGTCTCAAAAAAAAAAAAAAATACAGAAAATAACAAGTGTTGGTGAGGATGCAGAGAAACTAGAATTTTCATACACTGCTGGTAGGAATTAAAATAGTGTAGCCACTGTGAGAAACAGTTTAACAGCTTCCCAAACAATTCTACATGGAGTTACCAAATGACCCAGCAATTGTACTTCTAGGTATAGGCCCAACTTGGGCTCTTTTAATCTATGGAAAATGAACTATCGGTACTTGGCAAGAACAAAGAGGGAGAGAGGCAGAAATGGAGCCACGAGGGCACATTGATTGGTCTGTAGTACACAGGGCTCCTACTGCAAATGGTCTCTAAATGACTTCATCAGTTGCTCATAAAAAAAAATCACCCTCTGCTCCAATCATGGAGGAAAAAGTATGGATTGGACCTGGTGAGCCACGGTAAGACTGACTGCTAAACTTCATGAATGATGAGGGGATTTGCACGTATAATCTTGACTGTACTAGATTTTTTATTTTATCCACTGTCTTTGAAAACCTAACTCTTGACTAAGAACTAACTTTCCTGTACTTGTTGTTGAGTCTAAGTAAACTTCCAATTCCACATAGTCCAAAGATGATGTGTTGAGAAATCTCTCAAAAGAAAAATGCTAAGAATACAGGCAGAGTTATGCGGCAAGTTTTGCAGAATTAACACAAATTGTATTGTAGGTATGAAGCACAGAACATTTTCATGGGTAAAGAAAAAAGTGTTCTTCATTCTAGTAGACACTGCAGGATGAGGCCGATCAAGGTCCTTGCCCAGCCAGACCTTGGGCTCTTACCTAATTTGTGTTAGAGTCAACCCTGATGGAGTCTGTATCTCAGTCATCTTTTTTTTTGACATGGAATCTCACTGTCTCCCAGGCTGGAATGCAGCGGTGTGATCTCAGCTCACTGCAACATCTGCCTCCTGGGTTCAAGCGATTCTCCTGCCTCAGCTTCCCAAGTAGATGGGACTACATATGCATGCCACCATGCCTGGCTAATTTTTGTACTTTTAGTAGAGACGTTTCATCATGTTGGCCAGGCTGTGCTCAAACTCCTGCCCTCAAGTGATCCGCCTGCCTTGGCCTCCCAAAGTGCTGGGATTACAGGCATGAGCCACCATGTCCGATCTCAGTCATCTTTTTATCCTCCATACCTGGCAAGTTCTAGACACACTGTGGTTCCATACAAGTTTGTTGAATAAATAGGAGACAGATAGAAAGTGGGAACTCTGCAAGTAGAGAAGATTCCAGAAATTGTGCATATTTCCCAGAGACTGTGGCCAAATTCCTCAGTCCTGCCAGAGTTTCTCTATCTCAACTCAAACCTTATGTGTGGGCCCAGGCGCAGTGGCTCACACCTGTAATCCCAACAATTTAGGAGGCTGAGGTGCGCAGATCACTTGAGGCCAGGAGTTTGAAACCAGCCTGGCCAACATGGTGAAACCCCCTCTCTACTAAAAATACAAAAATTACCCAGGCATGGTGGTGTGCACCTGTAGTCCCTGCTACTCGGGGGGCTGAGGCACAAGCATTGCTTGAACCCAGGAGGCAGAGGTTGCAGTGAGTCACGATTATGCCACTGTATTCTAGCCTAGGCAATAAAGCAAGACTGTCCCAAAAGAAAAAAAAAAAAACCCTTAAGTGTGGGCCTTGTTACAGAATTAACGTTTATATGGACAATATGTACATGGGTGTATGTTAAGAGCATGAGTCATCCACAAGATTTTAGCAAAGTCCATTTAGAAAGCTCAATGCTTTGGGCTTCCACTTGCTTTGCTGCCTCTGTCCTCAGAAGGAGGCTTCATCCTTCCATATAATCAGCAAATCCTTTATGCAGAGATGTACACAACACACTCCTATCCTTGGCTATGACACCTTGAAAGGGTCCTCTTGGTGTCCCCTGGTGCTCATTTCAGAGTAGTTCAAATTAAGGTGATCAGCTTTCATGCCAATCACTCTACAAATCACTCTTATTATGACCAATTTTTCTAAATGGTTTATTGAATTATTACTTAAAGAAATGTGCACATAGAAGAGGTCAACACAGTACTTTTCTTACAAACTGAACATACTGGCCAGACGCAGTGGCTCATGCCTGTCATCCCAGCACTTTGGGAGGCCGAGGTGAGCAGATTGCTTGAGCCCAGGAGCTCAAGACCAGCCTGGGCAACATAGTGATACACCCCTCTCTACAAAAAATAAATAAATACAAAAATTCAGCAACAGTGATGGGACATGCCTGTAGTTCCAGCTATTCAGGAGGGCTGAGGTGGGAGGACTGCTTGAGCCCAGGAGGCAGAGGCTGCAGTGGGCCATGACGGTGCCACTGTGCTCCAGCCTCGGTGACAGAGCAAGATCCTGCCTCAAAAAAACAACAACAACAACAACAAAAAACTGAACATCTCCATATTACTGACACCGAATTCAAGAAACAAAATATTACAGCCCCTTCCAGGATATTCCTGGGGTCTTTTCCATCTCTACTAACCCCTGACTACAAACAGCCTCCACCTATTTCACCTGACATTGTACTTTATGAAAGCAGCAGTTCTCAGATGGGGCTATTTTGTCCCCTGGGGACATTAGGCAATATCTAGAGACACTGGGGTTTGTCTCTACTTGGGGGGAGTTGTGTTACTGCATCCAGTGAGTCCAGGGATCCAGGGATGCCGCTCAACATCCTGAAATGCACAGGGAACCCCCACACATAAAACAGAGAAACTGCTGAGCCAAAATGCCAGCAGTGTCACAGCTAACACCCTGACATACACACTATCACACAGTATCTGCTCTTTTGTGCTCAGGATCTCTTTCATTCTAATCATCTCATAGGAAACAGAAATGTTATTAGGAGGTAGGTAGAGTCCAAAACAAAGAAGATCCAGAGTTTTTTGTTTTTTTTTTTTTTTAATCAGCCTGGTGCCTTTAGAGCTAGGATTTAGTTTCCATTCTTTCTATCTCATTTTCAAGTGATTTTTCTTCAAATGGCATCTGCTGGGCTCAAGATCCGGAAATCCCCACAAAGCTGAGATTCACATGGGAATTTTGTACACACCCACACAGGTATACACTGCCATTTGCATGCAGACATCCACCCACAGATACACACATCCGGACACCAAGACAGAAAGCAAACTCCAACATAAAAGCACGGTTTCCCGAACTGGAGAAACCCACCATTCACTCCAGGGAGGTACCTATTTGTTTAATTCAGCCTCTGATAGTCAGGCTGTTGCCAAGCGCAGTTCTGAAACTCTTCCCTTCTAGGAAAGAGAGATGGATTTTTTTCTTTACTCAAGAATATAGATCTAAAAAAAGCAAACACTTCTGCATCTCAAAGCAGGCTCTACCTCCTGAGCTACACATATTGATCAGCATTTTATTGTCAACTTTCTTTTATTTGAATTGGAGAAAAATATAACTTAATTATGTTCTTACTGACAGTTTGGAATCAGGTACACTAAATCCAATTCTCTGGGTTCTCGTGATTAATGTGTTTAATTTGGGGGACAACAAAGCAAAAGCATTGGTCGTGTTTTAATATAAATAGTACAGGATATATCTAAGGGGTTGAAGTATCACTGTAGCAAGAAGCTCATTCTGCAGTAAAAGGCAGGTTCTGCCACTAGGATTGAGTTAGGGTGGTTCATGGCTGCACCGTTTTATCAATGTCTCTTCAAGAGTCCATGGAATGTGGAATGGGAAAGACTGAAATAGTCCAAGTCTTGGCTAAGCTTCTATTAAGGGGTGTTAGGAGCTGATAAAATAACCTGGTCTTTAAAGACATCCCACACAGTAGTTCTCTAAGCTACAGATTCTCAGATTTTTCTATTTTATAAACGGGTAAAATTTGTTTTTTTTAATTTGAGAACCAACATAAGGTTGCTATTTTCTTTTTCTTTTTGGTAAGAAGGAAATTTTTTAAACTACCAGTTACACACACAAACACACACACACACACACACACACACACACACACACACACACACACACGGAATTTCCACCATGATTGGTCAGAATAGGTGAGGTTTTGCTGCAATAACAAACAACTCCTAAATCTTGGTAACTTCAAACATCAGAAGTTGTGTTTCTTACTCATGCTATATCTGCAGGGAGGTGTGGGGTGCTCTGTTTCCCATCAAACTTTCCCTAAGAGTAAGGCTAATGGGGGTTGCAATACCTCGAGTATCACCAAGCAGGGAACAGAGGGAGAAGAATGCTAGAGAGCCTTGTACTAAGAATTAAATGCTTCGGGCTAGAAGTCTAACACTGCACTTCTGCCCCCAGCCTCTTGGCCAGTACTAGCCACATCCCTTCCCCCACCACACTGCAATGCATGGAGACAGGAGAATTGGATACATTACAAATTTCTACCCCATGGCATTTCATAAAAGAGAAAAAAATGCAAATACAAAAATGTTTTAATAGAATAGAATATATACATTTTTAGAATAAAGAAAAATCCTCCAAAAAGGACAGCTGGTGGTCTTTCACCAATGGGCACATTTCTGTGACATTTTCTCTGTTTTTCCATTTTATCCTTGACCTATGAATATTTTATACAGATGGTCCAAAGAACACAATTTGGGAACCACTGCTCTTATCAGGTGATGAAAACGGCCCCAAGAACAGAGCAGAGTCTCTTTAGCAAAGACCCAGCAGGGCCAGGGTGACCACGTTCTCACCATCAATGTGCAGACATCCACCTGCAGCATACTTACATACCAACATCAAACAGTGGCTCTTTATAGCTTGATTCTAATGCCCTTTGATCTTCATACTCATTGTAAAGCTCTCTGGCCCCAAGATCTAACATCGCCACTCTAGCTACGTCCTGCAACTGTTCACCTCTCCTGACTCCTCATCCCTCTAAACTTCTCTTCACAACCTCATGTTTCCTTCTTGCTATACATTCCTGCTCAGCCTGGACTTAACAGATACCTTCCTCTTGTAATGTGCTCCTAAACGCGTTCTTCCCTGCCTTCAACCACACCCACCTGGAAAATCTCCATACCCCATTGATGACTTGCCTCGCAACTGACCAAGGGCTGCTGAATGATACTGGAAAGAATCACAACAGGGATCTCGTAGTTCCACTAAATAATCTCACCGTCCAACTCTAGGAAAGACTTCACTTCTGTTCAGCAATATTTTTAAGCATCGCAAATAAATTCCAAACCATATTTGCCATAACAATTGACTTTAAGCCTCTTCCATATCTCAAAAACCCCCAAACCCATCCCTAGGGGTGAAAAGAGCCCAGAGCTGAGTTCTCTCAACTCACTTCCATCTCACCCCTAGATCACTGTATCTTGACCCTCTTCCTCTGCCTTTCCCATCTTATAAGGAGAAACATCCTTCTCCTTTCCCAAGCTACCTTCCCCACTTGTGCCTCATTTGAGACCTCCCTTTATCACCCGTTCCCTTGGAACTCCCATGACTCACCACCTTCACTTGTCATTTCACTCATAAATATTTTGCACCATGTATGTGCCAGGCATTTAACATATAGTCATGCTTAAGTCTCCACATGCTAATAAGAAAAACCTTGATTATCCCTGCTATGCCCTCAAGTCATTACCCTCCCCGCTCCTTTCCTGTGTTCCCAAACTTTGTTGATCTTCATCAATCCCTCTGATGCAGATGGCTCCGAAGTTTGCATCCTATTAGGTTTGTGCAAAAGTAATTGCGGATTTTGCCATTAAAAGTAATGGCAAAAATAGCAATTATTTTTGTACCAGCCTAGTATCTTTTCTCCTTCTACCAAACTTTGTCCCTGAGCCATCTCATCACCTATAACTACCTCCTCCATGCAGTTGATTCCCAGATCTGTATTATTCTACTGAAAGTCCATTCCCCAGCTTTCTCAGCTAGAATAACAGAAGCCCAATTAGAATTCATGATAACAGTTTCCCACCACCACCACCACCACCACCTTCGCCCTGCCATTGTTAGCAAAACCATCTCTTGAGTGGAGCTCAAAGATTTGTAATCTCCCACTCCCCAGAAAGATAACTTCAGACTCAGCCTAGAAGTAAAGATCCTCCAGATATGGCCTCAACTACCCTCCAACCCATGTCCCCAGTGCATCCCTTTGATGCCCCCTTCAGTGGAGTTAAAATGGAGTGAGTGTTTTTCTTTTCACATACTCCTGGTGTTCTTCCACAAATACAATTTTCACCTCTTGAATATTTTCAAAGATTCTTCATGCTACACACAGTGAAATCCAAACTCCCCATCAAGACCCCCGTCTTCCCAAACCCTCTTTGCAGTTTTCTGCCTCCACGCTTTTCCTTGGGTCATCCTCTTCTCTAATGTAACCTTGTGTATTACTCTAAGTTCTCCAGAGAAAGAGCAGAGAGATAGAGGTAGATCTATACACATAGAGACAGATTGATTTGTTGTAAAGGATGGCTCACATGGTTATGGAGGCTAAGGAGTCCTGGAGTCTGCAGCCAGCAAGCTGGGGACCCAAGACAGCCAATGATATTGTTCCAACTCGAGTCCACATCTAAAGTCAGGAGAAGATTGATGTCCCAGCTCAAATATAATCAGGTAAAAAGAGCAAATTCTCTCTGACTCTACCTTTTTGTTTTGTTCAGGCCTTCAGTGGAATGGATGAGGCTCACCCATATTGGGGAGGACAATCTGCTTTATTCAGTCTACCAATTAAATGTTATCCTCATCCAGAATACCTCAGAGACACACCCAGAATAATGTGTAACCAAATATCTGGGCACCCCACAACCCAGTCAAATTGATACATACCGTTAACCATCATGTCTTGCTTCTACTCTCTCCCCATTACTGGATGGCCAAATCCTTCCCTTATTTCAAGGCTTAGTTCAAATGTTACCTCTTAACTAAGCCTTCCCTGCTAACCCCAAATATTAATAGAATTGGTTTCCCCCTTCTCTGATATCTCAAAATATGTTGTGTGTTTCTCTTTTACTGTATTTATTACAAACTCCCTTATAAATGAAGACAGTGATTCCCAGACAAATTATCACAAGAGTATAAAAGAAGTCTTCTTTGAGTGTGAAATATCTCATGGAATATAGCACATGGCCTCTTCATGAAGAAACTACTGGGAGAGAAAAAGACAAGCTGGAAGAGGCCAGGGAGAGGGGGTCAGTACAAAGCACAATGAGGCTGGGCTCATACAGTTGCTCACACCTGTAATCCTAGCACTCTGGGAGGCCAAGGCCAGTGGATCACGAGGTCAGGAGATCGAGACCATCGTGGCTAACATAGTGAAATCCCGTCTCTACTAAAAATACAAAAAAGTTAGCCAGGCGTGGAGGTAGGCCCCTGTAGTCCCAGCTACTCGGGAGGCTGAGGCAGGAGAATGGTGTGAACCCGGCAGGCAGAGCTTGCAGTGAGCCAAGATCGCACCACTGCACTCAAGCCTGGGTGACAGAGCAAGACTCCATGTCAAAAAAAAAAAAAAAAAAAAGCACAGTGAAATGTCAGTGGATGGGTGCCTATAATTTCTAAGGGAAATAGAGTATAATCCAAGAATTTTATAGCCAGCTAAATTATTGCCCAATCAAAATAGGCAATAGACACTATCACAAGTTCAAGAACTTAAAGAATACAGTATTTCTGAGCTCTTTAAAAAAAAAAAGTCTTCATAATAAAATTTAGTCAGCCAAGAAATTAAAAAATAAGCAACTTGTGAATTGAATGACCATGACAAAAGGCTAGTGATGAGAGGTGAATCCATTTAAAAATAGGACTATGAGTGCAGAACAGAAAGAAAAGGTGGCCCACCTTAACAACACAAAACAACCTAGAAATCACTAGTTTCCAGAGGTAAAGGGAGGGACTGTAGGAAGTAGAAGTGCTAATGCCCTTTATTTAGTCAATTAATCAGGTGTAAAATTGAAACGTGGTTTTAAATATATAACTTCTTGTTTATTTTCCTCCCTAACTACCTGAGGATCAACCACCATGATGAATGACACAGCAACTATCTGGACCAGGAAGTTCATGACCAATCGACCGCTCCAGAGGAAACAAATGGTCACCAATGTCCTTCACCCCAGAAAGGCAACAAAATGTACAAGACCACAATGGATGTCATCTTCATGTTAACAGTTGGACACAGAACCCATGTTGGTGGTGGTTAAACAATCGTCATCCACATTGGAGTGCAGTGGTACGATCTCAGCTCACCAAATCTCTGCCTCCCAGGCTTAAGCAATTCTCCTTCCTCAGCCTCCCACGTAGCTGGGATTACAGGCAAGCACCACTACTGCCTGGCTAATTTTTATATTTTTAGTAGAGATGGGGTTTCACCTTGTTGGCCAGGCTGGTCTTGAACTCCTGACCTCAAATGATCCACCCGCCTTGGCCTCCCAAAGTGCTAAGATTACAGGCATGAGCCACCGCGCCCAGCCTTTTCTGTATTAAATTTTTAAAAACACAACATTTAAAATAATCAAGTCATTCTTTTTCAATCTACTTTGTATTATAGGTATTCAAATACTCACCTATTCTCCCTCACATGATGACAAACTCGTTGAAATGTCATATCATTTTGTGGCTCCAGCCCCAGGGATTCTGACTCTGATTCTAAAGGGCCTGCATGCAGACCGAGCAAGCCCCCTGGATGCTTCTCTTACAGGTGTTTTAAGGGCAGCAGTTTGAGACACCCTGATGCAAAAGAACGAACCCTCAAGGAAGTTGGCTGTACATGTATTTTCCTTCCTAGCACAGGAAACGACAGAAAGATTATCCAATCAGTACCACTCATAGCACCTGATTATATGTGTATGAGGAATTCAGAAATGGTTTGATCAAGGTTCAAGACCTAAAAAGAAGCTTTTCTCTCGGCCACCAAATCCCCATCTCATGCGTGGTTGAGTTAGCAGAAACTGAGGATGATGCTTCTTCCTCCAGCATTGGTATCCTATGGTTTTTGTTGTTCAGTAAATGAAGTAACTCCATCCCCCAACATCCTCAAGCTCAATTCCAGTTTTCTCACGTACACTTTTTTTTTTTTTTTTTTTTTTTTTTGAGACAGAGTCTCGCTCTGTCACCCAGGCTGGAATGCTGTGCAGTGGTGCAACCTCAGCTCACTGCAACCTCCACCTCCCAGGTTCAAGTGACTCTCCTGCCTCGGCCTCCTGAATAGCTGGCATTACAGGCATGCACCATCATGCCTGGCTAATTTTTGTATTTTTTAGTAGAGATGAGGTTTCATCATGCAGTCCAGGCTTTTCTCAAACTCTCAGCCTCAAGTGATCCACCTACCTCAGCCTCCCTAGTGCTAAGATTACAGGTGTGAGCCACCGTGCCCAGCCCCCTCATGTACACTTTTACAGAAGATCTGATCATACCCACTCTGAAGAAGTCAGAATGGCCCCCACGTGGTGTTAAACGGGAGTGAAAACTTGAGTTCAATCAACTGAGGGTGACACAGAAACATTTCCCCCAAAACGCTTTTGGCAGCTCTGCTGATCCATAACCTGGCTCCATTTCAGGGCAAGACCTCCACTTAAGCTGCACTGGCTTCCACTAGAGTAAATCACATTAACTCATGGCAAACACAACTGAAGGGCAAAAAGTTTCTTTTTAAAATGATTTTTGTCTCTCACTTACCAACACACGCTGGCCTCCCTAGAGCCGGACTCCATTCAGCACCTGTTCCACTGAGCACCCACTGAAAGCTCAGCTCATGAGCTGAGATGACCCAGACATCAAGGAGTTTACAATCCAGGGGAAGAACAGACCTGAATACAAGTGATGACAATACAAGACAGAGTCAAAGAGCCCAACTTGAAGTATCAGCAGAATAGCACCAAAGACTAGTTCCCAACCCAGCTCCCAGCGCCAGAGCCAGAGCCAGGCTGTCTGCATGGGATCAGCTGGGAGATTTTGCAAACCTAGGTCCTAGCTGAGACCCTAATCATCAGGCTGGCAGTCACTGGGAGTGAGCTTCAGGAACTGGTTTATTTAATAAGCACCCACACACACATGATTCTGATGTTCCTAAGGGTTGTAGAAACATGGAAGTATAGAAAACACTAAAAAAAAAAGGCACTAAAAGAAACCTATAAATATTCACTACCATTCCAGGCATCATGAGGACACTCCACGTGCACTCTTTACAATACTTAGAATAACCTGCAAGGGAAGCATTCATTCATGACGATGGGCTTTAGTGAGATCAGAGCCAGCCCTGGGAATGTTTGAACCTGCGCTGAAAGTCACCCCCTCCTCCCCACAGGAGGAGGCTAACATTAAGGAGCAGGGGCCAGATAGGAAATGGAGTGTCCTTTTATTATGAGACCACAGTGACAGACTTTATTTTTTTTTTCCAGAGTCTCGTTCTTTCCACCCAGGCTGGCCTCCAGTGGTGCAATCTCAGCTCACTGCAACTTCCGCCTCCCGGGTTCAAGTGATTCTCCTGCCTCAGCCTCCCGAGTAGCTGGGACTATAGGCACCCGCCACCACACCTGGCTAATTTTTGTATTTTTATTAGAGACAGGGTTTCACCATGTTGGTCATGATGGTCTTGATCTCTTGACCTTATGATCCGCCTACCTTGGCCTCCCAAAGTGCTGGGATTACAGATGTGAACCACCACGTCTAGCGTCAGACTTTCAAGTAAAGCCACAATGGACCACAGAACTTAGACATCAGGGCTAACATGGAATCTCTGTCATTAAATCTTGAGATCTTATTTTCTTTGGTCAAAGAAAAAAATAATCACAATTGACATTTTGAGGACAAGACATCTGAATGTAAACTTGATCTTAGAGGATATTAAGGAATTACTGCTAATTTGATTAGGTATGACAATGATCATATAAAAAATGCCCTCATGTTTTTAGAGGGAAAGTAAATTATGTAGCGGTGAATATCAGGATGCAATTAAATAACTACTGTAAACTATTTTGTAAATACTTCAGAAAAACAAATGGAGTAAATATTGCAAATGTTAATAGTTTTTAAATCTATGTGATGGGTATATGATAGCTCATTAAACTGGTGTCTCTACTTTTATGTTTATTGAAAAGTTTTCGTAATAACAATAAAAAAAAAAAAAAAACCTCGGCCAGGCACAGCAGCTCATGCCTGTAATCTCAGCACTTTGGGAGGCTGAGGTGGATGGAGGACTGCTTGAGCCCAGCAGTTTGAGACCAGCCTAGACAACATGGTGAAACCTCATCTCTACAAAAAATAGACAAATTAGTCAGGCATGGTGGTGTACACCTGCAGTCCCAGCTACTCAGGAGGTTGAGGTGGGAGGATCACCCGAGCCCAGAAGGTCAAGGCTGCAGTGAGCCAAGGTCATGCCACTGCACTTCAGCCTGGGCGACAGACCCTGTCTCAAACAAACAAGCAAGCAAACAAAAACCGTCTTGATCCCATTTCCCAAAAAAATGATTTTTTTTGAGATCTTACCATCTCCTGGCTTGGTGCAGAGTACAGGAAATCAAGACAAAGTACAGCACACAAGGAATAAGGAGGGAGGGAAGCGTGGGGGAGGCTGACACCGTGGACTCTCCCAGCTCAGTCGACCCATGCGTCTTGCTTCATGGAAGAAAGGAATGGAAGATGAATCATGCCTTCAGCACACAGTGAACTTCCTCACTAGTAAATGTGCCTCCAGAAGTGTCCAAGAACTCAGTGCCAGAGCCAGGCTGGCTGCATGAGAATCACCTGCGAGTTTTTGCAAACATAGACCCCTACTGGCTCCAAATGTATTCATCTCTTGGAGAGGAGGAGAGAGGCAGAACAAGGAAAAGGATGGGAAGAAACCAGCCTTGTGCACAGGAGGATGCTGGGATTCCTCCTGCAAGTTTAGCGCAATGCACCCTATTTTACAAGGTCACAGAAGCTCAGAGATGTAAAACTGCCCAGGTTCTCATAGCTTGTAAGTGGTAAAACCCGCCCAAGTCTCTGTCTCTAGAGATATTTCCACTTGCTTCAACTCTGGAGCTGTCTTAGTTGTAAAGATGACAGATTCCACTCCTCACTCACTTTTGTTAGCAGATATTGCCTAAGGTCCCTTGTGAATATTTAGGTCAGGGCTTTTTTTTTGAGTTTTTTGTTTGTTTGTTTGTTTTTATAAAAGCAATCTTGTAGAAAGAACCCAAAGTGGCTCCCCGTTTTAAGACCCTGCAAACAGAGAGACCAGAGTATGGAGTCTTGGTCTGATTTCCACACCTTCCTTAGATTTCCCTGTGTGTAAAATCCAACAACAATCTTTGACAAATTGCCTCCCCCAGGGGAGAGATGGAGGAAGTGTTAACTTTGCTTTTTTTTTTCTTTTTTCAGACAGAGCCTCACTCTGTTTCCCAGGCTGGAGTGCAGTGGTGCAATTTTGGCTCACTGCAACCTCTGCCTCCTGAGCTCAAATGATTCTTGTGCCTCAGCCTCCCGAGTAGCTGGGACTACAGGCAGATGCCACCACACCTGGCTAATTTTTGTATTTTTAGTAGAGATGTGGTTTTGCATATTGGCCAGGCTGGTATCGAACTCCTGGCCTCAAATGATCCACCCTCCTCAGCCTCTCAAAGTGCTAGAACTACTATAGGCATGAGCCACCATGCCCAGCCACTTTGCTATTTTTTTAATAGACAGCTTCGAGGTCCAGTATGATTTCACAGATTAGGAAACATCACAGGCAAAGAAGAACACTTTGCACTCAAATAGTAGAATGTTTTCATTTTCAAAGAGCTCTCACCTGCCATCTAATCTTGTCTTCCTAGCAGTCCTGGGAGAGAAGTAGATGTGGTTTCCAATCCCACTTTCCAAAAGAGGAGACTGAGGCAGAGGCTTTGCAGATACACAGAGGACATGTGAGGACAGGTGAAGGTCATGATCATTGTCAGCGCCCTCCCCCAACTTGACATTCCCAGACCTAGTGGACTTCCAAACACAGGAGACAGAAGAACTGATCAATCAATTCTGCCATGGGTGCCAGGACCCAATTTTTCCCTGGCTAACTCGGTCACATCCTGTCTGGGATCTCCAACTATTATCCATCCCACAAGTCTCAGCTAAAACAGGAATTCAACGGGGAACATTTTTCTGAGGCTCCAGGATTGGGCTAGGCCCTCTCCATGGCTCTCTGACCTTCCCCTACTGCAGAACGTAGCACCTGTATGTCACTATTTGTTCAAACATGTGTCTTTCATATGCTCTCCACGTTGTCTGCAGCATCTGCCAAGAATAATAATGAATGGTAAAACCTAATTTCTATTGAGTGCCGATGATGCACTTTTAATGTGACATCTTATTTAATCCTCACTATATCTGCAAAAGTAGAAGGTATTAATAGCCAATTTTCAGATAAGAAAGTCAAAGCACAGTTTCTATAACTTACCCAAGCAGCTAACTAGGAGGCAGCTCAGTATGAGCCCAGGGAATCATATTCCAGAGACCATGTTCTCCATTACTAGAGCAGGTACCTCCCCAGAATCTAGCAGGTGGTTAACGAGTCTTTGTGGCATAAATGAACAGAAGGACAACAGATGGATGGATACATAGGTGGATGGATGGATAATGGGTGGGTGGGCAGGTGGACGAATGAATGGATGGTTGAGTCAGTGAAGGGATGGCTGAGTGGGTGGAGAAATGGATGAGTGGGTGAGGGGTTGAAGGGATAAATGGATGGATGGGTGGGTGGATAGATGGTTAGATGAGTGAATGGGTGGATAGATGCATGGGTGAGCGGATGGACAGATGGGTTGGTGGGTGGGTAGGTGGATGATAGCTGGGTGCATAAGACAGTGGGTTGGTTGGATAGATGGGTGGGTGGGTGGATAGATGGGTGGGTGGTTGGATGTATGCATGTCTGGATGGATGGATGGATGGATGGACGGATGGAAGGAAGGAAGGGTGGATGGATGGATGGACAGATGAACAGATGGACTTGGGCATTTATTCGGGGTCCTCCAAAGAATTGAGTGATTTCCCTAGGGTGTCTCATCACCTGCAGGTAGGTGGGCAAGGGGGCTTGCCTCTGTAATACTCATGATTATAGGTAGTGCTCAGCCTTAGTCACCACTCTCAGAACGCTTTATTGACTAGGAAAGTCAAAACTGGCATTGATAACTAATGCAAATTGCAGCTATAACTAACAGAAGATGTTGAGCTGATGACAGCTGGGCAACCAAGAATCAATAACTTCGCTGTGTCATATTACTGTCATGCTGGGCAGGTAGAGCCACGGATTCCTTCATCCCTCCATCACATTGAGGATGCTTATCAAGACTTCCCCAACAATGGGGACAGGGATATTATCAAATACTTGCAGTTCACCCCAAAATGCTCACCCTCTTCGTTCCACCTGCACATGACCTTCAGCTCAAAGACATTTCCAGTCCTCCAGGTCAGCCCTTCTTCCAGCCTTTGAATTAACCCTGATGACGGCCTGCCCATTAGGTGTCTTCAGCTTTCATCACACAGCCTTTTCCAAGGCTCTCCTTCAGTCCAGCCCTCACTAAACGCTGGAACTGTTGTTGACAAAATCCAGAACAAGCTGGGTGGGGGATGCAGTTGGGAAGCAGACTGTAGTAATGGGGAAAAATTCTAAGCAATCTCGATCACAGAAAAGAAACTGAACAGGTAAGAGAGAGGCAGTCAAGAGAACAAGTGTGAATTTTGCATAACTGAAGCTGAAGAAGATCGGGGGGCATGGTAGACCACAAGATAAATATGATATAGCCTCCTTTTTAAAAAAGTATAAACATCCACCCTTTCCTACTGACAACTGTGCTTCAAATATTGCTAAGGTCTTTACTAAAGGTGAGTCAGAAAAACTGGGTATTTTATGCAATACAGTAAGAAGGCCCATAGGCAAGTATGTTCCTGACAACACCTTCTAGGATAAGCCCTGAGATTCTAGTTACACCTGTCCTAAAGTTGTCTCTCACTCCTGCTGTTGGAGAGCTACCATGAGAGAAGAACCATAGTAAAGTGGTTAAGAGTGTGCACCCAGCGACCGGCCAGATGGCTACAAACCATCACTATCTAATACCGAGCAAGTTACATAATGTTCCCAAGCCTCAACTTTCTCATCTGTAAAATGGGTATGTTGTCATTCATTAATCAAATTCTAGGTGAGCATATACTAAACACCAGAGACACAAATGAGAATCAGAACAGGCATGTCCCTGGCCCTTATGGTGACCACAGTCTTGAAGGGGAAGGATGACACGCACAGAAATAGGAAGCCATAGCTGAGCTAGTGTCTACCACAGAGAGGCACCTGGTGTCATGAAAGCAGATAACAGGGGGTTGCTGTGACTGAGTCAGTGTGGCCAGACGTCCCTGAGGATGTAGTGACTCCAGTGTCAGATGAGACCGTGACCAGGTGAAGAAGCAGGGAGAGGGAAAATTTTTCCAGGCGGAAAGAGCAGGATGTGCAAAGACTCTGTGGCAGGAAAAGAACAAAGGAAGTGCAAGAGCCTGAAAGAGGCCAGAGAGAGCAAGTGAAAATGTGGATAATCACAGCACCGACCTCATACAGGACTTGCAAGAAATCGAGACCCTGTCTGTAACAGATTCAGCAATGACTAAATAGAAACTATCTCCTAAAAGCACACGATGAGGCTCCTTGGTGGTATTTCCCACATGAGGCTGCCATGCACTCAGAAGCCAAGTTCAACCTGTCTGTAGACAACCTCCAAGCCAGCTGGACACACATAAACCCTCAGGCTCAGGATACCCAGGACAGAGTCCTGGATGCTTGAAGTCATGATAAGTATCCAGAATGACACAGAATTCCAGCCAGGCGTGGTGGCTCATGCCTGTAATCCCAGCACTTTGGGGGCCGAGGTGGATCACCTGAGGTCAGGAGTTCAAGACCAACCTGGCCAACATGGTGAAACTCCCTCTCTACTAAAAATACAAAAAAAAAAAAAAAAAAAATAGCTGGGTGTGGTTGTGGGTGCCTGCAGTCCCAGCTACTCAGGAGGCTGAGGCAGGAGAATCGCTTGAACCAAGGAGGCAGAGACTGCAGTGAACTGAGATTGCACCATTGCACTCCAGCCTGGGCAACAAAAGTGAATCTCCGTCTCAAAAAAGAAAAAAAAAAAAAATGACACCGAATTTGCTAAAGGGGGAGAAAGGGCTTTCTTCCAAAGCTGGGCCTGGTTTCTACAGAGAGTCTTTCACATGAAAATTAGGCAGCTCTTTGCAAGCACCTCAGAGGAGAACCCCTCACCCTGATGAATCAGGCACAGGGGCAGATCCAAGACAACTGGCTGCGTGCATATGAACAAGTCTATGGTGGAAATGCAGTGCTTTATTTGTTTGTGGTGGTTTAATCACCAGGAGGGAGAAGCTTCTAAAGCAGCATTCAGAGGTGGCTGTTGCCTGGGTTTTCTGGAAGGGGGAGGCGGTGAGGATGAGGGCTTCCCTTTCATCTGCAGGCCCCTTGCAGAAGGAGCTTGGGAAAGCTTTGCAACCCTCTGCACACTGTTTGCCATCTTGTCTGGCTGGGACGCCGAGCTCCAGATGGGGGCAGATGGGATAGCTCTTGCCACCGTATTTGGAGAGAGATGGCAGGGAAGTCAGCCCCCGTGGAGAAGACAGGAGCAGGCACGTGCTGGACAGTGCTGCCCAGGCCCCTGGGGCTGAAGTGTCCAACCCCACAGCCTCTAGGTGCCACTAAAGCAGCCCAAGAGGACCTTCTCTGTCCATCTCCATCCTGGCACCTACAGACACTTGGAGAGAGTCCTTCACATGGGAACTCACAAATGCACACTGATAACCCCCACACGGAACTCTCATACGTAGCAAGTGAAAAGACAGGATGCCAGCTTAACTTGAATTTCAGATAAACAACAAATCATTTTTTAGGGTAAGCAGGTCCCAAATATTACATGGGATATATTTGCACCAAAAAAAAAAAAAAAAAAAAAAGGGTTAATGAGAAGTTCAGGTTTAATTGGACCTCCTGTATTTTACCTGGCAAGCCTAACCCTGCATAAACACAACCTCGAGCTTGAAACTCACAGAGAAGCCACGGCCGTGCTCACACACGTGCACAAACCCATATGCCTTACAGAGTCAAGGGCTGTGATGAGGGTCCCCACCCTTGCACACTTCTCTGTCCTCTGTCTGGGCTCAGAGTAAACAGGGGGTCACCTGGAATCCACGTCTAAGCTGGGCTTGGAGGTGTCCTAATGAAGCAGGATGCTGACATGCACTTCCCCAGGTCAGCTGGGACTGTAGCCAGGCCTAGCTTCCAGTCTCGGGCCTAGAACACACAGCACAGCCCCAGACCTTGGCAAGAAGGCTTCATCTCAAGGGCCACTGGTGCAGGAACTATTAGAAGCCCCACTTCTTTCCTCTGTTTCTGCTGCCATTGCCCCAGTCTCTGACCCTGCCACTCAATCACTCTATAAACACAGCAGGTACTAGGGGTGGCTCTGGGCTCAGCACTAAAGACACTGACCCTGGTAAAGCCACAGTCTAGCAATGACAGTCAACCACGTATCAGCAACAGCCCTGCCCCACACGTGCTGACTGCGCACAAGGCCGGCGCTGTGAACGTGCTCTCAACAGTGATCTCACTGAACCCTCATGGCAGCTCTAGGATGCAGACAGTAGCATCACATTATCCCCATTTTACTTTTGAGGAAACTGAGGCCTGAAGAAGGCAAATGCAGGCCTCGAGATTTGCAGTAACATTGCCAGGAATGTTTGAGAAAGCAAACTTCTCCAGAGTGAGGCAGTCTGCCAGAGCTCAGAAGCCAGAGTCCCTGTTAGCAGGGGCTGGGGGCACTGTGGGGTGAGGGCAGACAAGTGGGTAGGGGCTGGAACCCCCAGGACACCAGGGTGCAGACTGGTGTGAGTAAAAGAAAGAGGGGCTGTCATGCCATCATCTGCAGAAGATGATGTCTACAGAGGACAGTACCATGTGAGCCCTTGGGGAGGTGGATGACTGGATGGAATTTTGCACAGGATGCAAATTGAGCACAGATCCCCCTCTGACCTAGACAGCCCACTTCCAGGAACATCTCACAGAAATGCAGGCACAGAGCACCAAGTGATGTGTGTAAGGAAATTCATCAGAACACCGTCTGTGACTGGGAAAAGGCGGAAACCATCCAAAGACGTATCGGTGCAGGGCTGGTTAAACGAAGCGTGGTGCATCCACAGGTCAGAATAACTGCTGGGAGAAGAAGGTGGTACCCAGGTTCCAACGTGAGACAATGTCAAAGACATGCTGCCTGAAAAGCAGGCTTTCCAAAGAATAAATATAGCATTATTTCATTTTTACTTTTTTAAAAATATTACAATAAACACTTATGTGCAAATACATGTGCTTGTGTGCACAGAGGAAAAAGCTGTGGACAGAAACAGAAAACCAAACACGGTGTGCTCTCACTCATAAGTGGGAGTTGAACAATGAGAACACATGGACACAGGGAGGGGAACATCACACACCGGGGCCCATCGGGGGTGGGGGACAAGGCGAGGGAGAGCGTTAGGACAAATACCTAATGCATGTGGGGCTTAAAACCTAGTTGACGGGTTGATAGATGCAGCAAACCACCATGGCACATGTATATCTATGTAACAAACCTGCACATTCTGCACATGTATCTCAGAACGTAGAATAAAAAATAAAAAGAAATCAAAGAAAAAGGTGGGGAGAGGTATAACCCAACCCTTCCCAGTGTTACCTCTGAGATGCAAGATCAAGAAAAGCAAATCAAGAGGTAGTTTTGCTTTCTGTTTTCTATATAAATTTTTTTTTTTTTTTTTTTTTTTTCTGGAGACATAGTCTCGCTCTATTGCCCAGTCTGGAGTCCAGGGACACAATCTCGGCTCACTGCAACCTCCTCCTCACCACAACCTCCTCCTCACTACAACCTCCTCCTCAGTGCAACCTCCTCCTCACTGCGACCTCCTCCTCACTGCGACCTCCTCCTCACTGCGACCTCCTCCTCACTGCGACCTCCTCCTCACTGCGACCTCCTCCTCACTGCAACCTCCTCCTCACTGCAACCTGCTCCTCACTACAACCTCCTCCTCACTGCAACCTCCTCCTTACTGCGACCTCCTCCTCACTGCAACCTCCTCCTTACTGCGACCTCCTCCTCACTGCGACCTCCTCCTCACTGCAACCTGCTCTTCACTACAACCTCCTCCTCACTGCAACCTCCTCCTCATTGCAACCTGCTCCTCACTGCAACCTGCTCCTTCTGGGTTCAAGGGATTCTCTTGCCTCAGCCTCCCAAATAACTAGGATTACAGGCATGCACCACCAAGCCCGACTAACTTTTGTATTTTTTGTAGATACAGGGTTTCACTATTTTGGCCACCTGGTCTCAAACTCCTGGCCTGCCCACCTTAGCCTCCAAAAGTCCTGGGATTACAGGTGTGAGCCACCACGCCTGGCCTGCATTGCTTGAATTCTCAGACCACATGGACCCTCTCATCTGGTCCAATTGCAAGAGTCCAAGGCAGGAAAGGCAGAAGGCAGGGGCTTACCCCTCCATCAGGACAACATAGAACAGAGTCAAAAAAGGAAAACATGAATGGATCAGTCAAGAGGGCCGTGCACATGCCCTCCCAGGCACCTACATCTTGCAACTTAAGCCGACAGCCTTTCAAGCCACAGAGTCTTCCTCCCCAGAGACTAGCAAGGACACAAGCCCTGGCCAGGCCCTTCCAGGAAGATGTTCTGAGGGACAAGGTGGGGGGCACAGTCAGGGGTGGCAGGAGGAAAGGGGGACACGAAGCCAAGGAAACCAGGGCACCCCATGCTTCCTGAAGGCAACTAGAACAGGGCGCCACACAGAGCCCCTGTGTACCTGTTTCTACAACAGCCTGAATACAAGGAAAAGGAAAACAAGGAAAATACACAAAGCCCAGCCTCACCAGGAGCAGGTTAAATAAAGGTGTGTGAATTTTCCTCATGTCCTTTGGAATTGGAAATCCAAGCTTCCTCTTCTGTGCCTTTAAGGTCCTGGCCGCTGCCGCACAGCTCCCTTCTCTTCCCTCCTCCTCCTGTCCTATTTTTTTTTTTTTTTTTTTTTTTTGAGATGGAATCTTGCTCTGTTGCCCAGGCTGGAGTACAGTGGCACAATCTCAGCTCACTACAACCTCCACCTTCCGGGTTCAAGCAATTCTCGTGGCTCAGCTTCCCGAGTAGCTGGGATTATAGGTGTCACCATGTCTGGCTAATTATTGTATTTTTAGTAGAGACAGGTTTTCACCATATTGGCCAGTCTGGTCTCAAACTCCTGGCCTCAGGTGATCCGCCCACCTCGGCCTCCCAAAGTGCTGGGATTACAGATGTGAGCCACCATGCCCGACCCTCTTGTACTAACTCTGCCATCTCTTTGCAGTCTCCCCTGAGCAGCTTTTCCTGGGCCCGCACTGCCCCCCTCCAGAGCTGCACTCTCAAACCACGCCCCAATGCCCCCTGGCCCTGGCTCCTGCCCCGGGGCTCTGATCCTCAGCTGGTGAGGTCTAGAGTGTCAGAGGGAGCCAGACTCCTTAGAGAAGCTAAGGCGGGAGACCTGTGCTGGGCTGTGGTTAAACTGCTCCCTTCCAGCTGGGGCCGAATAGAAAGTGAAAGACTGCCCCCAGAATACAGGGCCCTCAGAGGCCCTGGGGATCTGTGCTGGCAGTCAGGAGGACTGTCACCTCAGTGCAGTTGCCTGCAAGGAGGGCTGTGCAGGAAGCTGCATGTTGCTCAGAGAACAAAAAAAGGAAATTAAATGCACCATCTCCTTATTAGCATGAGCTTTTGAGGCAGACACTTAAATATGCATGCCTAGACATTGTAAAACTTGGGGGAAATGTTAATTTCAATAACGCCACTTCTTGTGCTTGCAGAAACCATTCTTTTATCTCCCTTCCTAGTCATTTGTGGGCTCCATCCCTCAGAGTGGCAGCGCCAAGACAGCCGGCCTCACTGGGTTTTCTAAGCTGTGCAAGGTGAGATCCCAAGCCCTGGCCTCGAGACCCATCTTAGGAAAATGTTAGAACAGGGCAACAAGTTGCCATTTCCTCCCTCCTTTCTCTTCCCCATACAAAAATCAGAAAGCACCCTTGCCCAGTGCCCAGCCACAGTGAGGAAGAAACCCCACACAAAATCCTGGGTTGTGCCCCTGATACCAAAGACCTGCAAAATTGGGCCTCACCTGCTGCAACCTCAGCCCAGACTTGTGTACATTTCAAGGGTGGCTGGACTCATGGCCGCCTGGGACGTCAGAGTGGTACGAAGTCCTCTTAACCTAAGACTGTCGGGGTACAAGGATCAGCATTTTTTTCCTTTCTCTCCAGGGCCAGATGGTAAATAGTTCATCTTTGCAGGCCATAGGTCTCTGTCCCAACTATTCAACTCTCCACTCTCCATTGTAGCAGGAAAGCAGCCACAGACAATAGGCACTGAAATGGGTGTGGCTGTGTTCCAATAAAACTTTATTTGTGTGAACAGGCAGGGGGCTGGTTCTGGCCTGTGGGCTATAGCCTGCCTCCTCTGCTACAGGGTGATCTCCAAGGACCCATCCATCTTGTAGACCAGCAGCTGGCACACAGGAGCTGCTCAGATACTTGAAGGAGGAATGGAGAAGGCAAACAGCCCCCAGTGTGCAGATGTGAGGGTCTCCCAGCGGCACCATCCTTTGCCATCTCATGCCAAGGGACAAAGCCAGAGCAGGGCTCTCCACCAAGGCTGGGTTCTCCTCCAAGGAAATGTGATAACAGGACAGAAAGCATCGTGGAAGGATAGGGGCTTTGGAGTCCCACAAACCACAGTTTGCAAGACCAGGAGCATCCTGCACTTCCTTGCACACATCCTGGGTGGGTACTGGAGCATCTAGACTTAGAGTGAATCTTCTCCCCATCCTCCCCCAACTGGCCTCCATTAAACTTCCAGCAACAATGTGGTGTATGTACACAATGGAATACTATTCAGTCTTCAAAAAGAAGGAAATCCTGCCATTTGAGACAACATGGATGAGCCTGGAGGATATTATGTTAAGTGAAATAAGCCAGGCACAGAACGACAAATACCACATGATCTCACTTACATGTGGAATCTAAAAAAGTTGAACTCGGCCAGGCATGGTGGCTCACGCCTGTAATCCCAGCACTTTGGGAGGCTGAGACCAGAGGATTGCTTGAGCCCAGGAGTTCGAGACCAGCCTGCATAACATAGCAATACCCCATCTCTACAAAAAATACAAAAATTAGTGGAGCATGGTAGTGCATGCCTGTACTCCCAGATACTCAGGAGGCTGAGGTGGAAGGATTGATTGAACTTGGGACCTCAAGGCTGCAGTGAGCCATGATCACAACCCTGCACTACAGCCTGGGCAATAGAAGGAGATTTTCTCCAAAAAAAAGGAAAAAAAAAAAAAGAGAAGAAAAAAGTTGAATTCACAGAAGCAGAGTAGAATGATGGTTGCCAGGGTGGGGAAGTGGGCAGATGCCAAAGGACACAGAATGTCATTTTTAGAGAAGAATAAGTTCAGGAGATCCATGGGACAACAAGGTACCTATAGTTAATAACAACATATCATATACTTGGAAATCACTAAGAGAGTAGATTGTTTAAGTGTTCTCACCCCAAAAAGTAAGTCTGGGAGGTGATATGTTATTTACCTTGATTTAGCCATTTCATAATGTATACATACCTCAATCACATCATGTTGTATACCCTCTTGTACATAATTTTTGCCAATTCAATAAATTCAACAACTCCAAAAAACAAGACATTCTCTTTACAAAAATAATTGTTAAAAATAAAATTCAGAATTCTATTTTATTTATTTATTTATTTTTGAAACAGAGTCTCGCTCTGTCACCCAGGCTGGCTGAAGTACAGTGGTTCCATCTCGGCTGACTGCAACCTCTGTCTCCCAGGTGCAAACGATTCTCCTGCCTCAGCCTCCCAAGTAGCTGGGATTGCAGGTGTGTGCCATCACACCTGGCTAATTTCTGTATTTTTAGTAGAGACAGTTTTGCCATGTTGACCAGGCTGGTCTCGAACTCCTGACCTTAGGTGATCCGCCAGCCTCGGCCTCCCAAAGTGCTGGGATTACAGGTGTGAACCACTGCACCTGGACAGAATATAAAAGATTGTTTAATTCAACTAAAACATTAAAACACAGATTATTTCTATAAGTGGTAATTGTTCTAACATGTTTTGGTCAAAATAGTCTCCTTACTTATCCACAATTAAATGGTTAATTGATATTTGATTGGATTTTTATAAAGTTTTCAAATCATGATTCACTTTTCCAATGTACAGTAAAATGTGTTTGAAAATATTGCATAAAAATTAATATTTAAAAATGGTCAGGCATGGTGGCTCATGCCTGTAATCCCAGCACTTTGGGAGGCCAAGGTGGGCCGATCACTTGAGGTCAGGAGTTTGAGACCAGCCTGGTCAAACCTCATCTCTACTAAGAATACAAAAGTTAGTCAGGCATGGTGGCACGCACCTGCATTCCCAGCTACTTGGGAAACTGAGGCAGGAGAATCGCTTGAACCTGGGAGGTGGGCTCCCCAGGCTTAAAGCAAAACCCCCATCTTGTCTGTCTCCACTCTCATCCCAGGCAATCGCCGTCATTTCCACAGCCTCAACCACTGTCTACCTGGGATGCATCCCAAGCCCGGGTCGCCAGCCCAAACCTGCCTTCCTAGCCCCAGACCCATCTGTCCTGGCACACATTGCCCCCTGGGTCCCCAGCAACCTCAGCCAATGAGACCAATGCCAACTTCCTGTCCTTGCCTGACACTGTCAGCCCTGAGATCAGACTTGACCATTCACCTCCAGTACCTGATAGGTCCATCAGTC
Organism: Homo sapiens; assembly: GCF_000001405.40. Lineage (NCBI taxonomy): Eukaryota > Metazoa > Chordata > Mammalia > Primates > Hominidae > Homo > Homo sapiens. The sequence continues at coordinate 7,216,591 of NC_000008.11, forward strand.
CTTTGGAACATATCCCACGAAAATTCCCCAAACCAGGCACCGGACTCCACACATCAACACCGTCACGTGAGTCACCAGCATCCCTGGCAGGGACCCCTGTCCCAGCCTCCAACTCATCTCCTTCCTGTCCCTTGAGTTCTGTGTCACATTCCAGAGGCCACAAGAAGAAAAATGACCACCTTAATGAAATTAAAAGAATTGAGAAGACATTTCTCTATGGTCCAAAATCTTTCCAACTGAGAAACACATATCAAGATCCAGCCTGCTGGCCCTGTGGTTAAATGTTCCTGAAATAATTAAAGCCCAGGGCAACACAGCCCCCACTCCACAAGTACTCCCAGCACAGTAAGACTTGCTTCTCTACAGGGGCTTGAAATGTCCAGTGTGTACCCTGCCCCTCTCTGTCGTAGCTAACAGGAATGTGCTCCGTGTCTTCTTCCTGCTCAAAGGACCGTCCACCAACCTGCGCAGGCAGCACTTTCGGCAAGGGGAGGATGGGAGAACATCCTACCATTTCCCACTTACTCACTGCATTCATCAGGAGCCTGCCTCACAAATTACAAGAGCGCCACGGCAGACCCACGACGTTCCAGCGGGTGGCCATGTCTTCATGTCAACTTGAAAGATCATCGCCAGGGAAATATCTATATCTCGGCAGAGAACTTCAGCCTGTGTAGTCCAGCTGTGCTCAAATGGAAATCCAAAAACCCAGATGTTGGTCAAAACACCCTGTCTCAGGGAGCTGGCTCTGCAGGTCCCCAGTGTGAGAGTGAACTGGGTGGGCCACCTGACCTGTCTACCCACATCCCGGCCTCCTGGAATCCTGGACCCTGAGAACCAGGGGGATGTGGTGGGGAGCAGGCAAGTCTTGTGCAGAAAGCCAAGATGCCACCCAAATCCACTCTGCAGTCTAGGAGGGCGATATTCTGGTCTGCACCACACCAGTGCACGAGAGGATGGAGGATGGAGTCTAGACAAGCCAAATGTAAAAATATATTGTCCAAGTATTTTGTGCTTTGTCTGTGTTACAATGCGATGACAAGCCCAGTGTGCTGGCTCACACCTGTGATCTCAGCAACTTGGGAGGCCGAGGCAGGCGGATCACCTGAGGTCAGAAGTTTGAGATCAGCCTGCCCAACATGGTGAAACCCCATCTCTACTAAAAATACAAAAATTAGCCAGGTGTGGTGGTGGGCACCTGTAATCCCAGCTACTCTGGAGGCTGAGGCAGGAGAATCACTTGAGCCCAGGACGTGGAGGTTGCAGTGAGCAGAGATCATGTCACTGTACTCCAGCCTGGGCAACAGAGTAAGACTCTGTCTTAAAAAAAAATTAAATAAATAAAGGCTATGCCCAGTATTTTCCATGTACTGTCTTATTATCTCAGTAAATCCCATATAACCTTCCTATGAAAGTGTATCTCATTTATCTCCATTTTATAGATGAGAAAACTGAGGCCCCTGGAGTAGTATTAATTTTCCAAGACAGCATTGCTCATAAAGGGTACAGCAGGGACCCAAGCTCGACACTCTCACCCTCAAACATTTCCACAAGTGTAGACCAATGGCTCTCAACTGTGGTGGTTTTGCTCACGTACCACTCCCTTGCCCCACAGCATTGAAACCATCTGCAGACATCTGGGGTAGCCATAGCTGGGAGGGTAGAATGGCACCTAGAGGATGGAGACCACAGATGCTGCTAACCGTCCTACAATACACAGGATGCCCCCCCACCACCACCACGAATGGTCTCACCCCAAATGTTGTGACTGTGCCAAAGCTGAGAAATCCAGGTTTCTCCTCAGCAAGAAGGAAAATACCTGCAACGTGGATGCACCTCTACAGGAGCCTCAGGCTGACAATAACCTTCCTGATCTGGTTTCAACCCTGGATGCTTTTACCTGGTGCGTCCATCAGGGATTTCAGGGACTCCAGTGAGTTATCACCCTCGAATGCTCGGTTCTGCCTGACAACCCAGAAATCTCTGCCAAGGTGCCTGGTCTTGGGGAAGGCTCAGCAAGCAGTTGAGGTTGACAACCAAATACCTAGGAGAGACTTTTCTCTCCCTCCAGGAGGAGCTGTGGGTCAGACACACACTGGGATCATTCACAAGCGGTCAATAAAGGCTTGGGGAGGGGCAGATTTTCTAGGCCTTCTCAATGGGGTGGGTGTTTGTGGATACACAAGAAGCCTGTGAAACTTCTGATATTGGCAGGAAATCAATGCCCCCATCCTCCACCCCCACCCCCACCTCCCCACCATAAACACATGCCCTGCAGCAGGACTTGACACTCAGGGGCTCCTGGGGTCCCGATTTATCTGCTAAAACCTCCTCTAGCCACCACCGAATAAAGCAACCCCTTGCGACCCAACCACAAGAGCACTGCCTGGAAGCAACTCCAAGGGACATCCAGTCACATTAAAACCTCAGCCATCCAGAGCACCAGGCCTGGTGATGAGAAAGAACATTTTATCCTTAAAAGCATCTGAATGCCCATGCTGCTTCTTGCAGAGAAAAGTCCAAAATAATCTGTTATTAAAGAACGAGGATGGTTTTGACATTTTTACCAAGCTAGTGGTCTACGCAGACAAAATCTCATAAAAGGGCACTCTGTTCTTCTTGATCCACTCAGACATGGCCTGTGAGTGAAGAAACGGGCTCTCCTCCTCAAAGAAATCACTGCTGATCCTCGTACCAGCCTGACACTGCTTCATGGGTTCTTCAAAGAGAGTATTCCCATAGGAACTAAAAGGGAAGAGGAATGTGTCTGGCGGGCATTGTGGGCAGCAGCGAGCTTTGGGCCAAATTTTAAGTTTGAAAATCAAGATTCCCTCTTTTCAAGGGGCTGCCGGACTGAGCAGATACAGGCACCGTGAAAAGAGGGTGCCATGTTCAGATTCAGGAAACAAGGATGGTTTCTATTCAGTTCATCCATCATCCTTCAGGTCATGCTATTCCCATTTCCCTCTGTGGACCAAAAAATTCAGCGGGGTTTCTGCCTTTTAAACATTTCATTATCAACATATCATCCTTTTAGCCTCCAGAAAGCATTTTAACATGGAGATTCTGGCTTAAGACTCTTGTGGGTCTGTCTGTCTCTCTCTCTCTTTTCCTTGAAACGGTCTCACTTTGTCACCCAGGCTGAAGTGCAGTGGCGTGATCACAGCTCACTGCAACCCAACCTTCCAGGCTCTAGCAATCCTCCCACCTCAGCCTCCCAAGTACTTGGGACTGCAGGCACACACCACCATAACTGCCTTTTTTTTTTTTTTTTTTTTTTTTTGGTAGATATGAGGCTTCACCATGTTGCCCAGGCTGGTCTTAAACTCCTGGGCTCAAGTGATCCCCCCCTTTCGGCCTCTCAAAGTGCTGGGATTATTGGCTTCAGCCACCATGCCCAGCCAAGGACCTTGTCTCTTGTGAAGTACTCCAGAACAAAACATCACTGCAAAAACACATCAGGGCATGAGTTTTAGTCTTAAGTCCCACTTATCCACCATACACTATGTGCCAGGCACAACGCTAAGTGCTTCTATGGACGAGCTTCCCTTAATCTCAGCAGCAACAACCCCAGGCAATGGAGCCTGTTGACAGATCCATTTGCCACTGAAGACAGTAAGGCTCAGACAGGGTAAGTGGCTTGTGCCATGTCAGCCAGCTAAGGAGGGGCAGAACCAGAATGCAAACCCCAGCCACCTGGCTCCAGAATCGCGTTCCCAAGGTCTCACTACACTTGGTCACTCCACCGCATTCTGGTATCCTGGTCTTTGGCAGAGTCCACGTAAAAGAGGGAGGTAGAGGGAGTGAGAGGGACTTCATGCAATAAAGTTTCCCGGCGTTACACTGCCACCATAATTGTGTCCCCGACCAGGACCTCTCCCTTCTCATCCTTTCCGTGATCGGCCCTGGAAAACCTTCCAAAGAACTGTCCTCCTTCTCCCGGGATCTCAGAGAAAATTCACCTGAGTTCAGTGTCCAGGTGACCCAAGCTCTGAATGCGGTAACGTGGATGGGGAGAAGAGGATGTCACCATGAGCAAGCCTCCCAGACAGCATCCAGGAGCAACCCCAAGACTGGGCGGGGGGGCTCTGATGCCGCCCACGGCGAGGAGGGCTGCCCATGCTGCCTAAATGGGTTCAGAATGAAGACCGCCCTCTCTCCCATGTGGGGCTCATTAACCATGAATCCAATTATTAAGACAAGCTCAGCTGAGCAAATGGTCAAACATAAAAACATGTGGAAGGAACAAAGAGGTCAACCCCATTATCCATTAAAAACCATCAAGGTGGCGGCCCTCACTGAGGGGTACAGTTCTCCAGCTGGCCCTCATCTGCCCTCCAAACCCACATGCCTCCCCAGTGGAAGGCCAGCAAAGCCACACAGGAAGAGTTGGGGTAGGAAAGCAGAAAGTGAACCCCAGGAGGCCAGCCTGGCTACGCAGCCCCATCCCACACACACTGGCCCGGTGATTCAGGGGCCAACGTTTGCAGGACACCGGGAGCTCACAGGGACAGCGCCCCGGGGATGCAAGGAACTTTGCCTCTCTGTCCCTCTCTGTAGGGATGGAAAGAGGAGAGCGATTTCTGGGATGGAAGCCATCTGCCTCCTCTCAACTCTTGCTGCCCAACCAGAAAGGGAAGAAGAACAGGAAGATGCGGGACAGGTGAGGAGCTGGGTGAGCGCCGCCAGCCCGCAGTCCAGCCGAGCAGGGCTTGGCCAAGCCTGGCGCCAGGGACTTCCCCCCTACCCCCACCACTGGCCCCTCGCCAGGTGAGAGGCACCGACAGGGTCCCAGACAGATGCCCCAGACAGGATGCCCAGCGCAACACCCGCCACTTCCCCTGCTAGGGGCCCCCAGGACGCGGGGCTGCCCCTCTCTTTTTGGCCAGCCGCAGAGTCCAGTGGGTCTCCCAGCCAGGGACGTCGTGGGAGAATCAGGAAGTCAAAGCCACACAGCCGAGAAGCGGCAGCTGGCATCTCGGAGGCCGTCACGCGCTGTCACTCCGCGCCCTTCGGAGTTGCAGCTAAAATACCAACTTCAACCCGGGGCCGGCCACGGAGCCTCCCGCCGCCCCTACCGGCGCCCCCGGCACCCCCGGACCCCAGCGCCCGCGTCACTTACTCCTCTGCGGTCGCCACCTGTCTGGGTGCCGGTCTCCTCCCTGCCTGGCCGCGGCGCGTCCTCCCCGTTCTCGCAGTCCTCGGGCTGTGCGCTTCCCCTCTCCAGCTACAGCCGCAGCCTCTTCTCTTCCGGAGGGACGTCGTCCTCCTCCCTCCTGGGCCGGCCATCCCTGCCTCGGGGCTTGCCAGTGGCTTCGGAGCTGCCGGAAGGGCTGGCCATGGCTCGGGGGCTCTGCCTGCACCTGGAGAAGAGGAAGGATACGGCGCGAGCGGCCTCTCGGCGGAGCTGGGGCGTCTGAGCGCGGGCTCGGTGGGTCCGCGCGGCGCGGAGCTGGGTATAGGGGCCGGCGCGGGCTCCTCCGCGGGCCGCGCCTGGCTCTCTGGCGCCCTCTTCTGGCCGCTCTCGCGCACCTCCGCCACGCCGGGCCCAGGCCTGCGCAGCTCTCACATGTCCTGGCCCAGGAGGTCGCTGTCCCTTGCCCATGGACAGGCCCTCTCTGGCAATGCCCTGCACCTCCTCCCCACCCCGGCCAGGTTGGACCCCGATGGTCTCCCTGCTCAAGGAGGAGAGAAGAGAAGGGACGCCACGAGAGGGTGGACATCGGCCAAAGCCACCTTGTCTTTGCTCTTACCCTGTGTCTTCCATGATTTGGAGGTGGTGGGAAACCCGAGGCTGCTCAAAACTCGTGGAGAATTCCTCCTGCAGGATGACATGAATGCACCTTCCCATTGCCTACCAACAGATCTTTTTTGAGCATCACTGTGGACCAGTCGTGGTGATGGGGGAGGGGATATTGTGGAGAACATGACAGGCATTGCCTTCACCCAGTGAGGCTCAGCTCTGGGTGGGAAGGCATTGAGAATGGACATTGTCAACTGGGCCAAAGGAGGCCAAGGAGAAGTGCTGGGGGCATGGGAACTGAAAAAGAGAGGAGGCTCAGCACGTCTTTGAGCTGGGAGAGGGACAGCAGCAGCGGCTTTTCCAAAGGAAGCAACAGCTGAGAGAGGTCTCAGAGAGTTGTTCTCAGCCCAGTGGAGGGTGTTCAGGCAGAGGGAACAGCGTGTGCAAAAGCCCAGAGGCTGGGAAAGAAGCAGAAAGAGGACTGTGGGGCTGGAGCATGGTGGGCAAGGGGAGGAAGGTGTGGTGGGCAGACAGATTGCCTGGGACCCAGCCGTGCAGGGGCAGAGGAGATACGGGATCCTTGCAGGCCCCCAGCCGGGGCTCAGGCACAGAGACAGTGCAGGTGGGCAAAGGGAGGAGACGTGGAGAAATATTTTGGAGGCATGCCCTGATGAATGAGCCCAGGATGCACCCTTAGTGTCAGTGTGGAGCTCCTTCCTTGACTGTGTGATGAGCTGAACTCGGGGGTATTTTCTGGACATTGAGGTGCTACACCAAGAGCCCAGGACAGGCTAAGTGAGCACTAGCAGCTCCTGGCCCACCTCAAAAGCAGGAGAGACAGGGGAGACTGAGGAGGCCGGGGCGGAAGGGGAAGCCAGGAAGGTAGGAGAGGCCAGGGAAGCAGAGGAGGCCCGGGAGGCAATGGAGGCAGGAGAGGCTGGGGAGGTTATGTCCTTTCCATGATTCTGCCCTCGATCCTAGGCCCCTGAACTCCCTGAGCTTCCCCACCCCAAGCGCTGGAACCATGTTGCACAATGGTCTCCCCACTAAGCTCCTGATGGCAGCCCCTACCCTGCTGTGCTCCCTGTTTCAACCCTAACAGCTCTCACAGTGGGCAGCACATAGTAGGTGCTGAGGAAACACTGGTGGGAGAGCACGTGGGTCTGCTCAGCACCTTCCTCTCTCCTCCAGCTCTCCCCTGTCACGAAATAATTCTGATAACGACACATGGACTTTGAGACCCTCTTCTATTACTTTCCATATGCTAATCCATCTATACCTCACAGCAGCCCTGGGGGTGGGTGCAATGAGGATGCCCATTTTATAGAGGAGGAGACTGAGGTATAAAGAGGGTAAGTGACATACGCACACTACAGGGGCTGGGGTCAAGTGATCAGAGCACTCAATCCCCAAAGGCAAGGTGGATGCAGTTACCATAAAAGACAGCAGAGTCAAAGCTGCAACCAGAATAGCCTGACTCGCAGCGACCTATGGTGCCTGTTGATCCTGGCTTTCCTAGAAGTGAAATAGATAAGAAGCCTGCCACATTTTTACTGGAACTGTGTTTGCAGAAGTGTTCTAGGTCAAGTGAGCAGAAGTCTAATCTGATTAATAAAAACAGAGTCACAGTCCCCGGTCAATTTCCAGACATAAGCCAGTTCACAGACTCGGAGTCCCTTGTGTGAATGGGAAGCCAGGTCCCCTCCAGAAAGGACTCTGCTACACTGCCAAAAATTTATACTGTCAATCTTTCTCCCAGCCTGCTCCCAAGGGAATAAACAGCCTTTTGCTAGGATGACTGAACAGGAGAAAAGGAACTAATGGAACCTGTGCAGGATCACTGGACACAGGCTCTGAACTGGCACTAGGATGAGACTAGGGTCTACCAGTCAGAATAGGCATTTTGAAGGTCAGGTGAATGTTGGTGCAAGTTCATGTCACGGTAGGTCCATTGGGTCCCCAAATCCATCCTCTGGTTATATACAAAGCGGCAATGCTGAGATTCAAATTCAGGGCATCCAACATAGAGGCTGGGCTCTTATTCATGAAACATTCTGACACTAGTAACCAATTTAAAAATGTAAACACCTCCTGGGGCTAGCCAGAGTCCTCCAAACAGTCATGTAAATTGGTTCTGTCAAGGATTTCCTCCCACCCACTGCTGAGAGCCAGTTGCAAGGAGAGACTAGGGAAGGGCATTGGGTAACTTTGTTGCTAAAAGCTCTTCTGGATAAAGACATTTGGGAAAAGAAGCAAATAGAGTTCAGCAGAAGAGGTAAGAAAGTAAGTTTATGTTTGGCCAGGCACGGTGGCTCACGCCTGTAATCCCAGCACTTGGGAAGGCCCAGGCGGGCAGATCACGAGGTCAAGAGATCGGACTATCCTGGCCAACATGGTGAAGCCCCATCTCTACTAAAAATTCAAAAATTAGATGGGCATGATAGCGCACGCCTGTAGTCCCAGTTACTCGGGAGCCTGAGGCAGGAGAATCACTTGAACCCAGGAGGTGGAGGTTGCAGTGAGCGGAGATCATGCCACTGCACTCCAACCTGGGCAACAGAGTAAGACTCTGTCTTAAAAAAAAATTAAAATAAATAAATGCTATACCCAGCATTTTCCATGTACTGTCTTATTATCTCGGTGAATCCCATATAACCTTCCTATCAAAGTGTATCTCATTTATCTCCATTTTATAGATGAGAAAACTGAGGCCCCTGGAGTAGTATTAATTTTACAAGACCGCATTGCTCATAAAGGGTACAGCAGGGACCCAAGCTCGACACTCTCACCCTCAAACATTTCCACAAGTGTAGACCAATGGCTCTCAACTGGGGTGGTTTTGCTCACGTACCGCTCCCTTGCCCCACATTATTTGAAACCATCTGGAGACGTCTGGGGTAGCCATAGCAGGGAAGGTAGAATGGCACCTAGAGGATGGAGACCACAGATGCTGCTAACCATCCTTCAATACACAGGACAGCCCCACCACCAGCACCACGAATGGTCTCACCACAAATATTCTGACTGTGCCAAAGCTGAGAAACCCAGGTTTCTCCTCAGCAAAAAGGACAATCCCTGCAACGTGGATGCACCTCTACAGGAGCCCCAGGCTGACAATAACCTTCCTGATCTGGTTTCAACCCTGGATGCTTTTACCTGGTGCGTCCATCAGGGATTTCAGGGACTCCAGTGAGTTATCACCCTCGAATGCTCGGTTCTGCCTGACAACCCAGAAATCTCTGCCAAGGTGCCTGGTCTTGGGGAAGGCTCAGCAAGCAGTTGAGGTTGACAACCAAATACCTAGGAGAGACTTTTCTCTCCCTCCAGGAGGAGCTGTGGGTCAGACACACACTGGGATCATTCACAAGCGGTCAATAAAGGCTTGAGGAGGGGCAGATTTTCTAGGCCTTCTCAATGGGGTGGGTGTTTGTGGATAAACAAGAAGCCTGTGAAACTTCTGATATTGGGAGGAAATCAATGCCCCCATCCTCCCCCCTCCCCCACCTCCCCACCATAAACACATGCCCTGCAGCAGGACTTGACACTCAAGGGCTCCTGGGGTCCCGATTAATCTGCTAAAACATCCTCTAGCCACCACCGAATAAAGCAACCGCTTGCCACCCAACCACAAGAGCACAGCCTGGGAGCCACTCCAAGGGACATCCAGTCACATTAAAACCTCAGCCATCCAGAGCACCAGGCCTGGTGATGAGAAAGAACATTTTATCCTTAAAAGCATCTGAATGCCCATGCTGCTTCTTGCAGAGAAAAGTCCAAAATAATCTGTTATTAAAGAACGAGGATGGTTTTGACATTTTTACCAAGCTAGTGGTCTACGCAGACAAAATCTCATAAAAGGGCACTCTGTTCTTCTTGATCCACTCAGACATGGCCTGTGAGTGAAGAAACGGGCTCTCCTCCTCAAAGAAATCACTGCTGATCCTCGTACCAGCCTGACACTGCTTCATGGGTTCTTCAAAGAGAGTATTCCCATAGGAACTAAAAGGGAAGAGGAATGTGTCTGGCGGGCATTGTGGGCAGCAGCAAGCTTTGGGCCAAATTTTAAGTTTGAAAATCAAGATTCCCTCTTTTCAAGGGGCTGCCGGACTGAGCAGATACAGGCACCGTGAAAAGAGGGTGCCATGTTCAGATTCAGGAAACAAGGATGGTTTCTATTCAGTTCATCCATCATCCTTCAGGTCATGCTATTCCCATTTCCCTCTGTGGACCAAAAAATTCAGCGGGGTTTCTGCCTTTTAAACATTTCATTATCAACATATCATCCTTTTAGCCTCCAGAAAGCATTTTAACATGGAGATTCTGGCTTAAGACTCTTGTGGGTCTGTCTGTCTCTCTCTCTCTTTTCCTTGAAACGGTCTCACTTTGTCACCCAGGCTGAAGTGCAGTGGCGTGATCACAGCTCACTGCAACCCAACCTTCCAGGCTCTAGCAATCCTCCCACCTCAGCCTCCCAAGTACTTGGGACTGCAGGCACACACCACCATAACTGCCTTTTTTTTTTTTTTTTTTTTTTTTTTGGTAGATATGAGGCTTCACCATGTTGCCCAGGCTGGTCTTAAACTCCTGGGCTCAAGCGATCCTCCCCCTTCGGCCTCTCAAAGTGCTGGGATTATTGGCTTCAGCCACCATGCCCAGCCAAGGACCTTGTCTCTTGTGAAGTACTCCAGAACAAAACATCACTGCAAAAACACATCAGGGCATGAGTTTTAGTCTTAAGTCCCACTTATCCACCATACACTATGTGCCAGGCACAACGCTAAGTGCTTCTATGGACGAGCTTCCCTTAATCTCAGCAGCAACAACCCCAGGCAATGGAGCCTGTTGACAGATCCATTTGCCACTGAAGACAGTAAGGCTCAGACAGGGTAAGTGGCTTGTGCCATGTCAGCCAGCTAAGGAAGGGCAGAACCAGGATGCAAACCCCAGCCGCCTGGCTCCAGAATCGCATTCCCAAGGTCTCACTACACTTGGCCTCTCCACCGCATTCTGGTATCCTGGTCTTTGGCAGAGTCCACGTAAAAGAGGGAGGTAGAGGGAGTGAGAGGGACTTCATGCAATAAAGTTTCCCGGCGTTACACTGCCACCATAATTGTGTCCCCGACCAGGACCTCTCCCTTCTCATCCTTTCCGTGATCGGCCCTGGAAAACCTTCCAAAGAACTGTCCTCCTTCTCCCGGGATCTCAGAGAAAATTCACCTGAGTTCAGTGTCCAGGTGACCCAAGCTCTGAATGCGGTAACGTGGACGGGGAGATGAGGATGTCACCATGAGCAAGCCTCCCAGACAGCATCCAGGAGCAACCCCAAGACTGGGCGGGGGGGCTCTGATCCTGCCCATGGCGAGGAGGGCTGCCCATGCTGCCTAAATGGGTTCAGAATGAAGGCTGCACTCCCAACTTCAACCCGGGGACGGCCACGGAGCCTCCCGACGTCCCTTCGTCGCGTCCCCGGCACCCCCGCGCCCCTGGCACTCCCGGACCCCCGCGCCCGCGTCACTTACTCCTTTGCCGTCGCCACCTGTCTGGGTGCCGGTCTCCTTCGTGCCCGGCAGCGGCGGGTCCTCCCTGTCCTCGCAGTCCTCGGGCTGTGCGCTTCCCCCCTCCAGCTACAGCCCCAGCCTCTTCTCTTCGGGAGGGACGTCCTCCTCCTCCTCCCTTCTGGGCCGGCCATCCCTGCCTCGGGGCTTGCCAGTGTCTTCGGAGCTGCTGGAAGGGCTGGCCATGGCTCCGGGGGCTCTGCCTGAACTTGGGGAAGAGGAAGGACACGGCGCGAGCGGCCTCTCGGCGGAGCTGGGGCGTCTGAGCGCGGGCTCGGTGGGTCCGCGTGGCGCGGAGCTGGGTATCGGGGCCGGTGCGGGCTCCTCCGCGGGCGGCTCCTGGCACTCTGGCGCCCTCTTCTGGCCGCTCTCGCGCACCTCCGCCACGCCGGGCCCAGGCCTGCGCAGCTGTCACATGTCCTGGCCCAGGAGGTCGCTATCCCTTGCCCATGGACAGGCCCGCTCTGGCAATGCCCTGCACCTCCTCCCCGCCCCGGCCAGGTTGCACCCCGATGGTCTCCCTGCTCAAGGAGGAGAGAAGAGAAGGGACGCCACGAGAGGGTGGACATCGGCCAAAGCCACCTTGTCTTTGCTCTTACCCTGTGTCTTCCATGATTTGGAGGTGGTGGGAAACCCGAGGCTGCTCAAAACTCGTGGAGAATTCCTCCTGCAGGATGACATGAATGCACCTTCCCATTGCCTACCAACAGATCTTTTTTGAGCATCACTGTGGACCAGTCGTGGTGATGGGGGAGGGGATATTGTGGAGAACATGACAGGCATTGCCTTCACCCAGTGAGGCTCAGCTCTGGGTGGGAAGGCATTGAGAATGGACATTGTCAACTGGGCCAAAGGAGGCCAAGGAGAAGTGCTGGGGGCATGGGAACTGAAAAAGAGAGGAGGCTCAGCACGTCTTTGAGCTGGGAGAGGGACAGAAGCAGCGGCTTTTCCAAAGGAAGCAACAGCTGAGAGAGGTCTCAGAGAGTTGTTCTCAGCCCAGTGGAGGGTGTTCAGGCAGAGGGAACAGCGTGTGCAAAAGCCCAGAGGCTGGGAAAGAAGCAGAAAGAGGACTGTGGGGCTGGAGCGTGGTGGGCAACAGGAGAGAGGTGTGGTGGGCAGACAGATTGTCTGAGACCCAGCCGTGCAGGGGCAGAGGAGATAGAGGATCCTTGCAGGCCCCCAGCTGGGGCTGAGGCACAGAGACAATGCAGGTGGGCAAAGGGAGGAGACATGGAGAAATATTTTGGAGGCATGTCCTGATGAATGAGCCCAGGATGCACCCTTAGTGTCAGTGTGGAGCTCCTTTCTTGGCTGTGTGATAAGCTGAACCCGGGGGTATTTTCTGGACATCGAAGTGCTACACCCAGAGTCCAGGACAGACTAAGTGAGCACCAGCAGCTCCTGGCCCACCTCAAAAGCAGGAAAGACAGGGGAGACTGGGGAGGCCGGGGCGGAAGGGGAAGCCAGGAAGGCAGGAGAGGCCAGGGAACAGAGGAGGTCAGGGAGGCAGGGGAGGCAGGGGAGGCTGGGGCGGCTGTGTCCTTTCCATGATTCTGCCCTGGATCCTAGGCCCCCGTACTCCCTGACCTTCCCCACCCCAAGCACTGTAACCATGTTGCACAACGGTTTCCCCACTAAGCTCCTAATGGCAGCTCCTATCCTGCTGTGCTCCCTATTTCAACCCTAACAGCTCTCACAGTGGGCAGCACATAGTAGGTGCTCAGGAAACACTGGTGGGAGAGCACGTGGGTCTGCTCAGCACCTTCCTCTCTCCTCCAGCTCTCCCCATCATGAAATAATTCTGATAACGACACATGGGCTTTGAGACCCTCTTCTATTACTTTCCATATGCTAATCCATCTATACCTCACAGCAGCCCTGGGGGTGGGTGCAATGAGGATGCCCATTTTATAGAGGAGGAGACTGAGGTATAAAGAGGGTAAGTGACATACGCACACTACAGGGGCTGGGGTCAAGTGATCAGAGCACTCAATCCCCAAAGGCAAGGTGGATGCAGTTACCATAAAAGACAGCAGAGTCAAAGCTGCAACCAGAATAGCCTGACTCGCAGAGACCTATGGTGCCTGCTGATCGTGGCTTTCCTAGAACTGAAATAGATAAGAAGCCTGCCACATTTTTACTGGATCTGTGTTTGCAGAAGAATTCTAGGTCAGGTGAGCAGAAGTCTAATCTGAATCATAAAAACAGAGTCACAGTCCCCCGTCAATTCCCAGACATAAGCCAGTTCACAGACCTGGAGTCCCTTGTCTGAATGGGAAGCCAGGTCCCCTCCAGAAAGGACTCTGCTCCACTGCCAAAAATTTATACTGTCAATCTTTCTCCCAGCCTGGCCCCAAGGGAATACACAGCCTTTACCGGGATGACTGAATAGGAGAAAAGGAACTAATGGGACCTGTGCAAGACCACTGGACACAGGCTCTGAACTGGCACTAGGGCGAGACTAGGGTCTACCAGTCAGAATAGGCATTTTGGAGGTCAGGTGAATGTTGGTCCAAGTTCATGTCATGGTAGATCCATTGGGTCCCCAAATCCATCCTCTGCTTATATACAAAATGGCCATGTTGAGACTTAAATTCAGGGTATCCAACTTAGAGGCTGTGCTCTTACTCATGAAACATTCTGACACTAGTAACCAATTTCAAAATGTAAACACCTCCTGGGGCTAGTGAGAGTCCTCCAAACAGTCATGTAAATTGGTTCTGTCAAGGATTTCCTCCTACCCACCACCCCCACCACTGAAAACCAGTTGCAAGGAGAGACTAGGGAAGGGCATTGGGTAACTTTGTTGCTAAAAGTTCTTCTGGATAAACAAGAGCCTTATCCAGGAAAAAGAAGCAAAATAGAGTTTCAGCAGAAGTTGCGAAAAGAAGCACATAGAGTTCAGCAGAAGAGGTAAGAAAGTAAGTTTATGTTTGACCAGGCACGGTGGCTCACGCCTGTAATCCTAGCACTTTGGGAAGCCAAGGCGGGCAGATCACGAGGTCAAGAGATCGCACCATCCTGGCCAACAAGGTGAAGCCCCGTCTGTACTAAAAATTCAAAAATTAGCTGGCCATGATGGCACACGCCTATAGTCCCAGCTACTCGGGAGCCTGAGGCAGGAGAATCACTTGAACGCAGGAGGCAGAGGTTGCAGTGGGCCAAGATCATGCCACTGCATTCCAACCTGGTGACAGAATTAGACTCCATCTCATAAAACAAAACAAAACAAACAAAAAAAAGTAAGCTTATTTTTAAGCCTGAACAAGTGTAGTGGTTTAGGGGTTCTGCAAACACGGCCCCAATCAGGCTACAAGATGTTCTGGCAGCAATATTTACAGCCAGTCACTCCTGGCCGGCTGAGCCACTTTTCAAAACACCCTTGCACGGCTGTGCAGAGAGGCTGGCTCCACTGGCAGCCGGCAGAGCCATAACTCACAGTGTCACCGCTGCCCTCAAACCACTTCGGTAAGCACTTTGTATTTTTGAGACGGAGTCTTGCTCTGTCATCCAGGCTGGAGTGCAGTGGCACAATCTCGGCTCACTGCAAGCCCCGCCTCCTGGGTTCATGCCATTCTCCTGCCTCAGCCTCCCAAGTAGCTGGGACTACAGGTGCCCGCCACCATGCCTGGCTAATTTTTTGTATTTTTAGTAGAGACGGGGTTTCACCGTGTTAGCCAGGATGGTCTCAATCTCCTGACCTTGTGATCTGCCTGCCTCGGCCTCCCAAAGTGCTGGGATTACAGGCGTGAGCCACCGCGCCCGGCCTGGTAAGCACTTTTAATCAATGCAACAGGAATAAACATTTGCTGCAGAGCGGCAATTTGCAGGGAAGAACATGCTTCCACTTAGGATCAGAAAGCAAAACCTCCTGGCTGTTTGCATCTATGCAAGAGCTCACAGGAAAAGCCCTCTGTGTGGCTGCCAGCCTCACACACTCCCCACAAGGGGTGAGTTTCTCTTTCCATGTTAATCTATGCTCTGACGTGCCATCTGTCAACCACCACACCATTCTCAGTTGACATTTCAAAGCATCTTTGCCCTGAGAATGGTCACCAGCTCTGCCCTGCAAGCCCCCAGGTGACAATGAACTTAAATGAGAGAGAAAACAGGTTTCGAGGTGGATTTCAGTTCAGCATCTTGGAGTCTCTGTGTGGACATGAAATCTGTCTCCCCAGCTGTGGACTGCATCCTTGTTTGTCATCTGGTTTGGTTCTTGGGGACTTGGAAACTCGTGGGCACCTTTGCAATTTGTCAAGAAGCTGCACGGCCCTTCCAACAAAAGCAAGGAATAGGAACAGAAGCCCAAGGCTTCAGATCAAGGTGCAATTTAAAGCAGCCTCAGTATAAAAGCAAACAAGAGCCAGAGGGATGCCTAAGGGAGAGTCTAGACCTCAGGGCAGCTATAAGGCAAAGAGAAAGAGAGAGAGAGAGACAGAGACAGAAAGACAGAGAGAGATGGGAGGAGACATGAGGCACCCAGGCATCTGGATCAAAATCCCTACAAGAGGGGCCTCCTAAAAATTCAGGAGGCTGAGGTGGGTGCACACAGAAGTTCAAGACTAGCCTGGGCAACATAGCAAGACCGTGTCTTTACAAAAAATACAAAAATTAGCCGGGTGTGGTGGTGTATGTCTGTGGTCCCAGTTACCCAGGAGGCTGAGGTGGGAGGATTGCTTGAGCCCAGGAGGTAGAGCTGCAGCGAGCTGAGATAGCACCACTGCACTCCAGCCTGGGCAACAGAGTGAGACTTCATCACAAAAAAATTTAAAAAAATTTTTAAAAAGGATCACCCCGGCTACTCGAATGGTTAATAAGAAGGTAAGAGCAGAAGCAAGGAGACCAGCAGGGACATTCTGCAGGTGGGAGTCCACAGAGGCTCAGACCAGGCTGGGGCTGAAGACTGCCTGAATTCTGTGTATATTTTGATGATGAAGAAACTCACCGACTCTTGAAGAGTGGGCTCCAGGAGATGGTATTTTTAACAAGCTCTCAGAGTATTCTAATGCAGGCTGAAGTTGAAGAACTGGTTTAGGTGAAGCTTCTGTTTCATCCTTGGGGAAGTACCTACTGACTTTTCTCTAAGCCACCACAAAAGAGGTGCTAGACAAGATGTGCTCCAATGTCTGAACATGTGTGCACAGCTGTAGAGCCAACCTAAGGACACTGAGTCAAAGGTTAGGAGTACAACAGTGAACAACCACTGTCCTCTTTTCAATAAGCTTTGCATTTAATGAGAGAAAAAAAAGCAAAAAAAAAAAAATCATTTTCAACTCAGAATGGTAAGAGTTATGGTGACACTATGCCTGGGGCAATGGGAGCACATAGAAGGGGCACCCAATCGGCCAGGTGCAGTTGTTCATGCCTGTATTCCCAGCACTTCGGGAGGCCAAGGTGGGTGGATCACTTGAGGCCAGGAGTTCAAAAACAGCCTGGCCAACATGGTGAAATCCTGTCTTTACTAAAAATACAAAAAAATTAGCCAGATGTGGTGGCGGGCACCTGTAATTCCAGATACTCAGAAGGCTGAGGTGGGAGAATTGCTTGAACCCGGGTGGTGGAGATTGCAGTGAGCCAAGATCGCACCACTGCATTCCAGCCTGCATGGTCAGAGCGAGACTCTTTCAAAAAAAAAAAAAGAAAGAAAAAAGAAAAAGCTCGGAGGTGGGTGGGCATGCAATCTATATCAGGTGGTGAGAAATCCTTCTCCACCACAGGACTCCTCAGTTGAAGACTAGAAAATGGAAGGAACTAGCCAGGTTGATAGGAGAGGTGTGGAAGATCATTCCCAGCAGAGGGAAGAGCATGTGTAAAAATCGAGACGTGGAGGGTGAGGAGTTGAGAGATGTTCATATAATTGTAAAAAGTGACTAATATAGAGGTAAGTTGGAGGCAAATCTTAAAGGCTCTTTGTCGTGTCTATCCTGTAGACAAAGGGAGACAGTAGATGTTTTTATGCAGGGGAGTAATGATCCACTTTGTGCTAGAAGAAGAGTAGTCTGGCTGGAGGAGAGTGGGTGGTGAGTAGACCAGGTAGGAGGCTGCAATACGCCAAGTGAGACAAGATGGTTGGCTGGACCAAGGCTGTGGCAGTGAGGATGGAGAGGAGACAGTAGACTAACTTGACTGAGAAAGAGGGAGGAATGAAGGAGGAGGCCCAGGTGATTTGGAAGCTGGGTGGATGGTGGTGTGAATCTGACGTGGTGAGCCCTGGCAGAAGAGGAAATCAGGAGAGGAAAGGTAAGATGAGGTCAATGCAAGACAGACAGCCAAGTGGAGATAACAACTGGGCAGCTGGATTCATCAGCCTGGAGTTATACAGAGAGCTCTGGAATGGAAATAAAGAGGAAAGGACTTTGGGAATAGGTGAATCCTCCCAGAATAATGTGTAAGAAAGGAGAATAGAACACAGGGGACAGAAAAAGGGAAGAGATTTGTTATTAAAACCAACCATCCATCAGACATCTTCCAATAAAACACTTGTTAGAGGTTTCCTCAGTGTGAGTTATTCAGGACCAGAGCTAAAGACCATATTCCCAATAAAATAACTGCTGGGAAGGTCTTCATGAAAATATTTAATGCTGCTTTTAAAACAACAACAATAAAAAGGCTTTAGCTACTGCACAGACCCTGGAGCAATTTTTCAGCAAGTGTCTATCAAACACGAATCTGATCTGACTCAAGGAGGTGTCATATCAAGTGTAAAAATCCAATTCCAATGTCCATAAGAGCCTTTCTGCCAGGTACAAGACCCTAATCCAGTTGAAGTGATTTTCTATTGATTAATAGGCTGGGAATACACAGGTTGTTGGTTTTTGAGATTTCCCTCCCTGTGCCTTCATGCCAGCTGTGAAAGAGTCAAAAGGCTCCTAACTGTCAAAATAAAAATGACACTTCGTCACAGAGGAAGCAGATTATAGGTCAATCACATTGATGACTTTTTAACTATGAGAAGCCATTAATGTTACTGAATAAGCAAATCTGTTTGCATAAGCAGATTTTTATAGGCTACTGGGAATAAAGGTTTTCCTAAGTGGGTGATTTGTACAACGATAGCCTTTGGGTCTCTGATGGAACAGCTCTGACGAGGAAATGTTCCTTTAATTATGTGGAAGGCCAATTACCACGTTATAGCCACATTGTTTTGCAGATTGCATATAATTTCACCATTTCCATAGCTTCAGCACGATAATTCTGGAGAAAATTCAGGCACCAAGGAGACACTTGAGGCACACTATGCTGGAGACAGATGTTTTAGCGAATTCAGTTTAAGCTTCAACATTAAAGTTATTTTGTTGAATAAAACATAATGCAATAATGAGCTTGTGTATGTCAACTCTATAGTGCAGGTAATAATAGCTAGAGAGAGCATGTCCCGTCTCCTCTTTTTAATGCTCATTTGAGTAATACATAATGCTATAGAGAGAACTTTTCTCTAATATGTGCTTCACCTCAGGCTAAGCGTGTTTTGGGCAACTGTGCTTCATGAAAAAAAAGGTAAAGGATCTAATTTGGGAGCCACTCACAAAAGTGTTACCACTTGATGTTTTTTTATACTCTGAGATTTCTTATTCCCAGTGCCTACCAGGAATGGACTTTCTGGAGAAGCTCAGATTAATCACTCCTTATGAGAGGTAACAGCGTGCTGGCAGCCCTCACAGCCCTCGTTCACTCTCGGCACCTCCTCTGCCTGGGCTCCCACTTTGGCAGCACTTGAGGAGCCCTTCAGCCCACGGCTGCATGGTGGGAGCCCCTTTCTGGGCTGGCCAAGGTCAGAGCTGGCTCCCTCAGCTTGCAGGGAGGCATGGAGGGAGAGGCATGAGCTGGAACTGGGGCTACGTGTGCTGCTTGCCTGCCGGCTGGAGTTCTGGATGGGCGTGGGCTTGGCGGCCTTGCACTAGGAGCTGCCGGCTGGCCTTGCCGGCCCGGGCCGTGAGGGGCTTAGCACCTGGGCCAGCAGCTGCTGTGCTCGACTTCTCACTGGGCCTTAGCTGCCTCCCTGCGGGGCAGGGCTCGGGACCTGCAGCCCGCCATTCCTTAGCCTCGCCCCTCTGTGGGCTCCTGTACGGCCCAAGCCTCCCCGATGAGCACCGCCCCCTGCTCCATGGCACCCAGTCCCATCGACCACCCAAGGGCTGAGGAGTGTGGGTGCATGGAGAGGGACTGGCAGGCAGCTCCACCTGCAGCTCCTGTGCTGGGTCCACTGGGTGAAGCCAGCTGGGCTCCTGAGTCTGGTGGGGACTTGTAGAACTTTATGTCTAGGTAAGGGATTGGAAATACACCAATTGGCACTCTGTATCTAGCTCAAGGTTTGTAAACACACTAATCAGCACCCTGTGTCTAGCTCAGGGTTTATGAATGCACCAATTGACACTCTGTATCTAGCTACTAGGGTGGGGACTTGGAGAACCTTTGTTTGGACACTCTGTATCTAGCTAATCTAGTGGGGACGTGGGGAGCATTTGTGTCTAGCTCAGGGATTGTAAACGCACCAATCAGTGCCCTGTCAAAACAGACCACTCAGGCTCTCTGTAAAATGGACCAATCAGCAGGATGTGGGTGGGGCCAGGTAAGAGAATAAAAGCAGGCTGCCCGAGCCAGCAGTGGCAACCCACTGGGGTCCCCTTCCACACTGTGGAAGCTTTGTTCTTTTGCTCTTTGCAATAAATCTTGTTGCTGCTCACTCTTTGGGTCCACACTGACTTTATGAGCTGTAACACTCACCGAGAAGGTCTGCAGCTTCTCTCCTGAAGCCAGCAAGACCATGAACCCACTGGGAGAAATGAACAACTCCAGACCTGCAGCCGTAAGAGCTGTAACACTCACCGTGAAGATCTGCAGCTTCACTCCTGAGCCAGCGAGACCACGAGCCCCACCTGAAGGAAGAAACTTCAAACACATCTGAACATCAGAAGGAACAATCTCTAGACACACCACCTTTAAGAACTGTAACACTCACCAGGAGGGTCCACAGCTTCATTCTTGAAGTCAGTGAGACCAAGAACCCACCAATTCTGGACACACTTATACACTTGGCACTGGGAGGTCTGTATGGAGCAAGTGAAGAAATCAGCAGAGTGAAGATAGAAGGAGAACAACATGATGGGGGAAAGGCAAAGTTAGTGCCACATTGGTTTCAATTCTGCCACTCATGAGTGAGACCCGTGACCTCCTCTCTCTAAGACTCTGTTGTTCTTATCTGTAGAGTGGAGGAATAGAAGGACCTTTTAAAGTATTAACATTTCCTGACCTATCTGTAAAACACTTTCATTCAAACTGATGGGAATCTTGACTGCTTTGCCAAGAGGGCATAATAATCATCAAGCTGAATGCACCAAACAGCATTGCCTGAAACTATCTAAGCAAAATCTGAGAAAGTTACACAGGACAGACAAACCTCCTATGAGAGTAAGAACTCTTCAGCACATGCTTAGTGTGTCAAAGACAATACTGTGTTCACACCATTCCTCTTCCTGGACATGCAGAAAGACTACATTTCCCAGCCTCACTTGCAGTTAGTTTGGAACCATGTGACTGCATTTCCACCAATAGGAATGTAAGAAATCACTTCTGGGCCAAGGTTATCAAAGTGTGAGCTATGTTCCCTCTCTTCCTATTCATATGGCTACAAGTGAAAAACTCTGAGATGGCAGAATTAAAAGATGGAAACCTGCAGAATCTCTGAATCACTGTTGGACAAGGGCCCCCAAAGAGAACCCCTACCCTGCACCAGACTATGCTATGGGTGTCAACCCACTGAGAGTTCAGGGTTTATTCGTCTCAGCAGCAGTCTATTGTTACACTGACTAACATCCTGAGGTTTGAGAGGTCTAGCATATTGTTAACTGAAGTTAGATTTCAATTACACTGAGAACCTTATCTATTTAAAAATAAAAACTCTCCTAAAAAAAAAATCCACATTCCTTTTAACCACATGTGGCAAATTTGCAAAAAAAAAAAAAAAAAAAAAAAAAAAAACTGGCCACATATTAGGCCATAAATAAGTCTCAACAAAATCCACTATACGATTGACAGTGTCCAGAGCACATTTTCCTGACCATAATGCCACAAAATTAGAAGTCAACAGCAAGAAGATAGCTAAACGCAAGCATATATTTGGAAAATTAAAAATATCCTTTCATGAGTTAAATGAAAAATCATAATAGAAATTACTAAACATTTACAACTGAATGAAAACACAACTTTATATATATATGTATATATATAATGTGTGTATATATATATATATATATATATATATATATATTTTTTTTTTTTTTTTTGTGAGTCTTCCAAATTTGTTCTTCTTTTACAAGGTTATTTGGGAAATTCTGGGTCTCCTGCAATTCCTCTTACAGTTTTATGCTGTGTGTCAATTTCTGTGGCTGGGTCTATGAGAACTTATTGTAGTTCTCATAGACCAGGGTTTGCATGTTGCTGTCTAGAGCCCTGATCTGCTGCACCATGTCCGTCTCACTATCCATCAGCTGGGCCAGAGGGCACTCTCTAGGAAGCTTGTCTAGGTAAACTTCCGGGTCGAAGTGCACCCCGTTCAGATCAGTGGGGTCCAGGGGTTCGGTCCCCGCGGGGAGTCCCACCGCCTCCACTTCCGAGAGGCCGTTGTAAAACTTCAGCATCCTGTCCGCCTTCCACCGACGCTCCTTGAGCCTCCCCCTCGGGCCCTTCTGGGGAGTCCCCAGGTCCACACCCCGGGCTAGGCCCAGTGACAGCTGCCGCCGCCATAGCTCCAACTGCAGCCCACGGGCGTAACTTTTATATTTTTAAGTTGGATACATGGAGCTACTTGGCTTTTGCTTTCATCACCTCGTTGAGGAAAGAGCTGGTTGCTTATGGTACCCCTGTTTTTACTGCAACGTGTAATGGATGAGAACCTCCCTGTTGCAGAGAGCAAAACACTGAACTAAATTGTGCTGTAACACAGCTCTGTATTGGGGGAGTGGGAGTGATCATGCAAACGCTTGCAAATTTGCACAGTGACAGAGACAATCGTTTGGGCAGCTGTTCACTATATGAAAAGGCAATTGACCAAAAGTCAGTTACTGAGCTATCTCAATACTTTCATTTTATTTTAACTTTTGGCAGCAGGGTGCAATTAAAGGAGAGAAAGAAAACAAAGTGATAAGTGTAAAATAATGTACACACATGTGTAAAAGAAAATGACAAGACAGGATGACTATTTGTCTCTTGGTTAGCTCCTTGGGCTCTATGTCTCCTTCCTCGGAGAACCTCGTTTTCCTTTGCCCAGATTTGTTAGGGTGGATAATCCAGGCGCCTGCTCCCCCATGATGGAAGCCAAAGACGTCCCTGGAGCAGCGTCCCGCTGCATCCTTTCCTGCACTGCCCACATGGACACAACTCAGCCGATTAGTCTTCCTCTCAGAACTTTAGTCTTGAGCAAAGGGATTAAAGGGTGAAGTGACTGAAGGTATGCCCTTCCAAAGTGGTACGTGAGCTAATGGCTAAAGTTTGCCAAGCCCATCCAAGCACTTTTTTTCGTAATTTTTATTTATTTATTTTTTTGAGACGGAGTCTTGCTCTGTTGCCCAGGCAGGAGTGCAGTGGCGTGATCTCGATTCACTGCAACCTCTGTCTCCCGGCTTCAAAGGAGTCTCCTGTCTCAGCCTCCCCAGTAGCTGGGATGACAGGCGTATGCCACCATGCCTGGCTAATTTTTTTGAGTTTTTTTGGTATTTTTAGTAGAAACAGGGTTTCACCATGTTGGCCAGGCTGGTCTCGAAATCCTGACCTTGTGATTCGCCTGCCTCAGCATCCCAAAGGGCTGGGATTACACACGTGAGCCAACGCGCCCAGCTTCAAAGAGTTTTAAGCAGAGCTCAGAGGTCTTAACCACAGGCACATCGGAGGAGCATTTTTGAAACACTTTCCATCTTCCTCAATAGGAATGGAAGCCAAACTCCGAATTGATGACTCCTTTGAGGAAGTTGAGAGCTGTAAGGAAAGCCAGGAACAGGGGCAAGGGAGAGATGCGTCCCGAATGATCCTGTGCAAATTCTTTCTGGAATCCTTGATGTGATCTCAGCTGCCCTTTCTATACATGACACAGTGATTGTGGCACCCACTGGTCTAGCTGTGGTCTACAAGGAACCCCCAAAGGGAAGGGCACAGTGAGCAGGGGCATCCGCCTGAGTGACGAGGATTTGAGAGGGCAGGTTGGTTGCAGGGAGAGGACTTGCCAAATGACATGTGTCTGGACTTAGACTGCCTGGTTCAAATTGGACTTCACCCTTTTTGACTTCGTGATCTGGTACAAGCTACGTGAAAATCCGTTGAGCTTTTTCTAGTCTGTAAAATCATCATGAAATGTGCACTAATAACTGGGAGACTATGCAGATGAAATGAAACAAGCTGCATAGAGCACAGAGCTCAGAGCCTGGCCTTTAGGAAGCCCTCAGTAAGGGTTCATGATGCCATGGTGTCTGTCGTCATCCTCTTTATCCTCATCATCACCTTCATAATCTCTTTGTTGTTCTTAGGGAATAGCTAGAGGGGCTGATTCCCTGCTATCATGGGTGAGATGTTTATGAGAAGGACAACCAGTGGGGGAGGAAAGCAAAATTTTGAATAAGATTTCTGAGACCCCCAGCACAACCAAGAACATAAACTGCACAGTCTGCTGAGCAGAGAGTTGCATATTGGTCTCCTCACATCTGCCCACCGCACTCTCCTGTTTGTCCTGAGGATGAGGAAACAAACAAGTCTCCCGAACGTCCCTCAGCACTCACTTGAAGGGGTGGCCTCCTCCTCCACAGCTGTGGGTATTTCCAGTCGGGTAGGACGAGAGACTGAGAAAAGAAATAAGATACAGAGACAAAGTATGGAGAAACAACAGTGGGCCTAGGGGACCGGCGCTCAGCATACAAAGGACCTGCACCGGCACAGGCCTCTGAGTTCCCTTAGTTTTTATTGACTATTATTTTTATTATTTTAGCAAAAAGGAATGTAGTAGGAGCACAGGGTGATAATAAGGAGAAGGTCAGCAACGAACATGTGAGAAATAGAATCTACTTCATAAGGAAGTTCAAGGAAAGGTACTATGACTGGATGTGTACGTAAGCCAGATTTATGTTTCTCTCCACCCAAACATCTCAGTGGAGTAAAGAATAACAAGGCAGCATTGCTGTAAACATGTCTCGCCTCTCACCATAGGGTGGTTTTTCTCTCATCTCAGAATTGAACAAATGTACAATCGTGTTTTATACCGAGACATTCAGTTCCCAGGGGCAGGCAGGAAACAGCGGCCTTCCTCTCTCTCAACTGCAAGAGGCTTTCCTCTTTGAGTAATCCACCTCAGCACAGACCCTTTACGGGGGGCGGGCTGGGGGATGGTCAGGTCTTTCTCATCCCACGAGGCCATATTTCAGACTATCACATGGGGAGAAACCTTGGACAATACCCTGCTTTCAAGGGCAGGTCTCCCTGCGGCTTTCCACAGTGTATTGTGCCCCTGGTTTATTGATACTAGAGAATGGCGATGACTTTTACAAAGTATACTGCTTGGAAACATCTTGTTAACAAGGCACGTCCTGCATAACCCTAGATCCCTTAAACCTTGATTTCATACAACACATGTTTTTGTGAGCTTCAGGTTGGGGCAAAGTGGCTGGGGCAAAGCTACAGATTAACAACATCTCAGCAAAGCAATTGTTGAAAGTACAGGTCTTTCTCAAAATGGAGTCTCTTATGTCTTTCCTTTGTACATAGACACAGTAAGAGTCTGATCTCTCTTTCTTTTCCCTACACTCACTGAACTGCCTCTCCCCTCTGCTGGGACATGACCACGGAGAACAGGTCCACTGTCCTCCCTGCGTGGTGCACCATGGAGGCTCAGACTCCGTCCTCAAGGCTGGCAAGAAGACAGGGTGAGACATGAGCCTCCTGATACAGGTGACGGCTGTGGAGACCACAGGACTGCAACCTCACACTGCAGGGCTGGAGGCACAGACTGAGTATTTACTATCCTGTGGCCTGGGGGGCTCAGGCACAGAGCTCCTCATTAGCCAAAGCTGCCCAAGTTCCCCAACCTGTAAGGATGTCCTCACAATAATGCAAGAAGAAGAAGAGAAAAGTGAGTGTCCATAGAAACTTTGGGGCTCCTCCTCTAATCAGAAGAAAGCTGGTGTGTATTCTTCGCTTCTTTCTTTTCTTTTTAAACATCCAACTGCTTTAATTTTCATCTTTTATAATGGGAAAATATACCACGTATAAATATTAAAAATTATAAATATATATTAGTTCATATAGAATGACCAGTATAAACATTTACAATTTCCACTCTTTTTCAGTTTACAGATTATTGACATTAAGTACGTTCACATTATTTAGCAAGCATCACCGCCATCATCTCAGGAACAGTTTTATCTTTCAAAATGGAAATTCCACCCATTCACCAAGCTCTCCATTCCTTTCTCTCACCCACCCCTGGGGGCCACCTTTCTAGTTTGCAACTCTATGAGTTTAACTACTCTAGACACTTGATAGATAAGTGGAATCATACCGTGTTTAATTTTTTTGTTTTGGAGACAGAGTCTTTCTCTCTCACCCAGTCTGGAGTGCAGTGGCGTGATCTCGGCTCACTGCAACCTCCACATCGTGGGTTCAAGCGATTCTTGTGTCTCAGTCTCCCGAGTAGCTGGGATTACAGGCTTGCACCACTACGCCCAGCTAATTTTTGTATTTTTAATAGAGACGAGCTTTCACCATATTGGCCAGGCTGGTCTCGAACTCCTGACCTGAAGTGATCCGCCTGGCTCAGCCTCCCAAAGTGCTGGTGTTACAGGTGCGAGCCACTGAGCCTGGGCCTGTTTATCCTTTTGGGATTTATTTATTTCACTGACGATAATGTCTTCAAGGTTCATCCATGTTGCGGCCTGCCTCAGAAGTGCCTGTCTGTTTTTTTTGTTGTTGTTGTTTTTTGTTTGTTCGTTTGACTTTGTTTTGTTTTGTGTTTCCATGGAGTCTCACTCTGTCGCACAGGCTGGAGTACAGTGGCACAATCTGGGCTCACCTCCGCTTCCCGGGTTCCAGTGATTCTTGTGCCACATCCTCCCGAGTAGCTGGGACTATAGGCACACGCCTCCATGCTCATCTCATTTTTTGCATTTTCAGTAGGGACAGGGTTTCCCCAAGATGGCCAGGCTGGTCTTGAATTCCTGACCTCAGGTGATCCGCCCACCTCGGTCTTCCAAGACGCTGCGATTACAGGCGTGAGCCACCGCACCGGCCAGAAGTGCCTGCCTTTTGAAAGCTGAATAGTCTTCCATTGTATGAAGGAACTGCAGTGTGCTTTTTCATTCATCTGTCCACGAACCCTTGGGTTGCTTCCACATTTTGGCTCTTGTGAATAATGCTGCTATGAATATGGGTGTACACAAATCTGTCTTCCACTCCTGGCTTCTTTTTTGTAGGTACCCACAAATGCAACTGCGGCAACATCTGATCATCCTGTTTCTAATTTTTCCAGTAGACACCATACTATTTTCCCCGTTCCTTCACGGTTTTACATTCCCTCTGATCAGATTCGAGCATTCCTACTTCCCTCTAGTCTCACCAATCCTGTTTGTTTATCATATCCATCCTAATGTGTGGTGTCACATTCTTGGTTTGATTTGCGCTTCCCTATGATGAGTGATTTTGAACATCATTTTAGATGCTTATTGGCCACTGCTATATCTTCTTTAGGAACACGTCTACTTGAGTCTTCTGACCATTGTTGATGGGATGCTTTGGGTTTCTTGTTGTTTAGTTCTGCCTGTTCTTTATGTATGATGGATATCAGCCTCTTTTCAGATATACGCTTTGAAAATATTTTTCCTAATCCATGGGTTATCTTTTCACTCAGTTTGCCGTGATTTTGCTGCACAAAAGTGTCTGTCATTTCGATGTAATCCAAGGAATCTAATTTTCTTTTGTTGCCTATGCTTTTGGTGTCACATCCCAGAGAACATTGCCCAATCTGATGTCATGAAAGCATGGCCAATGTTTTCCTTTAGGCGAATGATTCTTTTAGCGCTTGGGGTGAGGTCTTTGATCCAGTTTGTGTTAATTTTTGCCCCTGGTGTGACATAGGGTCCACCTTCAATCTTCTGCATGTGGAAATCAAGTTTCTCCAACACCATTTCTTGAAAAGGCTGTTTTTCCACCAATGAGCTTTCTTACCACTCATGTTAAAAATCATTTGAACATACAGGTGACAAGTTATTTCTGGGCTCCAAAATAAACAAACAACAGCAGACAACAGATAATGTTACAGCATGGGCTGGGCGCGTCGCTCAAGCCTGTAATCCCAGCACTTTGGGAGGCCGAGGTGGGCGGATCACCTGATGTCAGGAGTTGAAGACCAGCCTGACCGACAGGGAGAAACCTCCGTCTCTACTACAGGCGCATGCCTGTAATCCCAGCTACTCGGGAGGTGGAGGCAGGAGAATTGCTTGAACCCAGGAGGCAGAGGTTGCGGTGAGCCAACATTGCACCATGACACTCCAGCCTGGGCAACAAGAGCGAAACTCCATCTCAAAACAAAAAACAAAAAACAAAAAACCAGCATGATTTCAAGAGCAGAAAGAGAAGAGCTGAAAAACCAGCATAATGAGAAAATTAGGAAGTTTCTTACCAAAGCATCTGGAAATATTCAAGAAATTCTTGTGAACTAAAATTTTCATACTGTACAATCAAACACTAGAACTCACTTATTCCATCTTTCTGTATTTTGGGACCCAATTATCCACTTGTCTTCATTCCCCATCCCAACCCTTTTCTTCCTAGCGTCTGCTAACCACCTTTATACTTTCCACCTTCCTGAGATTCCTTTTGTGTGTAGGTGTGTGATGGAGTCTCTTTATGTTGCCCAGGTTGGAGTACACAGGCACAATCCGGGCTCACTGTAAGCTCCGTCTCCCGAGTTCAAGCGCTTCTTGGGCCTCAGCCCTCCAAGTAGCTGAGACTAGAGGCACGCGTCACCACGCCCGGCTAATTGTTTGTTTTTTCCGTAGAGACGGGGTTTCACCATGTTGGCCAAGCGGGTCTCGAACCCCTGGACTCAATTGATCCGTGCGACTCGGCCTCCCAGAGTGCTGGGATTACAGGTCTGAGCCACCACGCCTGGTCAAGGTTTCCTTTTTTCTTCCTACGTAGAAGTGAGGACATGAAATATTTGACATTCTGTGCCTGGCTTATTTCATTTAATATACAGACCTGCAATCACATCCATTTTGTCTGCAGCAGAGAGGATTTTCTTCCTCTTTAGGCTGAATAATACTTCATTGGGTGTGTATACCACAGTTTCTTTATTGAAACAAATTTCTAAAGAGCAAATATTTTTAAAGTCTCAGAATGTGAAACTTCAGGGATACCGTGCCCATTTTATTCTTTTCTATTTCCCATCTTATGTATATGCAAGTGTATAACAAAGCAGCAATTGATGTGTGTATAAATCTATAACTTCAACAATTGCAAAATGTAAATGCTAAGTGGTGGCTGGGCGCGGTCCCTCATGCGTGTAATCCCAGTACTTTGGGAGGCGGAAGCGGCCGGATCACCTGAGGTCAGGAGTTCAAGACCAGCCTGACCAAAATGGAGAAACATTGTCTCTACTAACAATACAACAACAACAACAACAAAAAGATAGCCAGGCATGGTAGCGCATGCCTGTAATCCCAGCTACTTGGAAGGCTGAGACAGGAGAATTGCTTGAATACGGGAGGCAGAGGTTTCAGTGAGCCGAGACCGTGCCATTGAACTCCAGCCTGGGCAACAAGAGTGAAACTCTGACTCAAAAAAAAAAAAAAAAAAAAAAAAAAAGGACAGGAAGGAAATAGAAAATGCGAAATGGTAAGAAAAAACAGCATAATAAACATTTGTATGGCGTTGATGGACAATGCATTTGAAGATAATATTTGAAGAAATCATATTACAATTAATTTCTGTTCTTACTCATTGCAGCTTGATGCCTCTAAAAACTTCGTCATTGGAACCATCTCTGGTGCTTTAAAAGAAAAAAAAAAAATCCACACACTCACACAGGTGCAAGGAAATCAGAATCTCAGGTATTGAGAACCAGTCCTCATCATGTGTAAGCTGCCCAGGTGATTTGACTCAAAGCCAAGATTGAGGAACGGCGACATGGATATCTACACAGAACCTGCCTAAATAGATTCTCTAGAAGAAGTTTATAAAGAAATTCCACATGAACTGTGGAAGAGGATATGAATTTGATGTACAGTATGTCCTCACTTAACATCTTTGAAAGTCTCTTGGAAACTTCACCTTGAAGCAAAATTATGTACAGTGAAACCACTTATTTTTCATCAACAGTATAACTACACGACTTTGAACAACCAATGCTGTTGGAGGACCTTCTGTACATTGTTTCCATAAAGTCAGTTTTCAGGGAATTCCAAAACGAAGTGAGGACTTCGTGTATATAAAATGATGGTTGTGATTCCACCTGGATGACATGGTTATTGCTCAGAGACTAAAAGAGGCCACCTAGGTATAGAAGATTCTGTCATGAGGTTTCTGCTAAACCAAGGATCCCAGAATCGTCACTCATTCCAGATAAAGGCATAACGAAGAAAGCAATATTCACAAAGGAAATGCGGAAAGGAATAAAAACCATCAAGCCACAAAAAGAATGTGACTAAGGGGCAGGATTTGCAGATAAAGAGATTTAATGTGATTGCCCTTTCTCACCCACACAAGAAAAAGGATGGAACAGATCATGAGATTCGAATGCTCTGCTGCCCAGCCTCCGCAGGGCACTTTGTATGTCCCTGTTTCTCAGGCTGCAGATGAAAAGGTTCAGCATGGGGTGACCACAGCGTACATCACTGATGCCACCACACCATTCCTGGGGGGTGGTGACACAGCTGAAGTCAGGTACATGCCAATGCCTGTTCCATAAAACCAGCAAACAACTGCTAGATGACAGCCACAGGTGGAGAAGGCTTTATACTTCCCATCTGACGATGAAATCCTTAGAATGGAGGGGACAATTTTATAGTAAGACAAAAAGATCCCTGAAATGGGAAGAAAACCAAACATAGTACTATCGAAATATATGAATATGTTATTGATGACACTGTCAGAACAGGCAAGTTTGAGAAGTTGAGAGGGGTCACAGACCAAATTAGAGATTTCCACATTCTTGATGATGGTTAATTGTAACACAATCCAACTGTGCAGCTGGGAATCCAACAGGCTAAGGAAAAAGGACACCAAAACGAAGAAGACACAGAGGTGAGGATTCACGATGACTGGGTAGTGCAGAGGGCGACAGATGGCTACAAAGCAGTCATAGGCCATCACAGTCAGGAGCATGCCTTCTATACATGCAACAAGGAGCAGGAAAGACATCTGTGTCAGGCAGCCCGCATGAGAGATGACTCTGCTATGCGACTGCGTGTCCACAATCATCTTGGGAACCATGGCCGAGGTGAAACCGATGTCAGGCCAGCACAGGTTGGAGAGGAAGAAGTACATGGGGGTGTGGAGGGGGCAGTCAGAGCTGACAGCCAGGATGCTGAACAGGTTCCTCAGCACCGTGACCAGATACATGGACAGGGACAGGGACAGCAAAGCGAGGGCCGGCTGCAGTTCTGGATCCTCTGAGAGTCCCAGGAGGAGGAATTCTCAGACACCTGTGAGATATTAGTCCCAACATCCCAGAGGGTGTACACTACCCCTGTGATATTGTCCCTAACTTCCAGAGGGGAGAGGATGACATCACTCCCAATATCTCAGAAGTTGTACATCCCCCGTGATATTGTTCGTCATATCCAGGGAGGCGCAGGATGACATTCCATTGAATTTCGCGACAGGCCTACACGCACAGTGTGATACTGTTCCTACTATCCAAGAAGGGAGAGGATGATATTACTCACAATAAAGCAGTGGGTGTACATCACCTCTGTGTTGTTGTCTCTAATATCCGGGGCCGGGGGAGGAGGGGAGAGGATAACATTGCCTCCAATTTAGCAGGTGGTTTGACGCCCCTTGTGCTGTTGTTTTAAATATCCAGCGGGGAAGACAGTAGTACTATTTTTGATAGTCCGATTCATCCTCTCCACCTTTCCGGAACTCTGAGGCCGGGAGGCGGCATGTAGTTTCCGTGCGATCCCCAATACCTTTGCCGTTTTCTGTACCAAGGCAGCCAAAAACGCAGGCCCGTTGTCTGAGCCGATCCATAAGGGCGGTCGAAATCTAGGAATCACATCTCGAAGAAGCACAGGGATTACTTCACCAGCTTTCTCAGTTCGTGTTGGATAGGCCTCCACCCACCCAGAGTAGGTACGCCCAAGAACCAGTACATGCTTGTTACCTCCACACTTTGGCATCTCCGTGAAGGTGAAGTCCACCTGGAGACCTTCAAAGGGGGCTGCTCCACAAGCTCGTATGCCGGGCGGAACGGCTGGACCTTGACTCCCATCTTGCTGTCAGCAGGTAACACACCGCTGCCTCACCGTTTTGGCAAGGGTTGACAAAGGCGAGATGTAGAAATACCGGCCTAACAACTTTTCCAGTGACTCCTGACCTCGATGGGTGTTTTCTTGCACAGCCAGTACAACTGCAGCTCCTAGCAGCTGTGGCACAGCTACTCTCCTATCTGGTAACTGAATCCATCCTTCCTCCATCACTTGTCCTTCCCTCTACCTGGAGAAAGTCCTTTCTTCTTTAGAAGAAGCAGGTCCAAGATCAGGTGCTTGAGGGAGCACTGATGCCCAGAAGGGGGCAGTTGCTGCTTTTCGAGCCTCTGACTCAGCGCGGGAATTCCCCAAACACAGCAAGGTGGAAGCTCGCTGGTGTCCTCTGCAATGCCTAACTGCCACCTTGTGGGGTTTCCATACTGCTTCTAATCATTGCAAGATTTCTTGTGGATATTTTCTGTCTTTCCCCCCAGAATTCAATAGGCCCTTTTCTTTCTATCACACTCCATGCACTTGAAGGGTTAAAAAGACATACTGAGAATCAGTGTAAGTGTTGACAGTCTCACCCTCACTGAGTTCTAAGGCCCAAATGAAAGCATTAAGTTCAGCTTTCTGGGCTGAAGTGGCCTGGGGCAACGACCTGGTTTCAACAACAGTGTCCAGAGTTATCACTGCATACCCTGCACCTCTCTCTCCTTGGGGGTTGAAGAAGCTGCTCCCATCCACGTGTGGCTCCCAGTCTACTGATGCCCAAGTCTGGTCCCGGAGCTCAGGTCTGCTAGAGTCAATTGAGTCCAACACTTCTACACAATCAGGCTCGACAGGGCTCCCTGATACCGGCAGCAAGGTGGCGGGGTGTAGGGTGTTACAAACTTCAATGGTTATACGGGGATTTTCACAGACCAAAGTTTGGTACTTGGTGAGCCTGGCATTCGTTAGCCAATGACGTCCTTTAGTATTCATCACCACAGCACGGGAGGCCTTTATGTTCAGGTTTCGCCCAAGAGTCAGCTTATTTGCTTCTTGTACTAGCAGGGCAGTTGCTGCCAAGGCCCTCCAACAGGGGGGCCATCCTTTAGAAACTCCGTCTAGTGGTTTACAGAGGTAGGCCACCAGCCTCAGCCAGGGCCCCACAGTTTGGGTTCAAAGTCCAGCTGCCATCCTTTCTCTCTCTGATGCATACAATGGAAAAGGCTTTGTCAGATCGGGTAGCCTCAGGGCTGGTGCTGCCAGAAGTTTTTCCTTTAACTCATGAAATACTTGCTGTTGTTGGGATCCTCATTCCAAAGATTCCCCGTCCCCGTCCCCCTTGTGACCTCATACAAAAACTTGGCTAATACTGCAAAGTTTGGGATCCACAGTCTACAAAACCCCACAGCTCCTAAGAATTCTCCTACCTGCCTTCTGCTCTTAGGCTCCGCTAGATGGCAAATGACCTGCTTTCTTTCTGATCTCGGGCTGCGTTCCGACCCCTGTCGGATAGTAAATCCCAAGTAACGTACCTGCTGTCGGCAGATCTGAGCTTTCTTCTTGGACACCTTCTACCCACAGTCCTCCAGGTGCGGTGTAGGGCATCTGTTCCCTTGGCACACCCGACTGCCGTGGGGTGTCCCAGCAGAAGGTCATCAACCTACTGGAGCAACAAGCAGCCTAGGTCTCTGCTAGGAAACTTCTGGAGGTCTCGATCCCATGCCTCCCCGAAGATGGTGGGGGAGTTCTTGAACCTTTGGGGAAGCCCGGTCCAAGTGTACTAAGTAGTGACACCTGACTCCGGATCTTCCCACTGAAAGGCAAACAGCTTCTGCCTCTCAGGGGCTAATCTGATAGGAAGGAAAGCGTCTTTTAGGTCCAAGCAGGTGAACCAGCTGTCCTCAGCTGGCGGCAACCCCAACAATGTGGACGGGTTAGGTACTGTTGGATGTAAAGTCAGTGTGGCTTGATGAAGCAAGCGCAAATCCTGTACCGGCCGGTAGTCCTTGGTCCGTGGCTTGGGAACAGGCAGGAGGGGAGTGTTCCATGGAGACTGACAAGGAACAATCATTCCAAACGTTCTTAGGTGCTTGAGATGGACCTGGATACCTTGAAGGGCTTCTCTGGGGACCGAGTCCTGTTTTTGCCTCACCGGCTGGGCCCCAGTCTTAACTGGCCAATCCTGGAGGGTTCTCTTCTGCCCGAACTCTTGGCCAGCGCTTAGCCAGAGCTGGTCTTTTCTCTTTGCCCGGGTCAGTTCAGAAAAGTCTCCATTCCTCCTCTCGGGGGACCATAAGCGTCATAATGACTCCCATTCCGGGTAACTTTAGCAGCAAAGAGCCGTGCTCTGTGAAAGAGGCAGTGGCTCTCAGCTTGCTGAGCAAGTCCCTTCCTGAAAAGTTCAAGAGACTGTCAGGCATGTAACAAAACTGATGAATGACTTTATGTCCTCCTACAGGACAAGTCCAAGGCAAGCAGAAAGCTTGCTTTGCTGAAACCCCCGTGGCTCCGATGACGTCAGTAGTCTTTTTCGGTAAGGGGACAACCGGGGCGGTTACTAGCGAATGTTCAGCACCGCTATCTACAAGAAAGTTAATGTCTCCACCCCTGACTGTCATTCTGAACAGATGTCAGAATGGGGATGCTTGAGCCCGGTCTCCCTCAGTCCAAGAACCCTTCCGCCAGGTTGAGCAGGGCCCCTTCCTCCTTGTCCGGGGCCTCCGGCTCTGAGTCACCTTCTTTTCTTTTGAGCTGAGGGCATTTGTTCTTCCACTGTCCTATTTCTTTACAATCAGCACACTGGTTACGCTGCAAACTCTGACAGCCAAGCTGAGTTTCTTTCCCAGGGCCCCCTTTCCCTTGCCTCTTTGCGGGGGCCCCTCTGATTGCTGCAGCTGACAAACAGGTCGGCGTGTGGCCGGGCCTGACCTCCATTCTCTTTGCCGTTTTCCTTACGGCTTACTGCATACCTGTTTACAAACACCTGGCTAGCTATTTCTAGTAATTGGGATGGATTCTTCCCTGCAAGCCCAGTCTGTTTCTGCAGTTTTCTTCTCATGTCTTCTGCACTTTGATGGACTAAAGCCATGTGAATCATGCGCTGATTTTCAGGGCTATCGGGATCAAAGGGAGTATACATATGATAGGCCTCATACAGTCTCTCGTAGAATTGTGCTGGACTTTCTTCTTTTCCCTGAATGACCTCAGAGAGCTTGTTAACGTTTGTGGCCTTCTGAGCTCCCCTCATTAATCCTTCCAAGAGAGCTTCCCTGTCTCGGTTTAGCCTTTGCATCTCCTCTCTTTCATGTGGGTCCAACTGGGGGTCGGTTCCTGGCAACTGGGTCCTTCCATACTGTTCGGGGTTTTGATAATCAGCTGGTGCATGTTCCTCTAGCCACTTAGTTGCTGCTTGGAGGACTCTCTGCCTTTCTTCACTGTTAAAGAGGAAAATGAGCAACTGGTGCCAATCGGTCCAGGTGTGGTTGTGGGTCTGGATAACAGTTTGGAGCAAATCAATTAGGGCTTGTGGCTTTTCGGTATAGGGCGATGTATTGTTTTTCCAGTTGAGAAGGTCGACGCAGGTGAAGGGCTGGTACCCAAAAACACGTCTCTCCACTACATGAGCATTTTCATCTATCCCAGTATACCGCTGCTCTCTCAGGGGCATTTGTGTCCCCGTTTTGGGTCGTAAACGAGCTGCCGAGGAAGGGGTGGAATGGCGCAATGCGACTTACCGCAATTAATAATCTCAATTATTAACTGACACTAATAATTATCAATATTAATAACCCATAATATAATTTTAAAAATCAATACGGATACTAATGATAATTAATATTAAATAGTTATACTAACAATAACAATACATGATTAATATTGATGATTATGACGCCTGATATTAATAACTGATACTGATCTTATTCTTTAGAAAATAGTAATATTAGCTCCTAATAATTAATATTAATATTAATAATCTGAGAACTTTTTATTAGCAATTACTTCTTAATATTAATATTAATATCGGCCATTCATATTCATGTTAATAAAAAACAAGGAATAATTCATACTAATAGTATGCCCTAATACCTCAGTGGGTGTACACCCACCTGTGATATTGTTCCTAATGTTCAGGGAGGGAGAGAGCATGATATTACGTTCAATATCGCAGCAGGTGCACACCCAGCCGGTGATATTGATCCGAATATAATCTCCAGGGGGTGGAGTATGACATTACTCCCAATATAGCACTGGGTGTGCATCCACCCGGTGATTTTGTTCCTAATATTCATGGAAGAAGAGAATGCTATTACTCCCAACATCGTAGGAAGTGTACACCCCCGTGTGACGTGGTTCTTAATAATATTCCAAGGCGGAGGGGGTGATATGACTACACATATGGCAGAAAGTGGACACCCCCAAGGATATTGTTCCCACGATCCTGGAGGGAAGAGGATGATATTGCTTTCAGTATCACAGAAGTTGGACACGCCCCCACTGATATTGTTTGTAATTGCAACGTGGGAGAGGAGGATATGACACGCGATATCCGAGGGAGTAGAAACACCCCTGTGATACTGTTCTTAATATTCAGAGAGGGAGAGGATGATATGACTCCCAATACAGACGGTTGTACAACCTCTGTACGCCGGGGTGAACACTGGTGGGTGAAACAGTTCACAATCTCCAGAGCGGGAGACGATATTACTCACAATATGATAAACAGGCTGTGAGTCCACCGCGGATCCTAAAAACCAG
Source organism: Homo sapiens (assembly GCF_000001405.40). Lineage (NCBI taxonomy): Eukaryota > Metazoa > Chordata > Mammalia > Primates > Hominidae > Homo > Homo sapiens. Next base: position 7,253,076 of record NC_000008.11, read on the forward strand.
GGGGGCAAGAGGGGTTAGCTCTTACTCTGCGCATGGCGGGGCGTGCCTCACCCCCTGCGATGGGGGTCCTAAGAGCCAGGAGGTAAGATGGGAAGGCTCTTAATACCCGCATCAAGGGGCGTGCCTCACACCACTGCGATGGGGGTCCTGAGAGCCAGGGGGGCAAGAGGGGCTGGCTCTTACCCCAAGCATAGCAGGACGTGACTCACCCCGCTGCGATGGGGGAAACTAAGAGCCAGGGGGGCAAGAGGGTTTGGCTCTTACAACCCGAAACGGGGGGAGTGCCTCACAACCTGCGATGCGGGTCCTAAGAGCCAGGGAGGCAAGGGGGGATGCGGGAGACAGTGGCTGTCCTCCATCTAAATTGCAAGAGGCTTTCCTCTTTGACTACTCCACCTCGGCACAGACCCTTTACGGGTCTCAGGCTGGGGGACAGTCAGGTATTCCCCATCCCACAGGGCCATATTTCAGACTGTTACATGGGGAGAAACCTTGGACAATAACCTGCTTTCAAGGGTAGAGGTCGCTGCGGCTTTCCACGGTGCATAGTGCCCCTGGTTTATTGAAACTAGAGAATGGCAATGACTTTTACCAAGTATACTGCTTGTAAACATTTGGTTAACAAAGCACATCCTGCACAGCCCTAGATCCCCTAAACCTCGATTTTATACAACACAGGTTTTCTGAGCTCCAAGTTGGGTCAAAGGGGCTGGGGCAAAGTGGATGAGGCAAGGCAACAAATGAACAACATCTCAGCAAAGCAATTGTTTAAACTACAGGTCTTTTTCAAAATGGAGTCTCTTATGTCTTCCCCTTCTACATAGACACAGTGACAGTCTGATCTCTCTTTCTTTACCCTACATCCAAGGGCTTGAACATTTCTTGACTTGTTGGCAATCCAAATCGTTACGTCTCCGAAACAGAGTTGACTGAGGGGACCGCAGGGCTGGGCAGGACCTTTGACTTGCTATACATCCACAGGAGCAAGAAAACCTCAGCCCCACTCTACCAACACGCACCTAGTAAAATCCCGCCAACCGCATCTCACGCACGCTAACACGTGGGGAGCGTTGCTTGCACCACGAGTCCCCATTTGGCTCAACCGCCGATGCCAAGTGTGTGGTTCCAGTTGCGACGGCCCCCCGTGAAGTGGCTTCCGGATGTGCGAAGGAACCAGGCAGAGTTTCACTGGCCAAATAGACCCCAGCAAAGCTGAAGTTAACTCCCACATTTGGGATGTACTTCAGAGGTAAAACATTCATCCCGTCTTCTTTCCGGATGTCTGACACCATGGTTCTCCCCCTGATCCTAAGAGTAGCTGAGGTAGAGACTCACTGAAAGATCTAGGCGGGGATGTCCCATCATGCACAGGCTCTCTCCATTCTCTGACCTGGGAACAACTCTCAGCAGGATTCCACATCTAGGAGGCCTCGGAACTCAGTGGGATTTTCTGAGACACACCAACTGGCTGCTCCCTCTCCGCCGCTGTTGAGGGTCGTTATCTTGATTATCCAGATCACCTAGAAAGTATCCGTATCCAGAATGAATAAGATCAACTCTCTGCTCCTCTGACAGCAGAGGGAGCAGGACCATAAGGAACCAAAGAGCGTGGAAGGAAACGATGTGACAGGAAAGCTCAGAGAACGGCCACAGGGGGTCGTCAGCAGGCCTTCCAACCTGAATCATGAATAATTAATGAAGCGCAAATCAAAGGGGACTGGAGTTTCAGCAGGAGCAATTCATCCAACGGGAGATCGCCGGAGGGCCAACAAGATTGAGAGACTGGGAGCCGGGTGCAGTGTCAAAGGGGACGCGACTGGTTCCAAAGCTCGAGAAGACCATGGGGTCACTTGGGCTACATGAGAAAACGCCCCAGTGTGCTGGTTCATCATTCCGACTCCTGCCTGTCTCTTCCCGTCCAAGGAACATGGACCCTAAGTCGTGCAGGTGCGGATGACCATGGGCAGAATTAGGGGCCGTGGCACAAAAGTTCACCGACACGGGAGTTCCACAGAAGGTGCGGTGGATCTTCGCAAATCCAGAGACATGGCAATGGGACCCAGGGAATTAGAGCCTCACAGGCGTCCGGGAGTCGCAAGACGAGCTGAAAAAGGAGCCAGGCACTGAAGGACAAAGCGTTGTTGACTTTCCTCATCTGTGTTTCCCAGTGCGGTCCAATTCACGGTGGTTTCCAAGCGCCTCCTGGGGGAGAAAACACATGAGGGTGCGGTCAGGGTTCTCTGCTGACAGACTTACCTTGGGGAAGAAAGAGAAGCTCTGAAGATGGATCATGGCCGTGACTGCATGTCAAGGAGAGTCTCCTTGATGACACTGAGGCCTACGTCGAGAGAGACAAAATGTGGTCCAATTAAAAGGTGTCTATTTTACCACATTTTTTAAAACGAAACAAAACAAAACAACAAAAAAGATGGAAAAGAAGACAGGGGTACAGGCACCAGTGTTACATGTCTGACGGGGAACATCTATTGTTCAAAGCTTGCAGCTGTACAAGTAGGTTTTAGAATGTCTGTCAGCAGTGGACAGGATCTTAGAGTGGGCTGTGCAGATAGACCTTTCCAGGTCATGTAATTGGATTAAGTTAATTGCAATTAAGGTACAGGTAACTGATTAGGTTAGGGTACGTTCCATGTCAGGTGACCAGAGGCAGTATAAAAGGCAGCCTGGAAAGCAGAGGTCCCTCTCCGCCCCTTCCTCCGTCGTTCTGGATGCTGCATCGCTTCCAGCGGGGCTGCTGCAGCACCTGCCCATCTCAGCGCCAGCCTGGGAAAGAAAGTAGACGTGTAACTTCAGGTTAGTTTCGCTGAACAATTGTTTCTTTCACGCAATCCCTGAGGGGTGTTTTGCGGGGGGTGTGGGGGAGGAAGAGACAAAGGAGGCCGAAAGAAACCGATCACACTGGGGCTTGCTGGTGGGGTAGGATGTGTTCTCGTTACTAGTAATTCTTGGAACAGAAAACGAGAAAACATATCCGTCTCCACGTGTGGGAGAAGACCAAGATGGGAATGCGAAAAGAAATGTACTGCAGCATGCTGAATTGGTGGGTAAACGGCAAAAGGACTTTGGAAAAAAGGGTGGTTGGCCCTTGAGCCGTGTAAGACGTCGATACGATATGGCACTTCTTCCCCGTTTGTTCAGATGAATTCGTGTGGTATGCGTAAAATACCAGGAAAATAAATAAAGAGGGGCTGGAGCTAAAGCCAAAAGATAGAACAGGAAAGACCATCACCTGCTAGTGCGGTAGAGAGGAAGGTAACTTCTCTGTATGAATTTGTGTTTGGAAGTTGCCTAATGAAATGGCAAGAGTAGCGATTCAAGTTGTCACAGGAAGCATCCCTTATCCCTGACTTCAAGCAGACCTGCCAAAGGGTGGCACACGCCATGCCCTGTGTCTTCGATCATTCTGTCCGTCAAGGGAGATAGAATCACCGTGTCTTCTACCGGAGTGAATCGTGAGAGACCTAAGTCCAGTCTCCAGAATCAGTTGTTTGTTTGGGGTTGAAAGCTCAACCCCCCATACCTAGGCCACGGGCCCTGTGGCAGGTGGGGTTTACTCTTGGACTAGGTAGTCATGGCAGAGGAACACACAATATCCGAGGATGCGCACAGCACATTGTGTGCTACAGATTTGACCGACTGGTGGTGAGGTCTCCTCATGACCACACAGGCAGGGAGTTAGCAGGTGGCTTCCTGTGGGTGTGTGAATATCCAACGTGCTTAACCATCGACATGTGTGTGTTTGTGTGTGTTTCAGGTGGCCCAACAGTCCACCCCTGAAAAAGGCGGTCATAAAACCCCCAGGAGACGAAGATGATGGCACGTCGGGACCCCACATCTTGGGCCAAGAGACTGGTGAGAGCCCAGACCCTCCAGAAGCAGCGGAGGGCCCCAGTTGGGCCAAGGGCTCCCCCGCCCGATGAAGAAGATCCCAGGGTAAGTCTAGCCCTGGATCTCTTGGGTATCGGGGTGGGGGTGGGGACGGGGGGAGGGGGTGTCCCACGGTCCTCAGAGACTGGGTTGGATTCCAAAGAGTTCTGTCACCACCAGCCAGGTTGCTTTTCCCATCCAAGGTGGGCGTGGCTTGGGACCTTCTCCCCGGCCCGATAGGTCCCTTGAGAGACTCTTGGGGGCAACCTCCCTTTCTACTTAGAGTCCTGTGTAGCCACGTTTGGCTGCGTTGTTGACATCGGCTTCACCATCGTGCCCCTTGGAACCTTGAGTCCTTCCTTTCAGAGTTCCTCCGTCACACGGGCTTTGCGAGGGAACATCGTATCCGAACTCTCCCAGCACTTAACGGCCCCCATGCCGGTGTCCCCTCTTTGGAATCCTTATTCAGCTCTGAATTCACAATCCGTCCCAATGTTGACGTGGGATCGCTGCCTGTGGCTTCAGCTCACTCACTGACATCACTTCCTTTCCACCCACAGCTCAAGTGCAAAAACTGCGGGGCCTTTGGCCACACGGCCAGAAGTACCAGGTGCCCCATGAAGTGCTGGAAGGCAGCCCTGGTTCCAGCGACCTTGGGGAAAAAGGAAGGGAAGGAAAACCTGAAACCATGGAAGCCCCGGGTTGAAGCCAACCCGGGGCCCTTGAACAAGGATAAGGGAGAGAAGGAAGAGAGACCAAGGTGAGCAGTGGGAGGGGTTTTCACCACTCTTGGGGTACTGCCTCCTAAGGACATGGTGTCTCTGCACCTGCACACCGTGTGCCTTTCCGTCTCCGGGCCAGGGAAGGAACGCTGCAGAGAAATAGGCCGGAGCTCCGTGTCCTCCGGGGTTCCACACCCAGGAGCTCCTTGGGCTCTGGGAGATTCAGGGACGGGGAGAGGCGGGGGCGCTTCGTGCAGGTTCCCCGCCACAGCGGGAAAAGCGATGGAATCCAAATCACAGTCCTTAGTTGGGGAGCCTAGAGGGCCACCTGGAGGATGGGAAGGTTGGCACGTGAGGGAAGGTGCAGAGGCGGAAAGGGCACCAGATGTCCATTTCTGTATCACAAGACACGGAATGGGGCTGGGCCCCAGACGGGGTTCTCCCTGTCTCCTGGGGAAAACCAGGGGGCACGGCCTGACCTTTTTCTGTTCTGCAGGCAACAAGACCCGCAGAGGAAGGCTCTCCTCCACATGTTTTCCGGGAAACCTCCAGAGAAGCCGCTGCCGAATGGAAAAGGATCCACGGAACCTTCTGATTATCTGAGGGCGAGTGTCACCCCGGGCCCCTGGTCTTTTTCTCCTCTAGGTCACCCTGGTTGATTTCCTTTCAGCTTCCCGTCTGCGGGAGGAAATCGGGGAACCCCTCTTTCTTGCCTTCTTGGGGTCAGGGACTCCACGATCCTTCCAGGTCAATTGGATTCCAGGCGAAGGCATCTGAACATGCCGTATTTCCTGTTGCTTTCTTTCTGTCCAATTATGGCAAGCCTGCCAACAACACGTTCCTAGCGGCATGAGGAAATTAGTCCCTCAGAGGCCCCAAACGTGGAGAAGGCGAAACCCAGGAACATGCATGTGTTCAGAGAAGACGTCCCGAGTACCCTTGAGCCAGCAACCTGCCTTGGGAAGGGCATTAGTCCGTTCCACTTCATGGAAGGCTGAGTGGAGGCGCTTTGATCCAGTTAATGCCCAAGACGCGATCTTTTGAACAATGGTGTGCTTAGATCAGCTACACATAGCTCGAGAGCGCATCTTTCATGTGTCTTGTCCTGATCAGCACTCAGGTGGAGGGTCTGTCCCTACTTCCAAGGACCGCCTGTCGATACTGTACTAAGAATTTCATGGCGTGTGCACCTTGTCTTTGGATGTGCTTGATTTTCACGTTGGCTCCATGCTGAGGAACTTCTAACCTGTGTTGTTTCCTCTCTTTCAGGTTGCAAGCGGGCCAATGCCGGTCCACACAACCAGTAAGAGGCCGCGCTTGGACCCTGTCCTCGCTGATCGCTCAGCTACCGAAATGTCTGGCAGGGGCTCCGTCTTGGCTTCACTGTCTCCCCTCAGAAAAGCCAGCCTGAGCTCCTCCTCAAGTCTTGGACCAAAGGAAAGACAGACAGGGGCTGCGGCCGACATGCCTCAGCCTGCAGTCAGGCACCAGGGCCGCGAGCCTCTCCTCGTGGTGAAGCCGACACACAGCCGCCCCGAGGGTGGCTGCCGAGAAGTTCCCCAGGCTGCCTCCAAAACCCACGGCCTGCTCCAGGCCGCCAGACCCCAGGCACAAGACAAACGTCCTGCGGTGACCTCACAGCCCTGCCCGCCAGCCGCCACACACAGCTTGGGCCTAGGCTCCAATCTCAGCTTCGGGCCAGGAGCCAAGAGACCTGCCCAGGCTCCGATTCAGGCTTGCCTGAACTTCCCCAAGAAACCGAGACTGGGTCCCTTCCAGATCCCCGAAAGCGCCATCCAGGGAGGTGAGCTGGGGGCCCCGGAGAATCTCCAACCTCCGCCAGCCGCAACCGAACTTGGACCAAGTACGTCGCCCCAGATGGGCAGGAGGACACCGGCCCAGGTGCCCAGCGTCGACCGGCAGCCTCCGCACAGCAGACCTTGCCTGCCCACTGCCCAGGCCTGCACCATGTCCCATCACCCAGCGGCCAGCCATGATGGGGCCCAGCCTCTCAGAGTGCTCTTCCGGAGACTGGAAAACGGACGCTGGAGCTCCAGCCTCCTGGCGGCCCCCTCATTTCACTCTCCTGAGAAGCCGGGAGCCTTCCTCGCTCAGAGCCCTCATGTGTCAGAGAAGTCTGAGGCTCCCTGTGTTCGTGTCCCACCGAGCGTCCTCTATGAGGACCTTCAGGTTTCCTCCTCCTCAGAGGACAGCGATTCTGACCTGGAGTGAGACTGCAGGTGGCAGGGGCTCCTTGGCCTCCAGCTCCCGTGACTTGGAGGGGACTGTGGGACTGAGGAGCGCAGAGCAGAGAGCAGACTCTGTGCGGTGACTCCGAAGCTCCCCGGCTGTGGCGCTTCTGTGGATGTGGGAGCCCAGGCCAGGCAGGGAGCAGATGCAGGGACTCTGCCTCATTGAATTCTGGTGAGGGACGTTGTAGTTGGCGTGGTTCTCCCGAAACGCGCCAGGAAAAGCTTCCGTGCCAGAGATTCGTTGCCTCAGAAACTGCGTGACGCGCAGGAGTCAGACTTCCGCTGGGACGTCAATAGGAAACTGGGGAATTACTGTGTATTTGCTCTCTAGATGACTGAATAAGGGAAAAGTTAGGGAACCCTGAGAGGTGCAGCCCTTCCTCTGTGCCCCGCCCTGAGAGCAGAGTTTCGGACGCTGGGAAGCGTGCTGTGTGAAGCGCTCTCGGGGTCTTTCCTCAGCCTCGAAAACTGGGCTCTGGAATGCCTTTGTACATATGTGTGTTTAATTGGTTTTGAAGTGAATAAAATTCTCAAAAAGATGACATATTGTCTTTTGACTCTCATTCCGTGTTTGTGTGTAACTGATTTTCCAAGTGAAGGGGTGGCCTGCCCCTCCACACCTGTGGGTGTTTCTAGTCGGGTGGGATGAGAGATGGAGAATAGAAATAAGACACAGAGACAAAGTATAGGGAGACAACAGTGGGTCCAGGGGACCGGCACTCAGCACACCTAGGACCTGCACCGGCACCGGCCTCTGAGTTCCCTCAGTTTTTATTGATTATGATTATCATTATTACAGCACAAAGGAATGCAGTAGGGGAGCAGGGTGATAATAAGGGGAAGTTCAACAGCAACAACAAAAACAAACACGTGAGCAAAAGAATCCATATCATTATTAAGTTCAAGGGAAGGTACTATGCCTGGACGTGCACGTAGGCCAGATTTATGTTTCTCTCCACACAAATATCTCAGCGGAGTAAAGAATAACAAGGCAGCATTACTGCCAACATGTCTCGCCTCCCGCCACAGGGCAGCTTTTCTCCGAGCTCAGAGTTGAACAAATGTACGATCGGGCTTTACACCGAGACATTCAGTTCCCAGGGGCAAGCAGGAGACAGTGGCCTTCCTCCATCTGAACTGCAAGAGGCTTTCCTCTTTGACTAATCCACCTCAGCACAGACCCATTGCGGGTGTCAGGCTGGGGGACAGTCAGGTCTTTCCCATCCCACGAGGCCATATTTCAGACTGTCACATGGGGAGAAACCTTGGACAATACCCTGCTTTCAAGGGCAGAGGTCCCTGTGGCTTTCCACGGTGCATTGCGCCCCTGGTTTATTGAGACTAGGGAATGGCAATGACTCCTACCAAGTATACTGCTCGTAAACATTTGGTTAACAAGGCGCGTCCTGCACAGCCCTAGATCCCTTAAACCTCGATTTTATACAACACAGGTTTTTGTGAGCTCCAAGTTGGGTCAAAGGAAGGGGCTGCGGCAAAGCTACAAATGATCAACATCTCAGCAAAGCAATTGTTTAAACTACAGGTCTTTTTCAAAATGGAGTCTCTTATGTCTTCCCCTTCTACATAGACACAGTGACAGTCTGATCTCTCTTTCTTTACCCTACATCCAAGGGCTTGAACATTTCTTGACTTGTTGGCAATCCAAATCGTTACGTCTCCGAAACAGAGTTGACTGAGGGGACCGCAGGGCTGGGCAGGACCTTTGACTTGCTATACATCCACAGGAGCAAGAAAACCTCAGCCCCACTCTACCAACACGCACCTAGTAAAATTCCGCCAACCGCATCTCACGCACGCTAACACGTGGGGAGCGTTGCTTGCACCACGAGTCCCCATTTGGCTCAACCGCCGATGCCAAGTGTGTGGTTCCAGTTGCGACGGCCCCCCGTGAAGTGGCTTCCGGATGTGCGAAGGAACCAGGCAGAGTTTCACTGGCCAAATAGACCCCAGCAAAGCTGAAGTTAACTCCCACATTTGGGATGTACTTCAGAGGTAAAACATTCATCCCGTCTTCTTTCCGGATGTCTGACACCATGGTTCTCCCCCTGATCCTAAGAGTAGCTGAGGTAGAGACTCACTGAAAGATCTAGGCGGGGATATCCCATCATGCACAGGCTCTCTCCATTCTCTGACCTGGGAACAACTCTCAGCAGGATTCCACATCTAGGAGGCCTCGGAACTCAGTGGGATTTTCTGAGACACACCAACTGGCTGCTCCCTCTCCGCCGCTGTTGAGGGTCGTTATCTTGATTATCCAGATCACCTAGAAAGTATCCGTATCCAGAATGAATAAGATCAACTCTCTGCTCCTCTGACAACAGAGGGAGCAGGACCATAAGGAACCAAAGAGCGTGGAAGGAAACGATGTGACAGGAAAGCTCAGAGAACGGCCACAGGGGGTCGTCAGCAGGCCTTCCAACCTGAATCATGAATAATTAATGAAGCGCAAATCAAAGGGGACTGGAGTTTCAGCAGGAGCAATTCATCCAACGGGAGATCGCCGGAGGGCCAACAAGATTGAGAGACTGGGAGCCGGGTGCAGTGTCAAAGGGGACGCGACTGGTTCCAAAGCTCGAGAAGACCATGGGGTCACTTGGGCTACATGAGAAAACGCCCCAGTGTGCTGGTTCATCATTCCGACTCCTGCCTGTCTCTTCCCGTCCAAGGAACATGGACCCTAAGTCGTGCAGGTGCGGATGACCATGGGCAGAATTAGGGGCCGTGGCACAAAAGTTCACCGACACGGGAGTTCCACAGAAGGTGCGGTGGATCTTCGCAAATCCAGAGACATGGCAATGGGACCCAGGGAATTAGAGCCTCACAGGCGTCCGGGAGTCGCAAGACGAGCTGAAAAAGGAGCCAGGCACTGAAGGACAAAGCGTTGTTGACTTTCCTCATCTGTGTTTCCCAGTGCGGTCCAATTCACGGTGGTTTCCAAGCGCCTCCTGGGGGAGAAAACACATGAGGGTGCGGTCAGGGTTCTCTGCTGACAGACTTACCTTGGGGAAGAAAGAGAAGCTCTGAAGATGGATCATGGCCGTGACTGCATGTCAAGGAGAGTCTCCTTGATGACATTGAGGCCTACGTCGAGAGAGACAAAATGTGGTCCAATTAAAAGGTGTCTATTTTACCACATTTTTTAAAACGAAACAAAACAAAACAACAAAAAAGATGGAAAAGAAGACAGGGATACAGGCACCAGTGTTACATGTCTGACGGGGAACATCTATTGTTCAAAGCTTGCAGCTGTACAAGTAGGTTTTAGAATGTCTGTCAGCAGTGGACAGGATCTTAGAGTGGGCTGTGCAGATAGACCTTTCCAGGTCATGTAACTGGATTAAGTTAATTGCAATTAAGGTACAGGTAACTGATTAGGTTAGGGTACGTTCCATGTCAGGTGACCAGAGGCAGTATAAAAGGCAGCCTGGAAAGCAGAGGTCCCTCTCCGCCCCTTCCTCCGTCGTTCTGGATGCTGCATCGCTTCCAGCGGGGCTGCTGCAGCACCTGCCCATCTCAGCGCCAGCCTGGGAAAGAAAGTAGACGTGTAATTTCAGGTTAGTTTCGCTGAACAATTGTTTGTTTCACGCAATCCCTGAGGGGTATTTGCGGGGGGTGTGGGGGAGGAAGAGACAAAGGAGGCCGAAAGAAACCGATCACACTGGGGCTTGCTGGTGGGGTAGGATGTGTTCTCGTTACTAGTAATTCTTGGAACAGAAAACGAGAAAACATATCCGTCTCCACGTGTGGGAGAAGACCAAGATGGGAATGCGAAAAGAAATGTACTGCAGCATGCTGAATTGGTGGGTAAATGGAAAAAGGACTTTGGAAAAAAGGGGGGTTTGACCTTCAGCCGTGTAAGACGTCGATACGATATGGCACTTCTTCCCCGTTTGTTCAGATGAATTCGTGTGGTATGCGTAAAATACCAGGAAAATAAATAAAGAGGGGCTGGAGCTAAAGCCAAAAGATAGAACAGGAAAGACCATCACCTGCTAGTGCGGTAGAGAGGAAGGTAACTTCTCTGTATGAATTTGTGTTTGGAAGTTGCCTAATGAAATGGCAAGAGTAGCGATTCAAGTTGTCACAGGAAGCATCCCTTATCCCTGACTTCAAGCAGACCTGCCAAAGGGTGGCACACGCCATGCCCTGTGTCTTCGATCATTCTGTCCGTCAAGGGAGATAGAATCACCGTGTCTTCTACCGGAGTGAATCGTGAGAGACCTAAGTCCAGTCTCCAGAATCAGTTGTTTGTTTGGGGTTGAAAGCTCAACCCCCCATACCTAGGCCACGGGCCCTGTGGCAGGTGGGGTTTACTCTTGGACTAGGTAGTCATGGCAGAGGAACACACAATATCCGAGGATGCGCGCAGCACATTGTGTTCTACAGATTTGACCGACTGGTGGTGAGGTCTCCTCATGACCACACAGGCAGGGAGTTAGCAGGTGGCTTCCTGTGGGTGTGTGAATATCCAACGTGCTTAACCATCGACATGTGTGTGTTTGTGTGTGTTTCAGGTGGCCCAACAGTCCACCCCTGAAAAAGGCGGTCATAAAACCCCCAGGAGACGAAGATGATGGCACGTCGGGACCCCACATCTTGGGCCAAGAGACTGGTGAGAGCCCAGACCCTCCAGAAGCAGCGGAGGGCCCCAGTTGGGCCAAGGGCTCCCCCGCCCGATGAAGAAGATCCCAGGGTAAGTCTAGCCCTGGATCTCTTGGGTATCGGGGTGGGGGTGGGGACGGGGGGAGGGGGTGTCCCACGGTCCTCAGAGACTGGGTTGGATTCCAAAGAGTTCTGTCACCACCAGCCAGGTTGCTTTTCCCATCCAAGGTGGGCGTGGCTTGGGACCTTCTCCCCGGCCCGATAGGTCCCTTGAGAGACTCTTGGGGGCAACCTCCCTTTCTACTTAGAGTCCTGTGTAGCCACGTTTGGCTGCGTTGTTGACATCGGCTTCACCATCGTGCCCCTTGGAACCTTGAGTCCTTCCTTTCAGAGTTCCTCCGTCACACGGGCTTTGCGAGGGAACATCGTATCCGAACTCTCCCAGCACTTAACGGCCCCCATGCCGGTGTCCCCTCTTTGGAATCCTTATTCAGCTCTGAATTCACAATCCGTCCCAATGTTGACGTGGGATCGCTGCCTGTGGCTTCAGCTCACTCACTGACATCACTTCCTTTCCACCCACAGCTCAAGTGCAAAAACTGCGGGGCCTTTGGCCACACGGCCAGAAGTACCAGGTGCCCCATGAAGTGCTGGAAGGCAGCCCTGGTTCCAGCGACCTTGGGGAAAAAGGAAGGGAAGGAAAACCTGAAACCATGGAAGCCCCGGGTTGAAGCCAACCCGGGGCCCTTGAACAAGGATAAGGGAGAGAAGGAAGAGAGACCAAGGTGAGCAGTGGGAGGGGTTTTCACCACTCTTGGGGTACTGCCTCCTAAGGACATGGTGTCTCTGCACCTGCACACCGTGTGCCTTTCCGTCTCCGGGCCAGGGAAGGAACGCTGCAGAGAAATAGGCCGGAGCTCCGTGTCCTCCGGGGTTCCACACCCAGGAGCTCCTTGGGCTCTGGGAGATTCAGGGACGGGGAGAGGCGGGGGCGCTTCGTGCAGGTTCCCCGCGACAGCGGGAAAAGCGATGGAATCCAAATCACAGTCCTTAGTTGGGAAGCCTAGAGGGCCACCTGGAGGATGGGAAGGTTGGCACGTGAGGGAAGGTGCAGAGGCGGAAAGGGCACCAGATGTCCATTTCTGTATCACAAGACACGGAATGGGGCTGGGCCCCAGACGGGGTTCTCCCTGTCTCCTGGGGAAAACCAGGGGGCACGGCCTGACCTTTTTCTGTTCTGCAGGCAACAAGACCCGCAGAGGAAGGCTCTCCTCCACATGTTTTCCGGGAAACCTCCAGAGAAGCCGCTGCCGAATGGAAAAGGATCCACGGAACCTTCTGATTATCTGAGGGCGAGTGTCACCCCGGGCCCCTGGTCTTTTTCTCCTCTAGGTCACCCTGGTTGATTTCCTTTCAGCTTCCCGTCTGCGGGAGGAAATCGGGGAACCCCTCTTTCTTGCCTTCTTGGGGTCAGGGACTCCACGATCCTTCCAGGTCAATTGGATTCCAGGCGAAGGCATCTGAACATGCCGTATTTCCTGTTGCTTTCTTTCTGTCCAATTATGGCAAGCCTGCCAACAACACGTTCCTAGCGGCATGAGGAAATTAGTCCCTCAGAGGCCCCAAACGTGGAGAAGGCGAAACCCAGGAACATGCATGTGTTCAGAGAAGACGTCCCGAGTACCCTTGAGCCAGCAACCTGCCTTGGGAAGGGCATTAGTCCGTTCCACTTCATGGAAGGCTGAGTGGAGGCGCTTTGATCCAGTTAATGCCCAAGACGCGATCTTTTGAACAATGGTGTGCTTAGATCAGCTACACATAGCTCGAGAGCGCATCTTTCATGTGTCTTGTCCTGATCAGCACTCAGGTGGAGGGTCTGTCCCTACTTCCAAGGACCGCCTGTCGATACTGTACTAAGAATTTCATGGCGTGTGCACCTTGTCTTTGGATGTGCTTGATTTTCACGTTGGCTCCATGCTGAGGAACTTCTAACCTGTGTTGTTTCCTCTCTTTCAGGTTGCAAGCGGGCCAATGCCGGTCCACACAACCAGTAAGAGGCCGCGCGTGGACCCTGTCCTCGCTGATGGCTCAGCTACCGAAATGTCTGACAGGGGCTCCGTCTTGGCTTCACTGTCTCCCCTCAGAAAAGCCAGCCTGAGCTCCTCCTCAAGTCTTGGACCAAAGGAAAGACAGACAGGGGCTGCGGCCGACATCCCTCAGCCTGCAGTCAGGCACCAGGGCCGCGAGCCTCTCCTCGTGGTGAAGCCGACACACAGCAGCCCTGAGGGTGGCTGCCGAGAAGTTCCCCAGGCTGCCTCCAAAACCCACGGCCTGCTCCAGGCCGCCAGACCCCAGGCACAAGACAAACGTCCTGCGGTGACCTCACAGCCCTGCCCGCCAGCCGCCACACACAGCTTGGGCCTCGGCTCCAATCTCAGCTTCGGGCCAGGAGCCAAGAGACCTGCCCAGGCTCCGATTCAGGCTTGCCTGAACTTCCCCAAGAAACCGAGACTGGGTCCCTTCCAGATCCCCGAAAGCGCCATCCAGGGAGGTGAGCTGGGGGCCCCGGAGAATCTCCAACCTCCGCCAGCCGCAACCGAACTTGGACCAAGTACGTCGCCCCAGATGGGCAGGAGGACACCGGCCCAGGTGCCCAGCGTCGAACGGCAGCCTCCGCACAGCAGACCTTGCCTGCCTACTGCCCAGGCCTGCACCATGTCCCATCACTCAGCGGCCAGCCATGATGGGGCCCAGCCTCTCAGAGTGCTCTTCCGGAGACTGGAAAACGGACGCTGGAGCTCCAGCCTCCTGGCGGCCCCCTCATTTCACTCTCCTGAGAAGCCGGGAGCCTTCCTCGCTCAGAGCCCTCATGTGTCAGAGAAGTCTGAGGCTCCCTGTGTTCGTGTCCCACCGAGCGTCCTCTATGAGGACCTTCAGGTTTCCTCCTCCTCAGAGGACAGCGATTCTGACCTGGAGTGAGACTGCAGGTGGCAGGGGCTCCTTGGCCTCCAGCTCCCGTGACTTGGAGGGGACTGTGGGACTGAGGAGCGCAGAGCAGAGAGCAGACTCTGTGCGGTGACTCCGAAGCTCCCCGGCTGTGGCGCTTCTGTGGATGTGGGAGCCCAGGCCAGGCAGGGAGCAGATGCAGGGACTCTGCCTCATTGAATTCTGGTGAGGGACGTTGTAGTTGGCGTGGTTCTCCCGAAACGCGCCAGGAAAAGCTTCCGTGCCAGAGATTCGTTGCCTCAGAAACTGCGTGACGCGCAGGAGTCAGACTTCCGCTGGGACGTCAATAGGAAACTGGGGAATTACTGTGTATTTGCTCTCTAGATGACTGAATAAGGGAAAAGTTAGGGAACCCTGAGAGGTGCAGCCCTTCCGCTGTGCCCCGCCCTGAGAGCAGAGTTTCGGACGCTGGGAAGCGTGCTGTGTGAAGCGCTCTCGGGGTCTTTCCTCAGCCTCGAAAACTGGGCTCTGGAATGCCTTTGTACATATGTGTGTTTAATTGGTTTTGAAGTGAATAAAATTCTCAAAAAGATGACATATTGTCTTTTGACTCTCATTCCGTGTTTGTGTGTAACTGATTTTCCAAGTGAAGGGGTGGCCTGCCCCTCCACACCTGTGGGTGTTTCTAGTCGGGTGGGATGAGAGATGGAGAATAGAAATAAGACACAGAGACAAAGTATAGGGAGACAACAGTGGGTCCAGGGGACCGGCACTCAGCACACCTAGGACCTGCACCGGCACCGGCCTCTGAGTTCCCTCAGTTTTTATTGATTATGATTATCATTATTACAGCACAAAGGAATGCAGTAGGGGAGCAGGGTGATAATAAGGGGAAGTTCAACAGCAACAACAAAAACAAACACGTGAGCAAAAGAATCCATATCATTATTAAGTTCAAGGGAAGGTACTATGCCTGGACGTGCACGTAGGCCAGATTTATGTTTCTCTCCACACAAATATCTCAGCGGAGTAAAGAATAACAAGGCAGCATTACTGCCAACATGTCTCGCCTCCCGCCACAGGGCAGCTTTTCTCCGAGCTCAGAGTTGAACAAATGTACGATCGGGCTTTACACCGAGACATTCAGTTCCCAGGGGCAAGCAGGAGACAGTGGCCTTCCTCCATCTGAACTGCAAGAGGCTTTCCTCTTTGACTAATCCACCTCAGCACAGACCCATTGCGGGTGTCAGGCTGGGGGACAGTCAGGTCTTTCCCATCCCACGAGGCCATATTTCAGACTGTCACATGGGGAGAAACCTTGGACAATAACCTGCTTTCAAGGGCAGAGGTCCCTGTGGCTTTCCACGGTGCATTGCGCCCCTGGTTTATTGAGACTAGGGAATGGCAATGACTCCTACCAAGTATACTGCTCGTAAACATTTGGTTAACAAGGCGCGTCCTGCACAGCCCTAGATCCCTTAAACCTCGATTTTATACAACACAGGTTTTTGTGAGCTCCAAGTTGGGTCAAAGGAAGGGGCTGCGGCAAAGCTACAAATGATCAACATCTCAGCAAAGCAATTGTTTAAACTACAGGTCTTTTTCAAAATGGAGTCTCTTATGTCTTCCCCTTCTACATAGACACAGTGACAGTCTGATCTCTCTTTCTTTACCCTACATCCAAGGGCTTGAACATTTCTTGACTTGTTGGCAATCCAAATCGTTACGTCTCCGAAACAGAGTTGACTGAGGGGACCGCAGGGCTGGGCAGGACCTTTGACTTGCTATACATCCACAGGAGCAAGAAAACCTCAGCCCCACTCTACCAACACGCACCTAGTAAAATTCCGCCAACCGCATCTCACGCACGCTAACACGTGGGGAGCGTTGCTTGCACCACGAGTCCCCATTTGGCTCAACCGCCGATGCCAAGTGTGTGGTTCCAGTTGCGACGGCCCCCCGTGAAGTGGCTTCCGGATGTGCGAAGGAACCAGGCAGAGTTTCACTGGCCAAATAGACCCCAGCAAAGCTGAAGTTAACTCCCACATTTGGGATGTACTTCAGAGGTAAAACATTCATCCCGTCTTCTTTCCGGATGTCTGACACCATGGTTCTCCCCCTGATCCTAAGAGTAGCTGAGGTAGAGACTCACTGAAAGATCTAGGCGGGGATATCCCATCATGCACAGGCTCTCTCCATTCTCTGACCTGGGAACAACTCTCAGCAGGATTCCACATCTAGGAGGCCTCGGAACTCAGTGGGATTTTCTGAGACACACCAACTGGCTGCTCCCTCTCCGCCGCTGTTGAGGGTCGTTATCTTGATTATCCAGATCACCTAGAAAGTATCCGTATCCAGAATGAATAAGATCAACTCTCTGCTCCTCTGACAGCAGAGGGAGCAGGACCATAAGGAACCAAAGAGCGTGGAAGGAAACGATGTGACAGGAAAGCTCAGAGAACGGCCACAGGGGGTCGTCAGCAGGCCTTCCAACCTGAATCATGAATAATTAATGAAGCGTAAATCAAAGGGGACTGGAGTTTCAGCAGGAGCAATTCATCCAACGGGAGATCGCCGGAGGGCCAACAAGATTGAGAGACTGGGAGCCGGGTGCAGTGTCAAAGGGGACGCGACTGGTTCCAAAGCTCGAGAAGACCATGGGGTCACTTGGGCTACATGAGAAAACGCCCCAGTGTGCTGGTTCATCATTCCGACTCCTGCCTGTCTCTTCCCGTCCAAGGAACATGGACCCTAAGTCGTGCAGGTGCGGATGACCATGGGCAGAATTAGGGGCCGTGGCACAAAAGTTCACCGACACGGGAGTTCCACAGAAGGTGCGGTGGATCTTCGCAAATCCAGAGACATGGCAATGGGACCCAGGGAATTAGAGCCTCACAGGCGTCCGGGAGTCGCAAGACGAGCTGAAAAAGGAGCCAGGCACTGAAGGACAAAGCGTTGTTGACTTTCCTCATCTGTGTTTCCCAGTGCGGTCCAATTCACGGTGGTTTCCAAGCGCCTCCTGGGGGAGAAAACACATGAGGGTGCGGTCAGGGTTCTCTGCTGACAGACTTACCTTGGGGAAGAAAGAGAAGCTCTGAAGATGGATCATGGCCGTGACTGCATGTCAAGGAGAGTCTCCTTGATGACACTGAGGCCTACGTCGAGAGAGACAAAATGTGGTCCAATTAAAAGGTGTCTATTTTACCACATTTTTTAAAACGAAACAAAACAAAACAACAAAAAAGATGGAAAAGAAGACAGGGATACAGGCACCAGTGTTACATGTCTGACGGGGAACATCTATTGTTCAAAGCTTGCAGCTGTACAAGTAGGTTTTAGAATGTCTGTCAGCAGTGGACAGGATCTTAGAGTGGGCTGTGCAGATAGACCTTTCCAGGTCATGTAACTGGATTAAGTTAATTGCAATTAAGGTACAGGTAACTGATTAGGTTAGGGTACGTTCCATGTCAGGTGACCAGAGGCAGTATAAAAGGCAGCCTGGAAAGCAGAGGTCCCTCTCCGCCCCTTCCTCCGTCGTTCTGGATGCTGCATCGCTTCCAGCGGGGCTGCTGCAGCACCTGCCCATCTCAGCGCCAGCCTGGGAAAGAAAGTAGATGTGTAATTTCAGGTTGGTTTCGCTGAACAATTGTTTGTTTCACGCAATCCCTGGGGGGGTTTTGCGGGGGGTGTGGGGGAGGAAGAGACAAAGGAGGCCGAAAGAAACCGATCACACTGGGGCTTGCTGGTGGGGTAGGATGTGTTCTCGTTACTAGTAATTCTTGGAACAGAAAACGAGAAAACATATCCGTCTCCACGTGTGGGAGAAGACCAAGATGGGAATGCGAAAAGAAATGTACTGCAGCATGCTGAATTGGTGGGTAAATGGAAAAAGGACTTTGGAAAAAAGGGGGGTTTGACCTTCAGCCGTGTAAGACGTCGATACGATATGGCACTTCTTCCCCGTTTGTTCAGATGAATTCGTGTGGTATGCGTAAAATACCAGGAAAATAAATAAAGAGGGGCTGGAGCTAAAGCCAAAAGATAGAACAGGAAAGACCATCACCTGCTAGTGCGGTAGAGAGGAAGGTAACTTCTCTGTATGAATTTGTGTTTGGAAGTTGCCTAATGAAATGGCAAGAGTAGCGATTCAAGTTGTCACAGGAAGCATCCCTTATCCCTGACTTCAAGCAGACCTGCCAAAGGGTGGCACACGCCATGCCCTGTGTCTTCGATCATTCTGTCCGTCAAGGGAGATAGAATCACCGTGTCTTCTACCGGAGTGAATCGTGAGAGACCTAAGTCCAGTCTCCAGAATCAGTTGTTTGTTTGGGGTTGAAAGCTCAACCCCCCATACCTAGGCCACGGGCCCTGTGGCAGGTGGGGTTTACTCTTGGACTAGGTAGTCATGGCAGAGGAACACACAATATCCGAGGATGCGCGCAGCACATTGTGTTCTACAGATTTGACCGACTGGTGGTGAGGTCTCCTCATGACCACACAGGCAGGGAGTTAGCAGGTGGCTTCCTGTGGGTGTGTGAATATCCAACGTGCTTAACCATCGACATGTGTGTGTTTGTGTGTGTTTCAGGTGGCCCAACAGTCCACCCCTGAAAAAGGCGGTCATAAAACCCCCAGGAGACGAAGATGATGGCACGTCGGGACCCCACATCTTGGGCCAAGAGACTGGTGAGAGCCCAGACCCTCCAGAAGCAGCGGAGGGCCCCAGTTGGGCCAAGGGCTCCCCCGCCCGATGAAGAAGATCCCAGGGTAAGTCTAGCCCTGGATCTCTTGGGTATCGGGGTGGGGGTGGGGACGGGGGGAGGGGGTGTCCCACGGTCCTCAGAGACTGGGTTGGATTCCAAAGAGTTCTGTCACCACCAGCCAGGTTGCTTTTCCCATCCAAGGTGGGCGTGGCTTGGGACCTTCTCCCCGGCCCGATAGGTCCCTTGAGAGACTCTTGGGGGCAACCTCCCTTTCTACTTAGAGTCCTGTGTAGCCACGTTTGGCTGCGTTGTTGACATCGGCTTCACCATCGTGCCCCTTGGAACCTTGAGTCCTTCCTTTCAGAGTTCCTCCGTCACACGGGCTTTGCGAGGGAACATCGTATCCGAACTCTCCCAGCACTTAACGGCCCCCATGCCGGTGTCCCCTCTTTGGAATCCTTATTCAGCTCTGAATTCACAATCCGTCCCAATGTTGACGTGGGATCGCTGCCTGTGGCTTCAGCTCACTCACTGACATCACTTCCTTTCCACCCACAGCTCAAGTGCAAAAACTGCGGGGCCTTTGGCCACACGGCCAGAAGTACCAGGTGCCCCATGAAGTGCTGGAAGGCAGCCCTGGTTCCAGCGACCTTGGGGAAAAAGGAAGGGAAGGAAAACCTGAAACCATGGAAGCCCCGGGTTGAAGCCAACCCGGGGCCCTTGAACAAGGATAAGGGAGAGTAGGAAGAGAGACCAAGGTGAGCAGTGGGAGGGGTTTTCACCACTCTTGGGGTACTGCCTCCTAAGGACATGGTGTCTCTGCACCTGCACACCGTGTGCCTTTCCGTCTCCGGGCCAGGGAAGGAACGCTGCAGAGAAATAGGCCGGAGCTCCGTGTCCTCCGGGGTTCCACACCCAGGAGCTCCTTGGGCTCTGGGAGATTCAGGGACGGGGAGAGGCGGGGGCGCTTCGTGCAGGTTCCCCGCCACAGCGGGAAAAGCGATGGAATCCAAATCACAGTCCTTAGTTGGGGAGCCTAGAGGGCCACCTGGAGGATGGGAAGGTTGGCACGTGAGGGAAGGTGCAGAGGCGGAAAGGGCACCAGATGTCCATTTCTGTATCACAAGACACGGAATGGGGCTGGGCCCCAGACGGGGTTCTCCCTGTCTCCTGGGGAAAACCAGGGGGCACGGCCTGACCTTTTTCTGTTCTGCAGGCAACAAGACCCGCAGAGGAAGGCTCTCCTCCACATGTTTTCCGGGAAACCTCCAGAGAAGCCGCTGCCGAATGGAAAAGGATCCACGGAACCTTCTGATTATCTGAGGGCGAGTGTCACCCCGGGCCCCTGGTCTTTTTCTCCTCTAGGTCACCCTGGTTGATTTCCTTTCAGCTTCCCGTCTGCGGGAGGAAATCGGGGAACCCCTCTTTCTTGCCTTCTTGGGGTCAGGGACTCCACGATCCTTCCAGGTCAATTGGATTCCAGGCGAAGGCATCTGAACATGCCGTATTTCCTGTTGCTTTCTTTCTGTCCAATTATGGCAAGCCTGCCAACAACACGTTCCTAGCGGCATGAGGAAATTAGTCCCTCAGAGGCCCCAAACGTGGAGAAGGCGAAACCCAGGAACATGCATGTGTTCAGAGAAGACGTCCCGAGTACCCTTGAGCCAGCAACCTGCCTTGGGAAGGGCATTAGTCCGTTCCACTTCATGGAAGGCTGAGTGGAGGCGCTTTGATCCAGTTAATGCCCAAGACGCGATCTTTTGAACAATGGTGTGCTTAGATCAGCTACACATAGCTCGAGAGCGCATCTTTCATGTGTCTTGTCCTGATCAGCACTCAGGTGGAGGGTCTGTCCCTACTTCCAAGGACCGCCTGTCGATACTGTACTAAGAATTTCATGGCGTGTGCACCTTGTCTTTGGATGTGCTTGATTTTCACGTTGGCTCCATGCTGAGGAACTTCTAACCTGTGTTGTTTCCTCTCTTTCAGGTTGCAAGCGGGCCAATGCCGGTCCACACAACCAGTAAGAGGCCGCGCGTGGACCCTGTCCTCGCTGATGGCTCAGCTACCGAAATGTCTGGCAGGGGCTCCGTCTTGGCTTCACTGTCTCCCCTCAGAAAAGCCAGCCTGAGCTCCTCCTCAAGTCTTGGACCAAAGGAAAGACAGACAGGGGCTGCGGCCGACATGCCTCAGCCTGCAGTCAGGCACCAGGGCCGCGAGCCTCTCCTCGTGGTGAAGCCGACACACAGCAGCCCTGAGGGTGGCTGCCGAGAAGTTCCCCAGGCTGCCTCCAAAACCCACGGCCTGCTCCAGGCCGCCAGACCCCAGGCACAAGACAAACGTCCTGCGGTGACCTCACAGCCCTGCCCGCCAGCCGCCACACACAGCTTGGGCCTCGGCTCCAATCTCAGCTTCGGGCCAGGAGCCAAGAGACCTGCCCAGGCTCCGATTCAGGCTTGCCTGAACTTCCCCAAGAAACCGAGACTGGGTCCCTTCCAGATCCCCGAAAGCGCCATCCAGGGAGGTGAGCTGGGGGCCCCGGAGAATCTCCAACCTCCGCCAGCCGCAACCGAACTTGGACCAAGTACGTCGCCCCAGATGGGCAGGAGGACACCGGCCCAGGTGCCCAGCGTCGAACGGCAGCCTCCGCACAGCAGACCTTGCCTGCCTACTGCCCAGGCCTGCACCATGTCCCATCACTCAGCGGCCAGCCATGATGGGGCCCAGCCTCTCAGAGTGCTCTTCCGGAGACTGGAAAACGGACGCTGGAGCTCCAGCCTCCTGGCGGCCCCCTCATTTCACTCTCCTGAGAAGCCGGGAGCCTTCCTCGCTCAGAGCCCTCATGTGTCAGAGAAGTCTGAGGCTCCCTGTGTTCGTGTCCCACCGAGCGTCCTCTATGAGGACCTTCAGGTTTCCTCCTCCTCAGAGGACAGCGATTCTGACCTGGAGTGAGACTGCAGGTGGCAGGGGCTCCTTGGCCTCCAGCTCCCGTGACTTGGAGGGGACTGTGGGACTGAGGAGCGCAGAGCAGAGAGCAGACTCTGTGCGGTGACTCCGAAGCTCCCCGGCTGTGGCGCTTCTGTGGATGTGGGAGCCCAGGCCAGGCAGGGAGCAGATGCAGGGACTCTGCCTCATTGAATTCTGGTGAGGGACGTTGTAGTTGGCGTGGTTCTCCCGAAACGCGCCAGGAAAAGCTTCCGTGCCAGAGATTCGTTGCCTCAGAAACTGCGTGACGCGCAGGAGTCAGACTTCCGCTGGGACGTCAATAGGAAACTGGGGAATTACTGTGTATTTGCTGTCTAGATGACTGAATAAGGGAAAAGTTAGGGAACCCTGAGAGGTGCAGCCCTTCCGCTGTGCCCCGCCCTGAGAGCAGAGTTTCGGACGCTGGGAAGCGTGCTGTGTGAAGCGCTCTCGGGGTCTTTCCTCAGCCTCGAAAACTGGGCTCTGGAATGCCTTTGTACATATGTGTGTTTAATTGGTTTTGAAGTGAATAAAATTCTCAAAAAGATGACATATTGTCTTTTGACTCTCATTCCGTGTTTGTGTGTAACTGATTTTCCAAGTGAAGGGGTGGCCTGCCCCTCCACACCTGTGGGTGTTTCTAGTCGGGTGGGATGAGAGATGGAGAATAGAAATAAGACACAGAGACAAAGTATAGGGAGACAACAGTGGGTCCAGGGGACCGGCACTCAGCACACCTAGGACCTGCACCGGCACCGGCCTCTGAGTTCCCTCAGTTTTTATTGATTATGATTATCATTATTACAGCACAAAGGAATGCAGTAGGGGAGCAGGGTGATAATAAGGGGAAGTTCAACAGCAACAACAAAAACAAACACGTGAGCAAAAGAATCCATATCATTATTAAGTTCAAGGGAAGGTACTATGCCTGGACGTGCACGTAGGCCAGATTTATGTTTCTCTCCACACAAATATCTCAGCGGAGTAAAGAATAACAAGGCAGCATTACTGCCAACATGTCTCGCCTCCCGCCACAGGGCAGCTTTTCTCCGAGCTCAGAGTTGAACAAATGTACGATCGGGCTTTACACCGAGACATTCAGTTCCCAGGGGCAAGCAGGAGACAGTGGCCTTCCTCCATCTGAACTGCAAGAGGCTTTCCTCTTTGACTAATCCACCTCAGCACAGACCCATTGCGGGTGTCAGGCTGGGGGACAGTCAGGTCTTTCCCATCCCACGAGGCCATATTTCAGACTGTCACATGGGGAGAAACCTTGGACAATACCCTGCTTTCAAGGGCAGAGGTCCCTGTGGCTTTCCACGGTGCATTGCGCCCCTGGTTTATTGAGACTAGGGAATGGCAATGACTCCTACCAAGTATACTGCTCGTAAACATTTGGTTAACAAGGCGCGTCCTGCACAGCCCTAGATCCCTTAAACCTCGATTTTATACAACACAGGTTTTTGTGAGCTCCAAGTTGGGTCAAAGGAAGGGGCTGCGGCAAAGCTACAAATGATCAACATCTCAGCAAAGCAATTGTTTAAACTACAGGTCTTTTTCAAAATGGAGTCTCTTATGTCTTCCCCTTCTACATAGACACAGTGACAGTCTGATCTCTCTTTCTTTACCCTACATCCAAGGGCTTGAACATTTCTTGACTTGTTGGCAATCCAAATCGTTACGTCTCCGAAACAGAGTTGACTGAGGGGACCGCAGGGCTGGGCAGGACCTTTGACTTGCTATACATCCACAGGAGCAAGAAAACCTCAGCCCCACTCTACCAACACGCACCTAGTAAAATCCCGCCAACCGCATCTCACGCACGCTAACACGTGGGGAGCGTTGCTTGCACCACGAGTCCCCATTTGGCTCAACCGCCGATGCCAAGTGTGTGGTTCCAGTTGCGACGGCCCCCCGTGAAGTGGCTTCCGGATGTGCGAAGGAACCAGGCAGAGTTTCACTGGCCAAATAGACCCCAGCAAAGCTGAAGTTAACTCCCACATTTGGGATGTACTTCAGAGGTAAAACATTCATCCCGTCTTCTTTCCGGATGTCTGACACCATGGTTCTCCCCCTGATCCTAAGAGTAGCTGAGGTAGAGACTCACTGAAAGATCTAGGCAGGGATATCCCATCATGCACAGGCTCTCTCCATTCTCTGACCTGGGAACAACTCTCAGCAGGATTCCACATCTAGGAGGCCTCGGAACTCAGTGGGATTTTCTGAGACACACCAACTGGCTGCTCCCTCTCCGCCGCTGTTGAGGGTCGTTATCTTGATTATCCAGATCACCTAGAAAGTATCCGTATCCAGAATGAATAAGATCAACTCTCTGCTCCTCTGACAGCAGAGGGAGCAGGACCATAAGGAACCAAAGAGCGTGGAAGGAAACGATGTGACAGGAAAGCTCAGAGAACGGCCACAGGGGGTCGTCAGCAGGCCTTCCAACCTGAATCATGAATAATTAATGAAGCGCAAATCAAAGGGGACTGGAGTTTCAGCAGGAGCAATTCATCCAACGGGAGATCGCCGGAGGGCCAACAAGATTGAGAGACTGGGAGCCGGGTGCAGTGTCAAAGGGGACGCGACTGGTTCCAAAGCTCGAGAAGACCATGGGGTCACTTGGGCTACATGAGAAAACGCCCCAGTGTGCTGGTTCATCATTCCGACTCCTGCCTGTCTCTTCCCGTCCAAGGAACATGGACCCTAAGTCGTGCAGGTGCGGATGACCATGGGCAGAATTAGGGGCCGTGGCACAAAAGTTCACCGACACGGGAGTTCCACAGAAGGTGCGGTGGATCTTCGCAAATCCAGAGACATGGCAATGGGACCCAGGGAATTAGAGCCTCACAGGCGTCCGGGAGTCGCAAGACGAGCTGAAAAAGGAGCCAGGCACTGAAGGACAAAGCGTTGTTGACTTTCCTCATCTGTGTTTCCCAGTGCGGTCCAATTCACGGTGGTTTCCAAGCGCCTCCTGGGGGAGAAAACACATGAGGGTGCGGTCAGGGTTCTCTGCTGACAGACTTACCTTGGGGAAGAAAGAGAAGCTCTGAAGATGGATCATGGCCGTGACTGCATGTCAAGGAGAGTCTCCTTGATGACACTGAGGCCTACGTCGAGAGAGACAAAATGTGGTCCAATTAAAAGGTGTCTATTTTACCACATTTTTTAAAACGAAACAAAACAAAACAACAAAAAAGATGGAAAGGAAGACAGGGGTACAGGCACCAGTGTTACATGTCTGACGGGGAACATCTATTGTTCAAAGCTTGCAGCTGTACAAGTAGGTTTTAGAATGTCTGTCAGCAGTGGACAGGATCTTAGAGTGGGCTGTGCAGATAGACCTTTCCAGGTCATGTAATTGGATTAAGTTAATTGCAATTAAGGTACAGGTAACTGATTAGGTTAGGGTACGTTCCATGTCAGGTGACCAGAGGCAGTATAAAAGGCAGCCTGGAAAGCGGAGGTCCCTCTCCGCCCCTTCCTCCGTCGTTCTGGATGCTGCATCGCTTCCAGCGGGGCTGCTGCAGCACCTGCCCATCTCAGCGCCAGCCTGGGAAAGAAAGTAGACGTGTAATTTCAGGTTAGTTTCGCTGAACAATTGTTTGTTTCACGCAATCCCTGAGGGGTTTTTGCGGGGGGTGTGGGGGAGGAAGAGACAAAGGAGGCCGAAAGAAACCGATCACACTGGGGCTTGCTGGTGGGGTAGGATGTGTTCTCGTTACTAGTAATTCTTGGAACAGAAAACGAGAAAACATACCCGTCTCCACGTGTGGGAGAAGACCAAGATGGGAATGCGAAAAGAAATGTACTGCAGCATGCTGAATTGGTGGGTAAACGGCAAAAGGACTTTGGAAAAAAGGGTGGTTGGCCCTTGAGCCGTGTAAGACGTCGATACGATATGGCACTTCTTCCCCGTTTGTTCAGATGAATTCGTGTGGTGTGCGTAAAATACCAGGAAAATAAATAAAGAGGGGCTGGAGCTAAAGCCAAAAGATAGAACAGGAAAGACCATCACCTGCTAGTGCGGTAGAGAGGAAGGTAACTTCTCTGTATGAATTTGTGTTTGGAAGTTGCCTAATGAAATGGCAAGAGTAGCGATTCAAGTTGTCACAGGAAGCATCCCTTATCCCTGACTTCAAGCAGACCTGCCAAAGGGTGGCACACGCCATGCCCTGTGTCTTCGATCATTCTGTCCGTCAAGGGAGATAGAATCACCGTGTCTTCTACCGGAGTGAATCGTGAGAGACCTAAGTCCAGTCTCCAGAATCAGTTGTTTGTTTGGGGTTGAAAGCTCAACCCCCCATACCTAGGCCACGGGCCCTGTGGCAGGTGGGGTTTACTCTTGGACTAGGTAGTCATGGCAGAGGAACACACAATATCCGAGGATGCGCGCAGCACATTGTGTTCTACAGATTTGACCGACTGGTGGTGAGGTCTCCTCATGACCACACAGGCAGGGAGTTAGCAGGTGGCTTCCTGTGGGTGTGTGAATATCCAACGTGCTTAACCATCGACATGTGTGTGTTTGTGTGTGTTTCAGGTGGCCCAACAGTCCACCCCTGAAAAAGGCGGTCATAAAACCCCCAGGAGACGAAGATGATGGCACGTCGGGACCCCACATCTTGGGCCAAGAGACTGGTGAGAGCCCAGACCCTCCAGAAGCAGCGGAGGGCCCCAGTTGGGCCAAGGGCTCCCCCGCCCGATGAAGAAGATCCCAGGGTAAGTCTAGCCCTGGATCTCTTGGGTATCGGGGTGGGGGTGGGGACGGGGGGAGGGGGTGTCCCACGGTCCTCAGAGACTGGGTTGGATTCCAAAGAGTTCTGTCACCACCAGCCAGGTTGCTTTTCCCATCCAAGGTGGGCGTGGCTTGGGACCTTCTCCCCGGCCCGATAGGTCCCTTGAGAGACTCTTGGGGGCAACCTCCCTTTCTACTTAGAGTCCTGTGTAGCCACGTTTGGCTGCGTTGTTGACATCGGCTTCACCATCGTGCCCCTTGGAACCTTGAGTCCTTCCTTTCAGAGTTCCTCCGTCACACGGGCTTTGCGAGGGAACATCGTATCCGAACTCTCCCAGCACTTAACGGCCCCCATGCCGGTGTCCCCTCTTTGGAATCCTTATTCAGCTCTGAATTCACAATCCGTCCCAATGTTGACGTGGGATCGCTGCCTGTGGCTTCAGCTCACTCACTGACATCACTTCCTTTCCACCCACAGCTCAAGTGCAAAAACTGCGGGGCCTTTGGCCACACGGCCAGAAGTACCAGGTGCCCCATGAAGTGCTGGAAGGCAGCCCTGGTTCCAGCGACCTTGGGGAAAAAGGAAGGGAAGGAAAACCTGAAACCATGGAAGCCCCGGGGTGAAGCCAACCCGGGGCCCTTGAACAAGGATAAGGGAGAGAAGGAAGAGAGACCAAGGTGAGCAGTGGGAGGGGTTTTCACCACTCTTGGGGTACTGCCTCCTAAGGACATGGTGTCTCTGCACCTGCACACCGTGTGCCTTTCCGTCTCCGGGCCAGGGAAGGAACGCTGCAGAGAAATAGGCCGGAGCTCCGTGTCCTCCGGGGTTCCACACCCAGGAGCTCCTTGGGCTCTGGGAGATTCAGGGACGGGGAGAGGCGGGGGCGCTTCGTGCAGGTTCCCCGCGACAGCGGGAAAAGCGATGGAATCCAAATCACAGTCCTTAGTTGGGAAGCCTAGAGGGCCACCTGGAGGATGGGAAGGTTGGCACGTGAGGGAAGGTGCAGAGGCGGAAAGGGCACCAGATGTCCATTTCTGTATCACAAGACACGGAATGGGGCTGGGCCCCAGACGGGGTTCTCCCTGTCTCCTGGGGAAAACCAGGGGGCACGGCCTGACCTTTTTCTGTTCTGCAGGCAACAAGACCCGCAGAGGAAGGCTCTCCTCCACATGTTTTCCGGGAAACCTCCAGAGAAGCCGCTGCCGAATGGAAAAGGATCCACGGAACCTTCTGATTATCTGAGGGCGAGTGTCACCCCGGGCCCCTGGTCTTTTTCTCCTCTAGGTCACCCTGGTTGATTTCCTTTCAGCTTCCCGTCTGCGGGAGGAAATCGGGGAACCCCTCTTTCTTGCCTTCTTGGGGTCAGGGACTCCACGATCCTTCCAGGTCAATTGGATTCCAGGCGAAGGCATCTGAACATGCCGTATTTCCTGTTGCTTTCTTTCTGTCCAATTATGGCAAGCCTGCCAACAACACGTTCCTAGCGGCATGAGGAAATTAGTCCCTCAGAGGCCCCAAACGTGGAGAAGGCGAAACCCAGGAACATGCATGTGTTCAGAGAAGACGTCCCGAGTACCCTTGAGCCAGCAACCTGCCTTGGGAAGGGCATTAGTCCGTTCCACTTCATGGAAGGCTGAGTGGAGGCGCTTTGATCCAGTTAATGCCCAAGACGCGATCTTTTGAACAATGGTGTGCTTAGATCAGCTACACATAGCTCGAGAGCGCATCTTTCATGTGTCTTGTCCTGATCAGCACTCAGGTGGAGGGTCTGTCCCTACTTCCAAGGACCGCCTGTCGATACTGTACTAAGAATTTCATGGCGTGTGCACCTTGTCTTTGGATGTGCTTGATTTTCACGTTGGCTCCATGCTGAGGAACTTCTAACCTGTGTTGTTTCCTCTCTTTCAGGTTGCAAGCGGGCCAATGCCGGTCCACACAACCAGTAAGAGGCCGCGCTTGGACCCTGTCCTCGCTGATCGCTCAGCTACCGAAATGTCTGGCAGGGGCTCCGTCTTGGCTTCACTGTCTCCCCTCAGAAAAGCCAGCCTGAGCTCCTCCTCAAGTCTTGGACCAAAGGAAAGACAGACAGGGGCTGCGGCCGACATGCCTCAGCCTGCAGTCAGGCACCAGGGCCGCGAGCCTCTCCTCGTGGTGAAGCCGACACACAGCCGCCCCGAGGGTGGCTGCCGAGAAGTTCCCCAGGCTGCCTCCAAAACCCACGGCCTGCTCCAGGCCGCCAGACCCCAGGCACAAGACAAACGTCCTGCGGTGACCTCACAGCCCTGCCCGCCAGCCGCCACACACAGCTTGGGCCTAGGCTCCAATCTCAGCTTCGGGCCAGGAGCCAAGAGACCTGCCCAGGCTCCGATTCAGGCTTGCCTGAACTTCCCCAAGAAACCGAGACTGGGTCCCTTCCAGATCCCCGAAAGCGCCATCCAGGGAGGTGAGCTGGGGGCCCCGGAGAATCTCCAACCTCCGCCAGCCGCAACCGAACTTGGACCAAGTACGTCGCCCCAGATGGGCAGGAGGACACCGGCCCAGGTGCCCAGCGTCGACCGGCAGCCTCCGCACAGCAGACCTTGCCTGCCCACTGCCCAGGCCTGCACCATGTCCCATCACCCAGCGGCCAGCCATGATGGGGCCCAGCCTCTCAGAGTGCTCTTCCGGAGACTGGAAAACGGACGCTGGAGCTCCAGCCTCCTGGCGGCCCCCTCATTTCACTCTCCTGAGAAGCCGGGAGCCTTCCTCGCTCAGAGCCCTCATGTGTCAGAGAAGTCTGAGGCTCCCTGTGTTCGTGTCCCACCGAGCGTCCTCTATGAGGACCTTCAGGTTTCCTCCTCCTCAGAGGACAGCGATTCTGACCTGGAGTGAGACTGCAGGTGGCAGGGGCTCCTTGGCCTCCAGCTCCCGTGACTTGGAGGGGACTGTGGGACTGAGGAGCGCAGAGCAGAGAGCAGACTCTGTGCGGTGACTCCGAAGCTCCCCGGCTGTGGCGCTTCTGTGGATGTGGGAGCCCAGGCCAGGCAGGGAGCAGATGCAGGGACTCTGCCTCATTGAATTCTGGTGAGGGACGTTGTAGTTGGCGTGGTTCTCCCGAAACGCGCCAGGAAAAGCTTCCGTGCCAGAGATTCGTTGCCTCAGAAACTGCGTGACGCGCAGGAGTCAGACTTCCGCTGGGACGTCAATAGGAAACTGGGGAATTACTGTGTATTTGCTCTCTAGATGACTGAATAAGGGAAAAGTTAGGGAACCCTGAGAGGTGCAGCCCTTCCTCTGTGCCCCGCCCTGAGAGCAGAGTTTCGGACGCTGGGAAGCGTGCTGTGTGAAGCGCTCTCGGGGTCTTTCCTCAGCCTCGAAAACTGGGCTCTGGAATGCCTTTGTACATATGTGTGTTTAATTGGTTTTGAAGTGAATAAAATTCTCAAAAAGATGACATATTGTCTTTTGACTCTCATTCCGTGTTTGTGTGTAACTGATTTTCCAAGTGAAGGGGTGGCCTGCCCCTCCACACCTGTGGGTGTTTCTAGTCGGGTGGGATGAGAGATGGAGAATAGAAATAAGACACAGAGACAAAGTATAGGGAGACAACAGTGGGTCCAGGGGACCGGCACTCAGCACACCTAGGACCTGCACCGGCACCGGCCTCTGAGTTCCCTCAGTTTTTATTGATTATGATTATCATTATTACAGCACAAAGGAATGCAGTAGGGGAGCAGGGTGATAATAAGGGGAAGTTCAACAGCAACAACAAAAACAAACACGTGAGCAAAAGAATCCATATCATTATTAAGTTCAAGGGAAGGTACTATGCCTGGACGTGCACGTAGGCCAGATTTATGTTTCTCTCCACACAAATATCTCAGCGGAGTAAAGAATAACAAGGCAGCATTACTGCCAACATGTCTCGCCTCCCGCCACAGGGCAGCTTTTCTCCGAGCTCAGAGTTGAACAAATGTACGATCGGGCTTTACACCGAGACATTCAGTTCCCAGGGGCAAGCAGGAGACAGTGGCCTTCCTCCATCTGAACTGCAAGAGGCTTTCCTCTTTGACTAATCCACCTCAGCACAGACCCATTGCGGGTGTCAGGCTGGGGGACAGTCAGGTCTTTCCCATCCCACGAGGCCATATTTCAGACTGTCACATGGGGAGAAACCTTGGACAATACCCTGCTTTCAAGGGCAGAGGTCCCTGTGGCTTTCCACGGTGCATTGCGCCCCTGGTTTATTGAGACTAGGGAATGGCAATGACTCCTACCAAGTATACTGCTCGTAAACATTTGGTTAACAAGGCGCGTCCTGCACAGCCCTAGATCCCTTAAACCTCGATTTTATACAACACAGGTTTTTGTGAGCTCCAAGTTGGGTCAAAGGAAGGGGCTGCGGCAAAGCTACAAATGATCAACATCTCAGCAAAGCAATTGTTTAAACTACAGGTCTTTTTCAAAATGGAGTCTCTTATGTCTTCCCCTTCTACATAGACACAGTGACAGTCTGATCTCTCTTTCTTTACCCTACATCCAAGGGCTTGAACATTTCTTGACTTGTTGGCAATCCAAATCGTTACGTCTCCGAAACAGAGTTGACTGAGGGGACCGCAGGGCTGGGCAGGACCTTTGACTTGCTATACATCCACAGGAGCAAGAAAACCTCAGCCCCACTCTACCAACACGCACCTAGTAAAATTCCGCCAACCGCATCTCACGCACGCTAACACGTGGGGAGCGTTGCTTGCACCACGAGTCCCCATTTGGCTCAACCGCCGATGCCAAGTGTGTGGTTCCAGTTGCGACGGCCCCCCGTGAAGTGGCTTCCGGATGTGCGAAGGAACCAGGCAGAGTTTCACTGGCCAAATAGACCCCAGCAAAGCTGAAGTTAACTCCCACATTTGGGATGTACTTCAGAGGTAAAACATTCATCCCGTCTTCTTTCCGGATGTCTGACACCATGGTTCTCCCCCTGATCCTAAGAGTAGCTGAGGTAGAGACTCACTGAAAGATCTAGG
Source organism: Homo sapiens (assembly GCF_000001405.40). NCBI lineage: Eukaryota > Metazoa > Chordata > Mammalia > Primates > Hominidae > Homo > Homo sapiens. Next base: position 7,284,913 of record NC_000008.11, read on the forward strand.
CGGGGATGTCCCATCATGCACAGGCTCTCTCCATTCTCTGACCTGGGAACAACTCTCAGCAGGATTCCACATCTAGGAGGCCTCGGAACTCAGTGGGATTTTCTGAGACACACCAACTGGCTGCTCCCTCTCCGCCGCTGTTGAGGGTCGTTATCTTGATTATCCAGATCACCTAGAAAGTATCCGTATCCAGAATGAATAAGATCAACTCTCTGCTCCTCTGACAGCAGAGGGAGCAGGACCATAAGGAACCAAAGAGCGTGGAAGGAAACGATGTGACAGGAAAGCTCAGAGAACGGCCACAGGGGGTCGTCAGCAGGCCTTCCAACCTGAATCATGAATAATTAATGAAGCGCAAATCAAAGGGGACTGGAGTTTCAGCAGGAGCAATTCATCCAACGGGAGATCGCCGGAGGGCCAACAAGATTGAGAGACTGGGAGCCGGGTGCAGTGTCAAAGGGGACGCGACTGGTTCCAAAGCTCGAGAAGACCATGGGGTCACTTGGGCTACATGAGAAAACGCCCCAGTGTGCTGGTTCATCATTCCGACTCCTGCCTGTCTCTTCCCGTCCAAGGAACATGGACCCTAAGTCGTGCAGGTGCGGATGACCATGGGCAGAATTAGGGGCCGTGGCACAAAAGTTCACCGACACGGGAGTTCCACAGAAGGTGCGGTGGATCTTCGCAAATCCAGAGACATGGCAATGGGACCCAGGGAATTAGAGCCTCACAGGCGTCCGGGAGTCGCAAGACGAGCTGAAAAAGGAGGCAGGCACTGAAGGACAAAGCGTTGTTGACTTTCCTCATCTGTGTTTCCCAGTGCGGTCCAATTCACGGTGGTTTCCAAGCGCCTCCTGGGGGAGAAAACACATGAGGGTGCGGTCAGGGTTCTCTGCTGACAGACTTACCTTGGGGAAGAAAGAGAAGCTCTGAAGATGGATCATGGCCGTGACTGCATGTCAAGGAGAGTCTCCTTGATGACACTGAGGCCTACGTCGAGAGAGACAAAATGTGGTCCAATTAAAAGGTGTCTATTTTACCACATTTTTTAAAACGAAACAAAACAAAACAACAAAAAAGATGGAAAAGAAGACAGGGATACAGGCACCAGTGTTACATGTCTGACGGGGAACATCTATTGTTCAAAGCTTGCAGCTGTACAAGTAGGTTTTAGAATGTCTGTCAGCAGTGGACAGGATCTTAGAGTGGGCTGTGCAGATAGACCTTTCCAGGTCATGTAACTGGATTAAGTTAATTGCAATTAAGGTACAGGTAACTGATTAGGTTAGGGTACGTTCCATGTCAGGTGACCAGAGGCAGTATAAAAGGCAGCCTGGAAAGCAGAGGTCCCTCTCCGCCCCTTCCTCCGTCGTTCTGGATGCTGCATCGCTTCCAGCGGGGCTGCTGCAGCACCTGCCCATCTCAGCGCCAGCCTGGGAAAGAAAGTAGACGTGTAATTTCAGGTTAGTTTCGCTGAACAATTGTTTGTTTCACGCAATCCCTGAGGGGTTTTTGCGGGGGGTGTGGGGGAGGAAGAGACAAAGGAGGCCGAAAGAAACCGATCACACTGGGGCTTGCTGGTGGGGTAGGATGTGTTCTCGTTACTAGTAATTCTTGGAACAGAAAACGAGAAAACATATCCGTCTCCACGTGTGGGAGAAGACCAAGATGGGAATGCGAAAAGAAATGTACTGCAGCCTGCTGAATTGGTGGGTAAACGGCAAAAGGACTTTGGAAAAAAGGGTGGTTGGCCCTTGAGCCGTGTAAGACGTCGATACGATATGGCACTTCTTCCCCGTTTGTTCAGATGAATTCGTGTGGTATGCGTAAAATACCAGGAAAATAAATAAAGAGGGGCTGGAGCTAAAGCCAAAAGATAGAACAGGAAAGACCATCACCTGCTAGTGCGGTAGAGAGGAAGGTAACTTCTCTGTATGAATTTGTGTTTGGAAGTTGCCTAATGAAATGGCAAGAGTAGCGATTCAAGTTGTCACAGGAAGCATCCCTTATCCCTGACTTCAAGCAGACCTGCCAAAGGGTGGCACACGCCATGCCCTGTGTCTTCGATCATTCTGTCCGTCAAGGGAGATAGAATCACCGTGTCTTCTACCGGAGTGAATCGTGAGAGACCTAAGTCCAGTCTCCAGAATCAGTTGTTTGTTTGGGGTTGAAAGCTCAACCCCCCATACCTAGGCCACGGGCCCTGTGGCAGGTGGGGTTTACTCTTGGACTAGGTAGTCATGGCAGAGGAACACACAATATCCGAGGATGCGCGCAGCACATTGTGTTCTACAGATTTGACCGACTGGTGGTGAGGTCTCCTCATGACCACACAGGCAGGGAGTTAGCAGGTGGCTTCCTGTGGGTGTGTGAATATCCAACGTGCTTAACCATCGACATGTGTGTGTTTGTGTGTGTTTCAGGTGGCCCAACAGTCCACCCCTGAAAAAGGCGGTCATAAAACCCCCAGGAGACGAAGATGATGGCACGTCGGGACCCCACATCTTGGGCCAAGAGACTGGTGAGAGCCCAGACCCTCCAGAAGCAGCGGAGGGCCCCAGTTGGGCCAAGGGCTCCCCCGCCCGATGAAGAAGATCCCAGGGTAAGTCTAGCCCTGGATCTCTTGGGTATCGGGGTGGGGGTGGGGACGGGGGGAGGGGGTGTCCCACGGTCCTCAGAGACTGGGTTGGATTCCAAAGAGTTCTGTCACCACCAGCCAGGTTGCTTTTCCCATCCAAGGTGGGCGTGGCTTGGGACCTTCTCCCCGGCCCGATAGGTCCCTTGAGAGACTCTTGGGGGCAACCTCCCTTTCTACTTAGAGTCCTGTGTAGCCACGTTTGGCTGCGTTGTTGACATCGGCTTCACCATCGTGCCCCTTGGAACCTTGAGTCCTTCCTTTCAGAGTTCCTCCGTCACACGGGCTTTGCGAGGGAACATCGTATCCGAACTCTCCCAGCACTTAACGGCCCCCATGCCGGTGTCCCCTCTTTGGAATCCTTATTCAGCTCTGAATTCACAATCCGTCCCAATGTTGACGTGGGATCGCTGCCTGTGGCTTCAGCTCACTCACTGACATCACTTCCTTTCCACCCACAGCTCAAGTGCAAAAACTGCGGGGCCTTTGGCCACACGGCCAGAAGTACCAGGTGCCCCATGAAGTGCTGGAAGGCAGCCCTGGTTCCAGCGACCTTGGGGAAAAAGGAAGGGAAGGAAAACCTGAAACCATGGAAGCCCCGGGTTGAAGCCAACCCGGGGCCCTTGAACAAGGATAAGGGAGAGAAGGAAGAGAGACCAAGGTGAGCAGTGGGAGGGGTTTTCACCACTCTTGGGGTACTGCCTCCTAAGGACATGGTGTCTCTGCACCTGCACACCGTGTGCCTTTCCGTCTCCGGGCCAGGGAAGGAACGCTGCAGAGAAATAGGCCGGAGCTCCGTGTCCTCCGGGGTTCCACACCCAGGAGCTCCTTGGGCTCTGGGAGATTCAGGGACGGGGAGAGGCGGGGGCGCTTCGTGCAGGTTCCCCGCGACAGCGGGAAAAGCGATGGAATCCAAATCACAGTCCTTAGTTGGGAAGCCTAGAGGGCCACCTGGAGGATGGGAAGGTTGGCACGTGAGGGAAGGTGCAGAGGCGGAAAGGGCACCAGATGTCCATTTCTGTATCACAAGACACGGAATGGGGCTGGGCCCCAGACGGGGTTCTCCCTGTCTCCTGGGGAAAACCAGGGGGCACGGCCTGACCTTTTTCTGTTCTGCAGGCAACAAGACCCGCAGAGGAAGGCTCTCCTCCACATGTTTTCCGGGAAACCTCCAGAGAAGCCGCTGCCGAATGGAAAAGGATCCACGGAACCTTCTGATTATCTGAGGGCGAGTGTCACCCCGGGCCCCTGGTCTTTTTCTCCTCTAGGTCACCCTGGTTGATTTCCTTTCAGCTTCCCGTCTGCGGGAGGAAATCGGGGAACCCCTCTTTCTTGCCTTCTTGGGGTCAGGGACTCCACGATCCTTCCAGGTCAATTGGATTCCAGGCGAAGGCATCTGAACATGCCGTATTTCCTGTTGCTTTCTTTCTGTCCAATTATGGCAAGCCTGCCAACAACACGTTCCTAGCGGCATGAGGAAATTAGTCCCTCAGAGGCCCCAAACGTGGAGAAGGCGAAACCCAGGAACATGCATGTGTTCAGAGAAGACGTCCCGAGTACCCTTGAGCCACCAACCTGCCTTGGGAAGGGCATTAGTCCGTTCCACTTCATGGAAGGCTGAGTGGAGGCGCTTTGATCCAGTTAATGCCCAAGACGCGATCTTTTGAACAATGGTGTGCTTAGATCAGCTACACATAGCTCGAGAGCGCATCTTTCATGTGTCTTGTCCTGATCAGCACTCAGGTGGAGGGTCTGTCCCTACTTCCAAGGACCGCCTGTCGATACTGTACTAAGAATTTCATGGCGTGTGCACCTTGTCTTTGGATGTGCTTGATTTTCACGTTGGCTCCATGCTGAGGAACTTCTAACCTGTGTTGTTTCCTCTCTTTCAGGTTGCAAGCGGGCCAATGCCGGTCCACACAACCAGTAAGAGGCCGCGCGTGGACCCTGTCCTCGCTGATGGCTCAGCTACCGAAATGTCTGACAGGGGCTCCGTCTTGGCTTCACTGTCTCCCCTCAGAAAAGCCAGCCTGAGCTCCTCCTCAAGTCTTGGACCAAAGGAAAGACAGACAGGGGCTGCGGCCGACATGCCTCAGCCTGCAGTCAGGCACCAGGGCCGCGAGCCTCTCCTCGTGGTGAAGCCGACACACAGCCGCCCCGAGGGTGGCTGCCGAGAAGTTCCCCAGGCTGCCTCCAAAACCCACGGCCTGCTCCAGGCCGCCAGACCCCAGGCACAAGACAAACGTCCTGCGGTGACCTCACAGCCCTGCCCGCCAGCCGCCACACACAGCTTGGGCCTAGGCTCCAATCTCAGCTTCGGGCCAGGAGCCAAGAGACCTGCCCAGGCTCCGATTCAGGCTTGCCTGAACTTCCCCAAGAAACCGAGACTGGGTCCCTTCCAGATCCCCGAAAGCGCCATCCAGGGAGGTGAGCTGGGGGCCCCGGAGAATCTCCAACCTCCGCCAGCCGCAACCGAACTTGGACCAAGTACGTCGCCCCAGATGGGCAGGAGGACACCGGCCCAGGTGCCCAGCGTCGACCGGCAGCCTCCGCACAGCAGACCTTGCCTGCCCACTGCCCAGGCCTGCACCATGTCCCATCACCCAGCGGCCAGCCATGATGGGGCCCAGCCTCTCAGAGTGCTCTTCCGGAGACTGGAAAACGGACGCTGGAGCTCCAGCCTCCTGGCGGCCCCCTCATTTCACTCTCCTGAGAAGCCGGGAGCCTTCCTCGCTCAGAGCCCTCATGTGTCAGAGAAGTCTGAGGCTCCCTGTGTTCGTGTCCCACCGAGCGTCCTCTATGAGGACCTTCAGGTTTCCTCCTCCTCAGAGGACAGCGATTCTGACCTGGAGTGAGACTGCAGGTGGCAGGGGCTCCTTGGCCTCCAGCTCCCGTGACTTGGAGGGGACTGTGGGGCTGAGGAGCGCAGAGCAGAGAGCACACTCTGTGCGGTGACTCCGAAGCTCCCCGGCTGTGGCGCTTCTGTGGATGTGGGAGCCCAGGCCAGGCAGGGAGCAGATGCAGGGACTCTGCCTCATTGAATTCTGGTGAGGGACGTTGTAGTTGGCGTGGTTCTCCCGAAACGCGCCAGGAAAAGCTTCCGTGCCAGAGATTCGTTGCCTCAGAAACTGCGTGACGCGCAGGAGTCAGACTTCCGCTGGGACGTCAATAGGAAACTGGGGAATTACTGTGTATTTGCTCTCTAGATGACTGAATAAGGGAAAAGTTAGGGAACCCTGAGAGGTGCAGCCCTTCCTCTGTGCCCCGCCCTGAGAGCAGAGTTTCGGACGCTGGGAAGCGTGCTGTGTGAAGCGCTCTCGGGGTCTTTCCTCAGCCTCGAAAACTGGGCTCTGGAATGCCTTTGTACATATGTGTGTTTAATTGGTTTTGAAGTGAATAAAATTCTCAAAAAGATGACATATTGTCTTTTGACTCTCATTCCGTGTTTGTGTGTAACTGATTTTCCAAGTGAAGGGGTGGCCTGCCCCTCCACACCTGTGGGTGTTTCTAGTCGGGTGGGATGAGAGATGGAGAATAGAAATAAGACACAGAGACAAAGTATAGGGAGACAACAGTGGGTCCAGGGGACCGGCACTCAGCACACCTAGGACCTGCACCGGCACCGGCCTCTGAGTTCCCTCAGTTTTTATTGATTATGATTATCATTATTACAGCACAAAGGAATGCAGTAGGGGAGCAGGGTGATAATAAGGGGAAGTTCAACAGCAACAACAAAAACAAACACGTGAGCAAAAGAATCCATATCATTATTAAGTTCAAGGGAAGGTACTATGCCTGGACGTGCACGTAGGCCAGATTTATGTTTCTCTCCACACAAATATCTCAGCGGAGTAAAGAATAACAAGGCAGCATTACTGCCAACATGTCTCGCCTCCCGCCACAGGGCAGCTTTTCTCCGAGCTCAGAGTTGAACAAATGTACGATCGGGCTTTACACCGAGACATTCAGTTCCCAGGGGCAAGCAGGAGACAGTGGCCTTCCTCCATCTGAACTGCAAGAGGCTTTCCTCTTTGACTAATCCACCTCAGCACAGACCCATTGCGGGTGTCAGGCTGGGGGACAGTCAGGTCTTTCCCATCCCACGAGGCCATATTTCAGACTGTCACATGGGGAGAAACCTTGGACAATACCCTGCTTTCAAGGGCAGAGGTCCCTGTGGCTTTCCACGGTGCATTGCGCCCCTGGTTTATTGAGACTAGGGAATGGCAATGACTCCTACCAAGTATACTGCTCGTAAACATTTGGTTAACAAGGCGCGTCCTGCACAGCCCTAGATCCCTTAAACCTCGATTTTATACAACACAGGTTTTTGTGAGCTCCAAGTTGGGTCAAAGGAAGGGGCTGCGGCAAAGCTACAAATGATCAACATCTCAGCAAAGCAATTGTTTAAACTACAGGTCTTTTTCAAAATGGAGTCTCTTATGTCTTCCCCTTCTACATAGACACAGTGACAGTCTGATCTCTCTTTCTTTACCCTACATCCAAGGGCTTGAACATTTCTTGACTTGTTGGCAATCCAAATCGTTACGTCTCCGAAACAGAGTTGACTGAGGGGACCGCAGGGCTGGGCAGGACCTTTGACTTGCTATACATCCACAGGAGCAAGAAAACCTCAGCCCCACTCTACCAACACGCACCTAGTAAAATTCCGCCAACCGCATCTCACGCACGCTAACACGTGGGGAGCGTTGCTTGCACCACGAGTCCCCATTTGGCTCAACCGCCGATGCCAAGTGTGTGGTTCCAGTTGCGACGGCCCCCCGTGAAGTGGCTTCCGGATGTGCGAAGGAACCAGGCAGAGTTTCACTGGCCAAATAGACCCCAGCAAAGCTGAAGTTAACTCCCACATTTGGGATGTACTTCAGAGGTAAAACATTCATCCCGTCTTCTTTCCGGATGTCTGACACCATGGTTCTCCCCCTGATCCTAAGAGTAGCTGAGGTAGAGACTCACTGAAAGATCTAGGCGGGGATGTCCCATCATGCACAGGCTCTCTCCATTCTCTGACCTGGGAACAACTCTCAGCAGGATTCCACATCTAGGAGGCCTCGGAACTCAGTGGGATTTTCTGAGACACACCAACTGGCTGCTCCCTCTCCGCCGCTGTTGAGGGTCGTTATCTTGATTATCCAGATCACCTAGAAAGTATCCGTATCCAGAATGAATAAGATCAACTCTCTGCTCCTCTGACAGCAGAGGGAGCAGGACCATAAGGAACCAAAGAGCGTGGAAGGAAACGATGTGACAGGAAAGCTCAGAGAACGGCCACAGGGGGTCGTCAGCAGGCCTTCCAACCTGAATCATGAATAATTAATGAAGCGCAAATCAAAGGGGACTGGAGTTTCAGCAGGAGCAATTCATCCAACGGGAGATCGCCGGAGGGCCAACAAGATTGAGAGACTGGGAGCCGGGTGCAGTGTCAAAGGGGACGCGACTGGTTCCAAAGCTCGAGAAGACCATGGGGTCACTTGGGCTACATGAGAAAACGCCCCAGTGTGCTGGTTCATCATTCCGACTCCTGCCTGTCTCTTCCCGTCCAAGGAACATGGACCCTAAGTCGTGCAGGTGCGGATGACCATGGGCAGAATTAGGGGCCGTGGCACAAAAGTTCACCGACACGGGAGTTCCACAGAAGGTGCGGTGGATCTTCGCAAATCCAGAGACATGGCAATGGGACCCAGGGAATTAGAGCCTCACAGGCGTCCGGGAGTCGCAAGACGAGCTGAAAAAGGAGGCAGGCACTGAAGGACAAAGCGTTGTTGACTTTCCTCATCTGTGTTTCCCAGTGCGGTCCAATTCACGGTGGTTTCCAAGCGCCTCCTGGGGGAGAAAACACATGAGGGTGCGGTCAGGGTTCTCTGCTGACAGACTTACCTTGGGGAAGAAAGAGAAGCTCTGAAGATGGATCATGGCCGTGACTGCATGTCAAGGAGAGTCTCCTTGATGACACTGAGGCCTACGTCGAGAGAGACAAAATGTGGTCCAATTAAAAGGTGTCTATTTTACCACATTTTTTAAAACGAAACAAAACAAAACAACAAAAAAGATGGAAAAGAAGACAGGGATACAGGCACCAGTGTTACATGTCTGACGGGGAACATCTATTGTTCAAAGCTTGCAGCTGTACAAGTAGGTTTTAGAATGTCTGTCAGCAGTGGACAGGATCTTAGAGTGGGCTGTGCAGATAGACCTTTCCAGGTCATGTAATTGGATTAAGTTAATTGCAATTAAGGTACAGGTAACTGATTAGGTTAGGGTACGTTCCATGTCAGGTGACCAGAGGCAGTATAAAAGGCAGCCTGGAAAGCAGAGGTCCCTCTCCGCCCCTTCCTCCGTCGTCCTGGATGCTGCATCGCTTCCAGCCGGGCTGCTGCAGCACCTGCCCATCTCAGCGCCAGCCTGGGAAAGAAAGTAGACGTGTAACTTCAGGTTAGTTTCGCTGAACAATTGTTTGTTTCACGCAATCCCTGAGGGGTTTTTGCGGGGGGTGTGGGGGAGGAAGAGACAAAGGAGGCCGAAAGAAACCGATCACACTGGGGCTTGCTGGTGGGGTAGGATGTGTTCTCGTTACTAGTAATTCTTGGAACAGAAAACGAGAAAACATATCCGTCTCCACGTGTGGGAGAAGACCAAGATGGGAATGCGAAAAGAAATGTACTGCAGCATGCTGAATTGGTGGGTAAACGGCAAAAGGACTTTGGAAAAAAGGGTGGTTGGCCCTTGAGCCGTGTAAGACGTCGATACGATATGGCACTTCTTCCCCGTTTGTTCAGATGAATTCGTGTGGTATGCGTAAAATACCAGGAAAATAAATAAAGAGGGGCTGGAGCTAAAGCCAAAAGATAGAACAGGAAAGACCATCACCTGCTAGTGCGGTAGAGAGGAAGGTAACTTCTCTGTATGAATTTGTGTTTGGAAGTTGCCTAATGAAATGGCAAGAGTAGCGATTCAAGTTGTCACAGGAAGCATCCCTTATCCCTGACTTCAAGCAGACCTGCCAAAGGGTGGCACACGCCATGCCCTGTGTCTTCGATCATTCTGTCCGTCAAGGGAGATAGAATCACCGTGTCTTCTACCGGAGTGAATCGTGAGAGACCTAAGTCCAGTCTCCAGAATCAGTTGTTTGTTTGGGGTTGAAAGCTCAACCCCCCATACCTAGGCCACGGGCCCTGTGGCAGGTGGGGTTTACTCTTGGACTAGGTAGTCATGGCAGAGGAACACACAATATCCGAGGATGCGCACAGCACATTGTGTTCTACAGATTTGACCGACTGGTGGTGAGGTCTCCTCATGACCACACAGGCAGGGAGTTAGCAGGTGGCTTCCTGTGGGTGTGTGAATATCCAACGTGCTTAACCATCGACATGTGTGTGTTTGTGTGTGTTTCAGGTGGCCCAACAGTCCACCCCTGAAAAAGGCGGTCATAAAACCCCCAGGAGACGAAGATGATGGCACGTCGGGACCCCACATCTTGGGCCAAGAGACTGGTGAGAGCCCAGACCCTCCAGAAGCAGCGGAGGGCCCCAGTTGGGCCAAGGGCTCCCCCGCCCGATGAAGAAGATCCCAGGGTAAGTCTAGCCCTGGATCTCTTGGGTATCGGGGTGGGGGTGGGGACGGGGGGAGGGGGTGTCCCACGGTCCTCAGAGACTGGGTTGGATTCCAAAGAGTTCTGTCACCACCAGCCAGGTTGCTTTTCCCATCCAAGGTGGGCGTGGCTTGGGACCTTCTCCCCGGCCCGATAGGTCCCTTGAGAGACTCTTGGGGGCAACCTCCCTTTCTACTTAGAGTCCTGTGTAGCCACGTTTGGCTGCGTTGTTGACATCGGCTTCACCATCGTGCCCCTTGGAACCTTGAGTCCTTCCTTTCAGAGTTCCTCCGTCACACGGGCTTTGCGAGGGAACATCGTATCCGAACTCTCCCAGCACTTAACGGCCCCCATGCCGGTGTCCCCTCTTTGGAATCCTTATTCAGCTCTGAATTCACAATCCATCCCAATGTTAACGTGGGATCGCTGCCTGTGGCTTCAGCTCACTCACTGACATCACTTCCTTTCCACCCACAGCTCAAGTGCAAAAACTGCGGGGCCTTTGGCCACACGGCCAGAAGTACCAGGTGCCCCATGAAGTGCTGGAAGGCAGCCCTGGTTCCAGCGACCTTGGGGAAAAAGGAAGGGAAGGAAAACCTGAAACCATGGAAGCCTGGGGTTGAAGCCAACCCGGGGCCCTTGAACAAGGATAAGGGAGAGAAGGAAGAGAGACCAAGGTGAGCAGTGGGAGGGGTTTTCACCACTCTTAGGGTACTGCCTCCTAAGGACATGGTGTCTCTGCACCTGCACACCGTGTGCCTTTCCGTCTCCGGGCCAGGGAAGGAACGCTGCAGAGAAATAGGCCGGAGCTCCGTGTCCTCCGGGGTTCCACACCCAGGAGCTCCTTGGGCTCTGGGAGATTCAGGGACGGGGAGAGGCGGGGGCGCTTCATGCAGGTTCCCCACGACAGGGGGAAAAGCAATGGAATCCAAATCACAGTCCTTAGTTGGGAAGCCTAGAGGGCCACCTGGAGGATGGGAAGGTTGGCACGTGAGGGAAGGTGCAGAGGCGGAAAGGGCACCAGATTTCCATTTCTGTATCACAAGACACGGAATGGGGCTGGGCCCCAGACGGGGTTCTCCCTGTCTCCTGGGGAAAACCAGGGGGCACGGCCTGACCTTTTTCTGTTCTGCAGGCAACAAGACCCGCAGAGGAAGGCTCTCCTCCACATGTTTTCCGGGAAACCTCCAGAGAAGCCGCTGCCGAATGGAAAAGGATCCACGGAATCTTCTGATTATCTGAGGGTGAGTGTCACCCCGGGCCCCTGGTCCTTTTATCCTCTAGGTAACCCTGGTTGATTTCCTTTCAGCTTCCCGTCTGCGGGAGGAAATCGGGGAACCCCTCTTTCTTGTCTTCTTGGGGTCAGGGCCTCCACGATCCTTGCAGGTCAGTTTGATTCCAGGCGAAGTCATCTGAAGATGCCGTATTTCCTGTGGCTTTCTTTCTGTCCAATTATGGCAAGCCTGCCAACAACACGTTCCTAGCGGCATGAGGAAATTAGTCCCTCAGAGGCCGCAAACGTGGAGAAGGCTAAACCCAGGAACATGCATGTGTTCATAGAAGACGTCCCGAGTACCCTTGAGCCACCAACCTGCCTTCGGAAAGCCATTAGTCCGTTCCACTTCATGGAAGGCTGAGTGGAGGCACTTTGATCCAGTTAATGCCCAAGACGCAATCTTTTGAACAATGGTGTGCTTAGATCAGCTACACATAGCTCGATAGCGCATCGTTCATGTGTCTTTTCCTGATCAGCACTCAGGTGGAGGGTCTGTCCCTACTTCCAAGGACCGCCTGTCGATACTGTACTAAGAATTTCATGGTGTGTGCACCTTGTCTTTGGATGTGTTTGATTTTCATGTTGGCTCCATGCTGAGGAACTTCTAACCTGTGTTGTTTCCTCTCTTTCAGGTTGCAAGGGGGCCAATGCCGGTCCACACAACCTGTAAGAGGCCGCGCATGGACCCTGTCCTCTCTGGTCGCTCAGCTACCGAAATGTCTGGCAGGGGCTCCGTCTTGGCTTCACTGTCTCCCCTCAGAAAAGCCAGTCTGAGCTCCTCCTCAAGTCTTGGACCAAAGGAAAGACAGACAGGGGCTGCCGCCGACATCCCTCGGCCTGCAGTCAGGCACCAGGTCCACGAGACTCTCCTCGTGGTGGAGCCGACACACAGCAGCCCTGAGGGTAGCTGCCGAGAAGTTCCCCAGGCTGCCTCCAAAACCCACGGCCTGCTCCAGGCCGTCAGAACCCAGGCACAAGACAAACGTCCTGCGGTGACCTCACAGCCCTGCCCATCAGCCGCCACACACAGCTTGGGCCTAGGCTCCAATCTCAGCTTTGGGTCAGGAGCCAAGAGACCTGCCCAGGCTCCGATTCAGGCTTGCCTGAACTTCCCCAAGAAACCGAGACTGGGTCCCTTCCAGATCCCCGAAAGCACCATCCAGGGAGGTGAGCTGGGGGCCCCGGAGAATCTCCAACCTCCACCAGCCGCAACCGAACTTGGACCAAGTAGGTCGCCCCAGATGGGCAGGAGGACACCGGCCCAGGTGCCCAGCGTTGAACGGCAGCCTCCGCACCGCAGACCTTGCCTGCCTACTGCCCAGGCCTGCACCATGTCCCATCACCCAGCGGCCAGCCATGATGGGGCCCAGCCTCTCAGAGTGCTCTTCCGGAGACTGGAAAACGGACGCTGGAGCTCCAGCCTCCTGGCGGCCCCCTCATTTCACTCTCCTGAGAAGCCGGGAGCCTTCCTCGCTCAGAGCCCTCATGTGTCAGAGAAGTCTGAGGCTCCCTGTGTTCGTGTCCCACCGAGCGTCCTCTATGAGGACCTTCAGGTTTCCTCCTCCTCAGAGGACAGCGATTCTGACCTGGAGTGAGACTGCAGGTGGCAGGGGCTCCTTGGCCTCCAGCTCCCGTGACTTGGAGGGGACTGTGGGACTGAGGAGCGCAGAGCAGAGAGCAGACTCTGCGCTGACTTCGATGCTCCCCGGCTGTCGCGCTTCTGTGGATGTGGGAGCCCAGGCCAGGCAGAGAACAGATGCAGGGACTCTGCCTCATTGAATTCTGGTGAGGGACATTGTATTTCGCATGGGTCTCCAGAAACGCACCAGGAAAAGCTTCCGCGTCAGTGATTCTTTGCGTCAGAAACTGCGTGATGCGCTGGAGTCAGACTTCCGCTGGGACGTCAATAGGAAACTAGGGAATTACTGTGTATTTGCTCTTTAGATGACTGAATAAGGGAAAAGTTAGGGAACCCTGAGAGGTGCAGCCCTTCCTCTGTGCTCCGCCTTGAGAGCAGTGTTTCGGACGCTGGGAAGCGTGCTGTGCAAAGTGCTCTCGGGGTCTTTCCTCAGCCTCGAAAACTGGGCTCTGGAATGCCTTTGTAAATATGTGTGTTGAATTTGTTTTGAAGTGAATAAAATTCTCAAAAAGATGACATATTGTCTTTTGACTCTCATTCCGTGTTTGTGTTTAACTGATTTTCCAAGTGTAGGGATCGCCTGCCCCTCCACACCTGTGGGTGTTTCTAGTCGGGTGGGATGAGAGACGGAGAAAAGAAATAAGACACAGAGGCAAAGTATAGGGAGACAAAAGTGGGTCCAGGGGACCGGCACTCAGCACACCAAGGACCTGCACCGGCACCGGCCTCTGAGTTCCCTCATTTTTAATTGATTATGATTTTCATTATTTCAGCAAAAAGGAATGTAGTAGGAGAGCAGGGTGATAATAAAGAGAAGGTCAACCAAAAAAACATGTGAGCAAAGCAATCTATATCATAATTAAGTTCAAGGGAAGGTACTATGCCTGGACGTGCACGTAGGCCAGATTTATGTTTCTCTCCACCCAAACATCTCAGCGGAGTAAAGAATAACAGGGCAGCATTACTGCCAACATGTCTCGCCTCGCGCCACAGGGCAGCTTTTCTCCTAGCTCAGAGTTGAACAAATGTACGATCGGATTTTACACCGAGACATTCAGCTCCCAGGGGCGAGCAGGAGACAGTGGCCTTCCTCCATCTCAACTACAAGAGGCTTTCCTCTTTGACTAATCCACCTCAGCACAGACGCTTTACCGGTGTCAGGCTAGGGGACAGTCAGGTCTTTTTTATCCCACAAGGCCATATTTCAGAGTATCGCATCGGGAGAAACCTTGGACAATGCCCTACTTTCAAGGGCAGACGTCCCTGCAGCTTTCCACGGTGCATTGTGCCCCTGGTTTATTGAGACTAGAGAATGGCCACGACTTTTACCAAGTATACGGCTTGTAAACATTTGGTTAACAAGGCACGTCCTGCACAGCCCTAGATCCCTTAAGCCTTGATTTTATACAACACAGGTTTTTGTGAGCTCCAAGTTGGGTCAAAGCGGCTGGGGCAAAGTGCCTGGGGCAAAGCTACAAATGAACAACATCTCAGCAAAGCAATTGTTTAAAGTACAGGTCTTTTCCAAAATGGAGTCTCTTATGTCTTCCCTTTCGACATAGACACAGTGACAGTCTGATCTCTCTTTCTTTTCCCTACATCCAAGGGCTTGAACATTTCTTGACTTGTTAGCAATCCAAATCGTTATGTCTCCGAAACAGAGTTGACTGAGGGGACCGCACGGCTGGGCAGGACCTTTGACTTCGTATACATCCACAGGAGAAAGAGAACCTCAGCCCCACTCTACCAACACGCACCTAGTAAAATTCCGCCAACTGAATCTCACGCACGCTAACACGTGGGGAGCGTTGCTTGCACCGCGAGTCCCCATTTGGCTCAACCGCCTATGCCAAGTGTGTGGTTCCGGTTGCGACGGCCCCCCGTGAAGTGGCTTCCGGATGTGCGAATGAACCAGGCAGAGTTTCACTGACCAAATAGTCCCCAGCAAAGCTGTAGTTAACTCCCAGATTTGGGATGTACTTCAGAGGTAAAACATTCATCCCATCTTCTTTCCGGATGTCTGACACCGGGCCTTTCCATGGTTCTCCCACTGATCCTAAGAGTAGCTGAGGTAGAGACTCACTGAAAGATCTAGGCAGGGATATCTCATCATGCACAGACTCTCTCTATTCTCTGACCTGGGAACAACTCTGAGCAGGATTCCACATCTAGGAGGCCTCGGAACTGAGCGGTATTTTCTGAGACACACTGAATGGCTGCTCCCTTTCCGCCGCTGTTGAGGGTCGTTATCTTGATTATCCAGATCACCTAGAAAGTATCCGTATCCAGAATCAATAAGATCTACTCTCTGCTCCTCTGACAGCAGAAGCAGCAGGACCACAATGAACCAAAGAGCGTGGAAGGAAACGATGTGACCGGAAAGCTCAGAGAACGGCCACAGGGAGTCGTAAGCAGGCCTTCCAAACTGAATCATGAATAATTAATGAAGCGCAAATCAAAGGGGACTCGAGTTTCAGCAGGTGCAATTCATCCAAAGGGAGATCGCCGGAGGGCCAACAAGATTGAGAAACTGGGAGTCGGGTGCAGTGTCAAGGGGGACGCGACTGGTTCCAAAGCTCGAGAAGACCATGGGGTCACTTGGGCTACATGAGAAAATGCCCCAGTGTGCTGGTTCATCATTCCGACTCCTGCCTGTCTCTTCCCGTCCAAGGAACATGGACCCTAACTCGTGCAGTTCCAGATGACTATGGGCAGAATTAGGGGCCGTGGCCCAAAAGTTCACCGACATGGGGGTTCCACAGAAGGTGAGGTGGATCTTTGCAAATCCAGAGAAATGACAATAGGACCCAGGGAATTAGAGCCTCACAGGCGTCCGGGAGACTTTTCAGGTATAATGTCTGGTGTCGCAAGACGAGCTGAAAAGGGAGCCAGGCACTGAAAGACAAAGCGGTGTTGACTTTCTTCATCTGTGTTTCCCAAAGCAGTCCAATTCACTTTGGTAGAATTCATGTATTTATTTTCCGTTGGCTTGTAGTTGCAAACTTTTGATGTTATTGATTTTTGGTTGGAGAGTTTCGGTTTGAAAAAGTAGATATTCTGAATATGGAGGTTGTCCAAGATTGTATCTCAAGGTGAGTCTACTTGATTCCAGCGAACCATACTTTGACATATAATACATATGTTTTAATTATATTTTGTCTGTTTTAAAACAGCTTAAAAAATCACTTCGTGGAAAATGTCACTTAGATACACCAATGTTAACTTTCTCATCACATGTCCAGAGGCACTGTAAAATTCATTCTAGAATGCAAAATTCCCAGCCACTTCTACGTGGAACTTTCTGCAGAATGGGATTGTATCCAGTTTTCAGGGGGCGCAGGTGTGGTACGAGCTGGTCCTTGGTTTCCTGCTGAAGTTGGAATCCTGCAGATTGCTTAGGGGCGGTTTCCACCTGTCCCTTCTTTCCAGGTCATCACTAACCTTTCCTGATCCCCCATGGGGACTCAGAACTTATCTAGAGTCACAGGCCCACCTGGGATGCTGCCCTTGAGCCTCTGTGCTGTCCATGATGGTTCCATGCCACTGATCTGCTGGGACACATTCTGCAGAGGGATGGGCTTGCATGAGCTGTCCCTGCCTTTCTGAAAATCACAGAGATTTCTGGTGTCTGAAGCCACATAGAAATATCTGTGGAGTCTCGGGAAGGCCAGGGATGCCATTCACAGGCTGCTGTTCTTCCTCTTAATGGCAGCAAGAGTGATTTCTGAGTTTCCTAATTGACTTCGAAATAATTTTGTTGATTTTGTTGTGACAAAGACCACTCCTCTTTCTGTGGCATCCAGTTCACCTGTAGGGTTTTTTGGGATTATGTGGAAACTCTTGCATTTTTCCAGAGCCTCAATTCATCCTGGATGTTCTCAGGAATGCACTAGCTGATCCCTGCCTTGGTGGCATCTTGAAACATTGAGGGAGGCCCCTTAGGTCCATGAGGCACAAGGAGGTCCATCAGGAATTGAGGGGGCATGTGTCTGCCCATCTGTAGCTGGAACTTCCATTTGCCTTCAGAATGCAGGTTCTTCCTGAACTAATAAATTATCTTCATCTTGGTGTAAGTAGCCACAATATAATAATTCATAGTAACTCTATTAATAAAAATAACTGAATATCAACAATGAAGGTAATAATGACAATGTTAATTATTATAATATTAATAGTAAAAATAAAACAAAGGCAATATAGATTACGGATTCCCCTAAGTGAAGGACAATGTCCAGATATAGGGACACATGTGTCGTTTGCACTCAGAGTCAAATGAAACGTGTTCCTCAAAGGCAAAGGACAAGCAGCATAAGGAAAACACAACGTTCATGGATGATCACATGGGCTACCTTGGAACTCATGTGGAAAGACTGCAGGCAAAGTGTATCTGGTACTGGGACTGCTCACCAGCCAGCCCCCACCCACCTTCATGAGGTAGGACAGCAGGATAATGGGGAAGGGGTCCATGCAAGGGATGCAAGGCTCGTGTCACACCTGATTCAAAGAAGCACTGCTTCTGACAGATGTTTATCTCCTAACACTGTGTCACCTCTAACTGCCTGGCTGCATGTCTGCCATCTGTTCTTCTTAGGTCACAGGAGGGACAGACATTACTGTCCACCTATCTGCATACAGAGCCATTGGAGGCTATTACCCTTGTTGCTTCCTCTTTGGAAAGGGGCAACATACATGCCAGATGCCATTCTCTGTCTCTTTGGAAAACTTTGTCAGCACATTTAAGGTTTTCTTCAGCCACAGAAAGCCACCTGCTTCAAAGTCTCATCCTCCACAAGTGGCAAGCACACAATCATTAATGGAGGCAAGGGGTACATAGGCTTTGCCATTTGATTCAGTTGGGACAATAGGGGAGGACTTCTTAGCTCTACAGCTCTGTCCGTGTGGCCAGCTGACAATGTCAGGCTGCACTGCGATTAGACTTGTCCCTTTGCACATAAGGCTTCCCTCCAATCCTTTCCACAGATGTGGATCCTCACATCACTTCCTAATATACATCCTGCACACTAAACTTCATCTATATCCAGTTCCCTGGGAACCAAACCTGTGACAAAAGTGAAAAGTTTCTAGGGAAAATAGGGTTTCCTCATCAGACAGGAATCAAATGCTGCTGAGCTAGAAAATAAAGTAAAGTCTGATGCCATCTCCTGATTTTTTTAATTAGGACATTAGCACTGCCAGCAAGAATTATGTGCATCAATTTGTGGGGACAAACATCATGTTGGAGTGGGATGAGGTTGCTGTGAGTTGAGGAGAAATGCTGGTGAATGGACTTTACCCTCAACTTGGATTCAGGAGAGGACATAAAAACAGCTGGAAATAAAAGGTGTCCGAAAACATTTTTCTGGTTTTTCAAAACTTCCAATTTCAGGTTGGGAGACACTATGTTTAAATTCTAAAGGGATGTAGCATGCTGAGAAGAAATAACTATAAACAAGGTGTCCATTTTATGAATAATACAATTTATGGTATGACAGAAGACCAAGGGACATAACACAAATTTGGAGTTAAAGAAATTAACAGACATTCTCAATAATTCCTCAGCTATTATGGCAGAGATGCTGGGACAATGGATGTCCATGTAGCAGTACTTTTTTTTTTTTTTTTTTTTTTTTGGGAGACGGAGTCTCACTCTGTAACCAGGCTGCCCTGCAATGGCGCAATCTTGGCTCACCGCAACCTCTGCCTCCCGGGTTCAAGCAATCCTCCTGCCTCAGCCTCCCGAGTAGCTGGGACTACAGGCACACACTACCACACTCAGCTAATTTTTGTATTTTTAGTACAGATGGGTTTTCACCATGTTGGCTAGGATGGTCTCAGTTTCCTGATCTCGTGATCTGCCTGCTTTGGCCTCCCAAAGGGTTGGGATTACAGGTGTGAGCCACCATGGTTGGCCCTTGTAGCAGTACTTTTGAACTTAATGGCTGAAAGTATCCACCTCCAAACTTACATATTATATCTGCAAAAGAGTACAAACCATGTGATGAATTTCAAAGGGAAGACAAGCCTGTGGGAATTCAACAGCCATGGCAATGCTTTGAACTTCTTTTTCTTAAACATGTAAGAAGTAAGTGAAGTTCAAGACCTAACAGAATTGCCAGGAATTATTTGAGGAATTACCAAGATGACCATAGACACTATGAAATCCTTACGATGCCCTCTGCTGGAGTTTCCTCCTACAGCCAGCGATTTTAAGCCAGAAGAAAATGTCTCTGCAGGCATAAGAGTTCAACCCAAATGTACTATTCAATTTTAAATGTGATGACAATAAAATTATGTGCTATATAGCAACAACTTTTTTTTTCTTTCAGACAGAGTCTTTCTCTGTTGCCTAGGCTGGAATGCAGTGGGGCACTCTTGGCTCACTGCAATCTCTGCCTCCTGTGTTCAAGTGATTTTCCCACCTTTTTCACAATGTATCCTTATCCTCAAACTCATCCTCCTAAGTAGCTGGGATTATAGGCATGTGCCACCATGTCTGGCTGATTTTTGTATCAGCAAAATTATTTCTGGGGTGGAGAGTTAGGAATCTTTTTTCTCCCACACCCAAAAACATGTTGTCCAAATGATCTGTCAATAGAAATAATTGATACCTATATTTGCTAACCTACCTTTTTCTTTCTTTAAATTCAGAACTAGAGTATAGAAAAGGATATTAAGAAGGTTCTCTTAATTTTCAACACAAGTTATGGGCTAGGCACTGTGCTAGGTGCTACAGATACGCACTAATATACCCACAATAGTTTTGCCTTATTGCCTTCTATGTTCTAATAATACACCAAAAGAAAAGTATAGATTAGCTTTTTATTTTTTTGAGATGGAGGTTAATTCTCTCACCCAGGATGGAATGCAGAGGTGGGATCTTGGCTCACTGCACTTTCTGCCTCCTGGGTTCAAGTGATTCTCCTGCCTCAGCCTCCTGAGTAGCTGGGATTACAGGCACGTGCCACGATACCCAGAAAATTTTTGTATTTTTCAGAAAGACAGCTTTCATCATGTTGGCCAGGCAGGTCTCAAACCCCTGGCCTCAAGTGATCCACCCATCTTGGCCTTCCAAACTGCTGGGATTACAGGCATGAGCCATAATGCCCAGCCACAGAGAATAGCTTTAAATAGAATGTATGAAACCAAAAGAAACGTATGCTCATCAATTTTATACTGTATTTGGCCAGGTGCAGAATATCGACTTGTAGTAATGTAAGGGAATAAGGTCAATTCACATCTAATTGTTTGGACAAGTCACCAGAAATCAAAAGTTGGAGGAGTTGTATCTTTTGAGGTGGGTTGCACAGGCAAGCAGCAAGTTGCTATCTCTCCAAAGTCCTAAACTGTTCTATTTGTCCTACTGTGGAAAAATGAGTCTTCAACTTGATTTCAATTTATATAGGAAAATGCTTAATAAAACTAATAAGGGCTACATTCCAGGACACAGCCAGACCACACATATACTGAAACTTGATTCTAGAGACACCTCCTCTTCAATGTAATTGGATTTTCAAGACAACAAAAATATAACTCTGACACAATATTGGAGAGCCAAAAGGAAAGGACAATTTGGGTTGAAATTTTTTCTTTTAAAAATGTGTCCTTGAGTTCTATTAACAATAGCTAAAGCCTAGGAACAGCTCAAATGTCTATTGAGAGGAAATTGATAAATTATATGCATATTATAGAGTAATATTTAGCAATAAAGGGGAAAAATCAACTCTATGAATCAACATCATGATCATGGATCAATATAATCTTTCTAACCCCGATTGGGGAAAGCTAAGCTAAAAAGTGTCCTATAATATAAATAAATGTATACAAAATTCTAGAACAGACAAACCTAATATAAGCTAAAAAAGTTCAGGAAAGTCAGGTGCAGTGGCTCATGCCTGTTATGTCAGCACTTTGTGAGGTGGGTGGATCGCATGAACCCAGGAGTTCAAGACCAGCCTGGCCAACATGTTGAAGCTACCCCATCTTTACCAAAAATACAAAAGTTAGCCCAGTATGGTGTGGTACACAGGAACAGAAAACCAAATACTACATATTCTCATGTATAAGTGAGAGCTAAACATTGGGTTATACACTGTTTAGCTCTCACTTATATGGAAACAACAGACACTGGAGATTCTTAGAGAGAGGAGGGAGGGTTGGGTGCAAGGCCTGAAAAACTAACTATTGGGTATTATGTTCACTAAGTGTGTGATGAGATCATTCATACTGTAAACCTCAGCAGCACACAATACATCCATGTAACAAACCTGCACATGTATCCTCTGTGTCTAAAATAAAAATTGAAAAAGTAAAAAATGAACAAAGATATATGAGCAGGCATTTCTCGAAAAAGGAGATACAAATGGACAACATATATATAAACAATTCTTACCCTCTCTAGTCATCACGGGAATGCAAATGAAAACTACCAAGAAATATCACCTCACACCTGTTAGAATAGCTATTATCAAAAAGATGGATGATAACAAGTGTTGGTAAGGATGTGGAGAAAAGGGAACCTTTGTATACTGGTGGTGGGAATGTAAATTAGTATGGCCACCTTGGAAAACAGTATGGACGTTTCTCAAAAAATTAACAATAAAAATACCATTTTGTTCCAGCAATCCCACTTATTTTATATATAATATATATATCTATATATATACATATATAGATATATAGATATATATATATGAAGTCACGAAATCAGTATGTGAAAGAGTTATCTGCGCTCCTATGCTCCTTTCAGCACTGCTCACAATAGTCAAGATCTATGAAGAAGACATACATGTTATCATTCATTCATGGACGGCTGAATTATTGTTTTATATATATATATATATATATATATGTACAATGGAATATTATTCAGTATTATATAATAATGAAACCCTGTCATTTGTGACAACATTGATGGATCTGAAAGGCATGAAGTCATGTGAAATAAACCAAACACAGAATGACAAATACTGTATGATTCCCCTTGTATTTGAAATCTCAAAAAAACAAACTCAGAAGCAGAGGGTAGACTGACCAAGAACTGTGGTGCAGGTAAGTGTGTAGGTGTGATTACAGTACAAAGTTTTAGATATATCACATAAATAAGTTCAGGAGGTCTAATTTATAGCATAGTGCTTATAGCTATGAATACTGCATTGCATACTTAAAATATAATAGGAGGGTGAATTTTATGTTAATTATTCTTACCAATAAAAATAATAATTAGAATGGGAGGGAGAACTTTGGGAGGTGATGAATATGTTTATAATCTTGATGGTAGTGATGCTTTCACAATGTATCCTTATTCTCAAACTCACTGAGATATACACATTAAATAGGTACAGCTTTTTGAATGTAATCATGTCTCAACAAAGTGTTTTTAAGGGGGGTTGGTTAAAAAATTTAAAAAGGAAGGGTAGATGTTCCTTTGCCCTTCTCTCATGGATTTTTCTCCCTGCTGTCTAGAGTTCAGGAATAATAGGTGGGAATTTAGCAGCCAAACTAGGACCTTTTCTAAAGTATAGCAGAGCAGAGAGCCGGAAGGGACCTGCATCCCTAATGATATTAGAAAGTATCTGTACTAGCCCTGAATGGTATAACTACAGGTTAATTTTAAGTGAAAAAGAAATCAACTTCTGCTTTGCTTAAGCAAACTTATTCAGGCATTAATTTTATAAACATGTAGAGAATATATACTCCTTATGAGCAGAAACAATGTTTGTGCCATATGGTACATGATGGGTGTTCAATAATGTGTGATGATGATAATAATGAACACAATAGTGATACATAAAAGAAAATAAAAAGCAGTGAAACAAAGTGGTTTAATAAAGATACATAGTTATTTTGTTGAAAGATTCTGCTGCTAATATTATTCAATACTTTTGTATGCTGGTGCAAGTAAGGAAATTTACATTGTCTAATAAAAATTATTTATCAATTTATAAAACAGTAAATATTTCATAGAATGGGGCTATGAATCTGCATTGCAAACTAACACTTTCAGTTGATTTTATGCACAGTAATTATTGAGAATCCCCTTATCTAGATCCAACGGATCTGGACCTACATAGGTGCTACCAAAACTTAAGGAAGAAAATTTTCCTGACTCTATCCATACCTCCAGTTAGTAATACATCTAGAGATTTAGAACTGAAATCCAGACATCCTGCTTCCATGTGCAGTGACCTTTCACTGTCCTGTTTTGCTTCACTTGATGAAGAGGATTTGAGAATAAATGACCACATGATTCAACTCCTCCTCAGCTCTGAGGAATATAGCCCTGTCCTGGCAAACAAGAAGCTCCTGCAGTAGTAGAGGGGGCAAATATATGTTCACTAATCTAACATACAAGGCAGTAGGCACTGTACCATAAACAAGGCACTGTGGGGATTCAGACCAGGGGCAAAGTGGGGATTAATAGGGCAAGTAAAGTCTGGGAAGTGTTCACTAACAAAATGTCTAATCATTAAACTAAACGGTTTCTCAACATGGCCTAATTAATTGTAACAATATAAATGGTTGTTTGTTCATAAACCTTAATCTTTTGCCAAAATATTTGTAGCTTATGTTCCCATTTAACAAGGTTTTCTGGTCAAAACTGTGCACCCACATCATTCTAATGAACTTAGTGTCCAATAAAACATGGACTCTCAGTCGTCTCATGAAGGTCATTTTGTGTGCATAGTACATCTCTGTGAATATGCCTAATGAGGTATGGAAGGACACTTATTATCCAAACAAAGACATTCCACTGGTGCTAGAGAGCCACAGACGGAAGTTTTCTCTGCCTACTGGAAATAAAGCCAAGCTTTCTTCTTTCCTCAGCCATGAGGATTGCTGTCTTCCTCTTTATCATTCTGTCTTTTTTTTTTTTTTTATGAGCCAAGCTCCACCAAATAACAGGATAAACTTTGTGTAAGGCTTGGTAAGAGTAGAGTGTCTGACACATTATGGTGCTATAATACTCAAAGCAAAAGCAAAATCGCCTATGACCAGAAAAGGGAGTCACATAGGAAATCTAGAAGACCTATTGGCTGAGAGACCTGCAGCCTCATAGTTCATTAGCTCTCCATAGCAACTCTCACATGAAATGAAGTCAGTGGTGTTTCAAGTGCTTGAAACCCTCTTTACTCTACTTCTAAATGTGAATTAATTAGGCAAGTTTACTAGCAGTTACTAGACCTCAAAAGCAAAATAATCAGGCATTATTCTACTAAATATTGGTCTCCATAACTCCTCTATTTTCTTTTGGAAAAGTTAGTTAGTCTAAGACATTTGGCATAAAGGCTATGCCAAAGCTTTGGTGGGGTCAGCCAGGAAGGATTCGTGGGGCCTCCTTGAAAATATTGCAATTATCTAAGAAATTTTCAACCTATTGCCCCTCAGTACTGTTGGTCCCCTGTACTTGACTTTTCCCCTTAAGTTTGATTCCATTTCCTAACATTATCCTTCCCTCTTCCTCCTCAGCAACTAGTCTTCTAAATTAGAACTTAAACACAATGACCAGATATGACCCTGCAACAGAGCATGCCCTTCTGCATTGAGCATGCAATCATGAATCACAGGTATAAGACCCCTTGAACAGACATGGTTTTGGTGATTCTGTGTAGGACTTATTGCTTTTACCCAAGAAGATGATCAGGCATCCTAAGTAGATCAGAAAATTTTCTGGAGCTCTTGAACTTGTATAGGCAAGAAAGATTAAGCAACATGTTGCCTTATATGAGGCAAACTATCTTCTCATATTTTCTTTTGAATTCAGGATTTCAAGGTTGGGGAAGGAGTGGGAAAGTAGCCATGGACGTGTAAGAATGCGGATCGTCCTTTTACATTGTCAGGGATGGTCAAATTCTATGCTTTATGTTGTTTGCTAAAAGACACTTTCCAAAGTTTTCAACAGAAAATATGATGGCACACATGCCTATTCTTGGTGAACCCAGACTTTTCTATCTAGTCTGTGATAGTAAATTTAAAAGGACTGCTTAGGGTAAATGAATCCTTCAAGTTATAAAGATGAAGGGCAGTTTTTGGACAATTCCCATTTTGCTGTAGGAAAACTAATCTGGAAGAAGTAAAAGGGAAAGATTGAAATGGAGATAATGGAGATGGAGAATGAGTTCAGTTGATCAAATTTTTGTTAAGCGCCCACTGTATGTGGGGCCCTTACAAGGAAACAAGCAGACAAAGAAAAAAAGCATGTGATGGCCTTGCTCCTAAGAAGCCAGAGGCCAGTCACCTGGATTGCTACATACCAGGAAGACGTCAACAAGCCCCTACAATACAGCACTTGCATAGGATGAAGAAGAGGTTTCTTTGTATGAGATAAATAGCACACAACCAAAAAAAAAAAGCCAAAAGATACACAAGGTTCGAAAACCTAAGTCACCAACCCTTAAGAGATCTGATTGTTGGTGGTGACTTTGGAAGGAAAATTATTATTAGGATTATTTTAGTACTAAGAGTTTTGAGCTGTCTATCCAAGATTGTCATCTGCACCTCTGCCTTAGGTAATACTGTGTGTGTGTGTGTGTGTGTGTGCATGTGCGTGCCTTTGCATGTGTTTGAAATATATTCTGTATCCCACACTCCACATAGGTTTGGGGCTGATCTGAAACTATACTCTTAGGGATGGGGTTAAGCTACTCTGTCACATTGTGAAGAGTTGATATGTAAGAGACTCTTAACCTTTTATAAATTACCTTTAAAATGTTTCCTTTTCTGTGAAGGGAAGAATAACAATTTGTAAACAAATGCAAAAATATCTTTAACTAAACAAAAGAACAGTTTGTTAGCCTTGTTATGATTAGCAGAGAGGATAGCTGCAGACACTGTAAAATCACTCAGCAACAAGATTTGACAAAACCTTAAATATGGGTCTATTTTTCCTGTTTTATAGAGGAAAATATTAAGGCTCTGGGAACTGAAGTGCTTTTCCCAACAGTGGAGTAAGTGTCAGAGTCAAGGCTGGGTTTTACATCCCAGCTTTCCCTATATATTCCACCCTATGGTTCTGTTGTGCTGTTCCTTTGTGTGACTCCGTAAAGCCTGCTTAAAAGTGATATCATATCAAATTGTATTAACTCAGTAGCACATAACACCAGGGAATTGATTTATAAGATTTTTATTCTTGTGGCGTTGCTGAAGACCCATCTGATTAGTAGTTATCAAGTAGTCATCCTGGCTAAATATATGGGTTTGATTTTTAATTTTGAAAATGAAAAATATTTTAAAATATATGTCTTACATCCATATCCCAGGAAATTCTAATCAAGTTTTAAAACTTTCAAATTTAGATAAACTAATGGTTTTTTGTTTTAATTTTCTCTCAATGAAAATAGAAGAAACTAATTGGATAGAACAGCACAGCAGAAGCATTACTTATAGCCATAAATGGGATAAAACAAGACTGAAGAAGAAAATGCAAGACAGTGCTTAAAAAAGCAGTCTAATGAAAAGTGAGGTCTCCTCTGGATGTCCTTAGGTAGACACTGCAGCAGAACTGTAAAGTTTTTCTGGAAGTCTGGGGAAGAGAGGAGGAAACAGAGAAGGGGCAAGAGGAGAAAATAGAATGAGGCTCAGAATACCAAGCCTTAGTGCTGTCCCTATCGCCTTCCTCGCTAGATCACTGGGTGATCCTGGGCAAGTTTCTTCCTTTCCCTCAGCTTATTTCCTCATCTGTAATGTAAGTGACTAGACAAGATAGCCTATGATGTTCATTGTAACTCTAACTTTTCCTTCCCAAAGCAAATAGCTGGAAAAGACACTGTGCTTACAATATGCAACAAATAAAAACAAAAGATTTTTAAAAACCCCTAGTGTAACTTGAATTCTTACAAATAAGCAATGGTACATCATAATTTTACAAAGCTCTTTTGTGATTTCATTTTTAAAATCAAGTCAAGTTTTATTTTACTTCATAATAAGATAATGGAGATAAGTGTTAAATGGGTTCATGAAGGAATGTTTGTAAAAGATGCAATAATCCAAAATAGGTAATTGTTATATTAGTAGTTCCCTTTACTTGGGTGGGGGGGGGGAACAGATAGAAGAGTGTTAGGAAAAGCTTCATAAAGTGGATTATATAGAATGTGCTTTAAAAGAGTTTGGTGTTTTACTGAGTGGGGAAAGAGCAATATGGGGAGTTATTGTTCAAGGGTTAAAGCTATAAAAAATGAATCAATTACAGAGATAGGCTCCAAACCATAGTACTTATAGTTAACAATAAGGTATTTTGTATTTAACAATTTGTTAAGAGGGTCGATCTTAGGGGTTCTGACAACAACAACAACCACAACAAAGGGACGTAGGAAACATTTGGAGGTGATGGATATATTATTACCTGGATATTGGTGTGGTAACAAGATAATACTTATGTGCAAACTTGCCAAACTATATCCATTAATTATGTACTTTTTGTGTATAACAATTTTACTTCAGTTCCTACTATATTGCCTGGCAAACAATAGATGTATAAAGTGAGATCAATGATTATTGCATATGCATGTCAAAAATAATAAAGAAAGCAGGTGACAATAAAGACATCCTGAATCTTTGGGAAATAAATAGCATTCACCTGCTTTCTCATCCATTGAGATATCACCACCTTTATGTACTTATGTGTCCCTGGAAGTTTCCCGTGGGAGATTTAGTTATTCTCTTTTCGTTAGGCTCTACTGACCAAGAACAAATCACAGACTCAGAGAGCATCATAAAAAGGCCTAGACCCACGATGCCCAGAGACTCCAGGCTCAACCCACATTGATGCTGGCCCTTCAGCCATGAGACTCCATTTGCTTCTCCTTATTCTCCTTCTTTTTTCAATTCTCTTATCCCCAGGTAAGTTGGTAGCTCATTACTATAAGGTTCTGCAGATGAGAATGCTATATCCCTGGCCAGACAAGAACCTAGAATCAGTCCTGTGGGTTCAAGAACCTAATATTTACAGCTTCACTAGGATTATAATAGGGAAAAATAGAAAAGAGACTCATTTAGCAGTATGTCCTCTTGATAAGATTCCATCCATGTCTTTTGACCTAGTGAGTGGATATAATAATGGATGCTGCTGAAATTCAATCCTGTCAGATGAAACTGCCTACATGTAAATTTCCATGCCCCACCAAGCACCTCAAGATACAAAGTAAGGATACAACAGAACATGACCTCAATGAGATGCCTTTGCGGGACATGGAAATTTATATGCAGGCAGTTAGATCTGACAGGATTGAATTTCGGTGGCATCTATTATTATATTCACTTAATAGGTCAAAAGAGATGGATGGTATCCTATCAATAGGAGCTACTCTAAATGGGTGTTGACAAATCTGAAGGTTTTATTCGAAGAAACAGAAAAACTATAATCCTAGAATAAATGAAAATTATATGAGAGACTTTTCAAAATAAATTATGTTTTATGTGGTTATGAATAAAAAATGATTTTCAAAGTGCAACTGAAGAGTAGAAAGGAGAGTTAAAGGAACTTCAGACAAGTGAATTAATAAGGAGCAAAGACACCAACAAGTGCTGCTCAAGGTATATTACAGGTAACCACACAGAAATGGGTAACATAACTTTCAATACAAAAATGGCTAAAATTTACTGGGCTAAGCATGCATTTTGGGGGCTTTTGGAAAAAAAAAACAGCATAATAAACCTAAAGAAGATAAAGGGAAAATTATAAATACAAAATATAAATTAATGAAACAAATGAGAAAAAACAGTATTTTAAAAAATGTTTTTCAAAAAGTCTAATACACTTTATAATAACCTGGCAACACTGAACAAGAGAAAATGAGAACATGCTTAAAATAACTATTGCAGGAATGAAAGGTTAATATCAAAACAGATGTTTCAGAGATTCAAATAATTTTTAAATTTGTGTATATTCCGTCTTCACTGTGTACTTGGGGATTTTCCTGTTGCAGTTCACTATATCATGACTGTGTCATCAATTTTGATGCTAGTAAATTATTACCATCAGCATACAAATATGCTGTTGTTTTTCTGATCTAAGAAAAAGAATTTCCTTGCTTTTCTTCTGATGCCAGCTGTCCTCCCCTTTTTTGCTCTACTTTTCAGCAAAACATCTTAGAATAGTTGTCCATATTCTCTGTCTTCAATTCCTCTCCTCTCATTGTTTCTTAAATATATCCCAATCAAGCTCTCATTGTTTCTTAAATATATCCCAATCAGGCTCTCTCCCCCTTTTTCGATCATGCTATTGACACCACTTTTGTCAAAGTTATGAATAATCTCCACATTGCTAGATCCAATGATCATTTTTCACTACAACTTTAATCGACCTATTAGCAGCATTTGACACAAATAATCACTTCCTTCTTCACAGTATACTTTCTTCATTTGGCTTCCAGGACGGCTCATTCACTTGATTCTCAGCCTGTCTCACTGGAGCTACCACTTCGGCTTCCTTTGTTTCTTCCTCATCTTTTGCTTCACACCTCCTACAGGAGAGCTCCAGAGCTCAGTTCCTGGTCCTCTTCTCTTCTCCCTCACCACACACTCTTTGGAGGGGCTCAGCAAGTCTCATCCCTTTCAATTCTCCTTTTGGACCTCCTTTTGAACTCCAGGCTTATAATAAATTATCCAACTGCATAACTGGTATATCTACTTGGACACTTGATTTCAAAAGTAATATATATCCAAAACCAGACTCACGATTTTCCCTCAGAAACCTCTACATACACATTTTTTCTCTTCTTGCAGAGTGCCATGGTCAGCATTGGAGCCTCTCTTAGCTTTCCTGTCCACTTTCATCCT